>NC_000003.12:57585757-57888787 GCF_000001405.40 Homo sapiens | reverse complement strand
TTTAGCCATTTCTTCTGATACTTACATTTATATTTCTAAATAATACATTGATTTTATTTTTCCATTTTAGATATTTATTGAGAATCTATTTTACACGGTTAAATTTTGCCATTTTCTACTACCATCCTCAAGAGTTGCATTTTGTCAATCTATAATCACTATTTTTTTTTTTTTGAGACAGTCTCACTCTGTCACCAGGCTGGAGTGCAGTGACACAATCTCAGCTCACTGCAACCTCTGCCTCCCGGGTTCAAATGATTCTCCTGCCTCGGCCTCCCAAGTAGCTGGGACTATGAGTGCGCACCACCACACCCAGCTAATTTTTGTATTTTTAGTAGAGACGGGGTTTCACCATGTTGGCCAGGATGATCTTGATCTCTTGACCTCCACCCGCCTCAGCCTCCCAAAGTGCTAGGATTACAGGCATGAGCCACTGCGCCTGGCCTATAATCAGTATTTATATTGAAAAATTATTTTATATAATGAGTCATATAGTATGCTATAATTATATTTCCTTTCTTGTATGGCCTTCGGTATACTCAGAATTTATAATGCTTCATTTTTTTGTTTTATTAATTTTTATATATCTCAAACATAGCCCAAGTTCTCACAGAACCATACAACTTTCAATATTGTCAAACACACCAAGTAATTTATCACATCATATATCCCCACCTTCCTCTTTCTGTTTTCTTATAACATATCCTCTTATAATTTCCTGAAAAGGGGTGGACAGAAGGTAAATACTTTGTGATTTTGCTTCTCTGAAAATGTTAGCATTCTACCTTCACATGTGATTGATGCTTTGACTAGATACACAAATCTACAGGAAATACTTTTGCATCAGAATTTTGAAAGCATTATTCCACTGTCTTCTAGCTTCCAACCAGAAGGTGAGTCTAATACAGCTTGAATCCTGTTCCTCAGTACACATAGTAGGGATTTCTTGCACTCAGTAATATCTGGTTTGCCTGTTCTGTTTGGGCATCAGGGAGGACTGCACATCCCAACTCCCTAGCACTGAGGAAGATTCATAGGACTGATGCTAGCCAGGGCCAAAGCATTTAAGAGAAAGTTTAAGTTTTTTACACCTTATCCCACCACAGGAACTCTAGAAGCTGTGTGTTGAGACAGCAACATCATAAGATAGTAAAGACTCCATCTGTCTAGATCTCTGAGTGACAATATGGAGCAGAGTGGTCTTCCTCACCATGGACATGTAGTGTGAATGAGAAATAAATGTTTGTTTAGTTGAGCCATTAAGATTTCATGGCTTGGCTGGGCATGGTGGCTCATGCCTGTAATGCCAGCACTTTGGGAGGCCGAGGTTGGCGGATCACCTGAGGTCAGGAGTTCGAGACCAGCCTGACCAACATGGAGAAACCCCAAAATTAGCTGGATGTGGTGGCGCATGTCTGTAATCCCAGCTACTCAGGAGGCTGAGGCAGGAGAACCGTTTGAACCCAGGAAGCGGAGATTGAGGTGAGCTGAGATGACACCATTGCACTTCAGCCTGGGCAACAAGAGTGAAACTCAAAAAAAAAAAAAAAAATCTCATGGCTTATTTATTACTATATTATAAATTTAGCTTATTATGACTATATGATATCCTTTGTTTCTCTCTAGAAGGTTTCGGAATCTTCTCTTTATTCCTGGTGCTCTTAAATTTCATATTCCTCAGTGTGTAGTCTCTTTTTTCTCTTTTTTTTCCTTAAATGAGGTGAAATTCACATAACATAAAACAACTATATGAACAATGCTGTAGAATTTAGTATATTCACTATGTTGTGCCTAGTTCCAAAACATTTTCATTACCCAACAAAAACCCTATACCCATTAAGCATTTATTCCCCACCTCCACCTCACCGGTCCCTGGCAGTCCCACATCTGCTTGCTATCTCTATGGATTTACCCGTTCTAGATATTTCATATAAATAAAACAATATAACACATGACATTCTGTGTCTGGCTTAGTGTGTGGTCATTTAAAATATATTGTGCTAAGTACTCGGTGCATTTTTTTTTTCAGTTTATAAGCTCGTATCTGTCACTTCTGGGGAATTATCTTGTATTCTACTTAATTGGTAAATTATTCCATTCTCTCTCTCCCCCTTATTCTCCCCCTCTGGAATTCATTATTAATATATTAGATCTCTAGGATTAAACCTCAAATTTTCTTTAATTTTCCCTCTTGAAAAAAAAAAAAACCTCTTGCCTTTTTCTTATATTTTCTGGGACATTTCCTCTACCTTCTCCTCAATCTTCCTACAGTTTTTAAAAATCTGGTATCATATTTTTAGCTTTCAAAAATTCTATTTGCATTTTGCTCCTTTAAAAAATACCATCTTTATCTTGCTTCATCCATAAAACTTCAAAAATTATACTTTTAAGCTGGGTGCAGTGGCTCATGCCTGTAATCCCAGCACATTGGGAGGCCAAAGTGGGTAGATAACCTGAGGTCAGGAGTTCGAGACCAGCCTGGCCAACATGGTGAAAACCCGGTTCTACTAAAAATACAAAAATTAGCCAGGTGGCGGGCACCTGTAATCCCAGCTACTCAGGAGGCTGAGGCAGGAGAATTGCTTCAACCTGGGTGGCAGAGGTTGCAGTGAGCTGAGATCATGCCACTGCACTCCAGCCTGGGCAACAGAGCGAGACTCCATCTCAAAAAAAAAAAAAAATTATATCTTTAAAAAAGTTTCTGCTTCTTGGGCGCATTGGCTCATGCCTGTAATTCCAGCACTTTGGGAGGCCAAGGTGGGTGGATCACGAGGTCAGGAGTTCGAGACCAGCCTGACCAACATGGTGAAACCCCGTCTCTACTAAAAATACAAAAATTAGCTGGGCATGGTGATGCACGCCTGTAATCCCAGCTACTCAGGAGGCTGAGGCAGAAGAATCGCTTGAATCTGGGAGGCAGAGTTTACAGTGAGCCAAGATCGCACCACTGCACTCCAGCCTGGGCGACAGAGCAAGACTCTGTCTCAAAAAAAAAAAAAAAAAAAAAAAAAAAAAAGAACCAAAAACCGAAAAGCAAAACAACAATAACAACAACAACAAAAACAAGATGGCCGGGCGCGGTAGCTCATGCCTGTAATCCCAGCACTTTGGGAGGCCCAGGCGGGCGGATCACCTGAGGTCGGGAGTTTGAGACCAGCCTGACCAACGTGGAGAAACCCTGTCTCTACTAAAAACACAAATTTAGCCAGTCGTGGTGGTGGGTGCCTGTAATCCCAGCTACTCGGTAGGCTGACGCAGGAGAATCGCTTGAACCCGGGTGGTGGAGGTTGTGGTGAGCCGAGATCGCACCACTGCACTCTAGCCTGGGCGACAGAACAAGACTCTGTCTCAAAAAAAAAAAAAACACAAAAACAACAACAACAAAACAAAACAAAACAACAACAACAACAAACAAGCTGGCTGGGTGCAGTGGCTCACGCCTGTAATCTCAGCACTTTGGGAGGCCAAGGCGGGCATCACCTGAGGTCGGGAGTTCGAGACCAGACTGACCAACATGGAGAAACCTTGTCTCTACTAAAAATACAAATTTAGCCGGGCGTGGTGGTGGGTGCCTATAATCCCAGCTACTCAGGAGGCTGAGGCAGGAGAATTGCTTGAACCTGGGTGGTGGAGGTTGTGGTGAGCCGAGACTGTGCCATTGCACTCCAGCCTGGGCAACAAGAGCGAAACTCCGTTTCAAAAAAAAAAAAAAAAAATTTCTGCTTCTTACCTTTTTCCTATTTCTTCCCTACTCACATTTTTCTGTGTGTGTTTTTTTGTTTGTTTTTTGGTTTGATCTCTGTCTTTGTCAAGAAAGAATTTCCTCAAAAGTCTGATCTTGGCTTTCTCTTCATATTCAAGGGTGAGGCAATAAGAAGCTGACAAAGTCTTACATGCATTTGCAGGGCTTATTACACCCACTGGGCCACACAATGGCAGTTTGTTGGGAGACTTTTATTTTTTTATTTTATTTTTTTTTGAGACAAGGTCTGGCTCTATCACCCAGGCTGGAGTGCAGTGGCGTGATCTCTGCCCACTGCAATCTCCACCTTCTGGGCTCAAGCCATCCTCCCACCTCAGCCTCCCAAGTAGCTGGAACTACAGGTACACACCACCATGCCCGGCTGATTCTTTGCATTTTTTGTAGAGACGTGGTTTCGCCATGTTGCCCAAGCTGGTCTCGAACTCCTGAGCTCAAGCAATCTGCCCACCTTGGCCTCCCAAATTGCTATTTAAGTTATTTAAACACTTTGGGACAGTTTAAATATCAGTATCAATATGTGTTTCTCTTTGTCTGATTGGTTTCTCTGGAGTAGAGCCCTGCAGCTGCCTTTCTGGGGAATATAAGCCTGTTGACGAGCATTCTGATTCAGTACAGAGACTTTCATTTAACTCTCCCACTTTTCCCCAGTGAGATGCTCATACCTACCCCCTCAGACATATCTGAAATACCCCAGTCTACAGACTCTCCATTTCAGCCTCCAGAGAGCAAACCTTCAGTCTTTCTGAATAAAGAAAGAGATACTTGTCTGTCTGCATGGACAAGAATACAAAGTATCAGCCTGGTGTGGTGGCTCACGCCTATAATCCCAGCACATTGGGAGACCGAGGCAGGCAGATCGCTTGAGCCCAGGAGCTCGAAACCAGCCTGGGCAACATGACAAAACCCTGTCTCTACTAAAAATAGAAAAATTAACTGGGTGTGGTGACGTATGCCCTTAGTCTCAACTACTTGGGAGGCTGAGATGGGAGGATCGATACCTGCGAGGTTGTGGCTGCAGTGAGCCAAGATCATGCCACTGTACTACAGCCTAGGCAGCAGAGATCCTGTCTCAAAAAAAAAAAAAAAAGAAAGAAAAGAAAAAAGAAGAAGAAAAATAAGAAAATAGTTCAAATTATTCCTTATATAAACTTTTAATCCTGTTTTTAGCAACCATGCATTCCTGCCCTACCTGACAGGTATTAAGTGCCCCTTAGCCACAGTTTTAACTTGGTTTTCTGAAGTTTCCTTTACCCCATTGCAGGCCTTCAGAAAAGAGAAAGTGGAAACCCATATCTCTTACTACTCAATTGTATGTTTCACATTTTCCAAAATTTTGTTGGCATCTATTATCCACTGTAGTCTTCTCTCCCATTCTCTTGTGCTTGTGACTTATGCTTTTTATAATATTTTACTATGAATGGGTCCATTCACCGTATTTAATCAAGTTTACTGCCTCCCTTTGGAAACACTACTACTTTAACTTCTAGGATATCACTCACTCCTACTTTTATGTGCTTGTTCATTCCTTCCTTCTTAGGCTTTTATTGCCTTTCCCTTTCTCTGATTATAATCTAAATATGTGCATTAGCCTTTAAGATCTCTGTCAGCAACAACAACAACATTTTTTAATGGCTTTAACTACCTTGAGTAATTTCTAAATGTTGATGTTAAGTCTAGCATTCTTTGGCCCCAGGACCCTATTGTCCATTGTCCAACTACTTTCCAAACATCTTCACCCAGAAATACCACTGGGACTTAAATCTCACCATGTCTAAAACTGAAATTATCTTCTCTTCCTTTCTCCTAAATATGTTTGGAATCTCTCCTCACTAAGCCTCTATTCCTATCTCTCTTAAGGTATATTGCAACTATTCATTATGTCTACCTTGCCCAACTTACTATGAATTCCTTGAGGGAATATACTCATTCTTTCAAATATTTACTATGCACCAGGCACTCACTGTGGATTACCAAGATAAATGAGAGAAATATAGGAATTTAGGGTCTGGTGAAAGTAGAGAAGTTTTTTTTTTTAATAATTTAATTCCCAACACACTTCTGACACATAATAGTTGTTTGCAAATGCCTGTTACATGAACACAGCAGATAATAAAATAGTATAAACACAAATAGCTTTGAAAGCTATTCTAGTCTTTCTCTAGTATGTTGAAGATCTACATACTGACATGTTTAAAAATTATAAACACATATCAGAAGATTGTAATTTATTGCTCCAAACTCTCTCACCCTTAGAAAAAAATCTGAAGTTCCTATCATGGCCTACAAGGTCCCTTGAGATCTATCCCAGGGGTCAGTCAACTATACCCCCACAGGGCCAAATCCAACCTGCTGCCTGTTTAGCAAATAAAGTTTTATGAGAACACAGCCAGGTCCATTCATTTGCATATTGTCCATGGCTAATTTCCCTTATAATGGCAGAACTGAGTAGCTGCCAAGAGACCTTACAGCCTGCAAAGACTAAAATATTTACTATCTGGCCTTTTATTTTAAAAAGGTGTTTAAGTTCTTCTAAAACTCCAATCTCAGTCTTAGGGTTTCATATGGTTTTTATTTCACACACTTTCTCCAGACACACATACAACTCAGCTTAGTCCCATATCTGTTCAGCCACATTACTACCTTTATTGTTCCCTATCCCCTTACAGTCTTTGTTTTCTTCAGTGGACTCATCACTTCCTAACATATTAATTTTTTGGTTTATTATTTTTTGTCTCCTCAAGAGCTTGTAAACTCCATGAAGGCAAAGCCTTCTTTGTCTTACTCACTTCTAATAACCCCAACAGTTAAAATAATGCCTGGTACATACATGTTTAATTAATCTTTGTAGAATGAATCAATTGAGCATCTATGTTTAAAGGGATCAAAAGAAAAAATTATTTGAGTGTTTCCTCATCCTAAAAAAAGGATTAAATAATATATATAAAAAGTTTGAACAGTACTGGTTTATAAGTACTAAATAATGATTAGCTGCATTTATTTATTTATTTATTTATTTAAGATATGGCATCTTGCTACATTGACCAGGCTGGAGTACTGTGGCTTTTCACAGCATGATCACTGTGAACTGCAGCCTCTAACTCCCGGGCTCAAGCGATCCTCTGGCCTCAGCCTCCCAGTTGGTTGAGACTACAGGCATTAATCACTGCTCCTGGCTAATTAGCTGCTATTATCACCATTGAAATTATTTAAAGTTATATTTTCAAATCTTGTGAATCACTAGAGGCCTGTAAATAAAGAAAAAATATATTTTGGCCGGGTGCAGCAGCTCATGCCTGTAATCCCAGCACTTTGGGAGGCCGAGGTGGGCGCATCACGAGGTCAAGATCGAGACCATCCTGGCCAACACTGTGAAACCCTGTCTCTACTAAAAATACAAAAATTAGCCGGGCATAGTGGCACGTGCCTGTAGTCCCAGCTACTCGGGAGGCTGAGGCAGGAGAATCGCTTGAACCCAGGAGGTGGAGGTTGCAGTGAGCCGAGATCGCACCACTGCGCTCCAGCCTGGCGAACAGAGCAAGACTCCGTCTCAAAAAATAATAATAAATAAAAAATCTAGTTTAAAACAGTCTGTAACCACTGAGTCTCCAACTTGGTGTAGAGACCTCAATGCTTTGGGAGTCACAAGTGTAATACATACAATCGAGGTGAGATCAGAGATCTCTGCCTCTCACTTTACCCCTTCAGAGACTCAAGAAAGAATTTTCCTGTCATGATAACTGCAGGTCTTCAAAGACCTATCTAACTTGGTACAACTCAAAGAGCGATAGAGTAGAAGGCTTTCTTTCTTCTTTTTTAAAACTTTTTTTTTTTGAGATGGAGTCTCGCTCTGTCATCCAGGCTGGAGTACAGTGGCATTATCTCAGCTCACTGCAACCTCTGTCTCCTGGGTTCAAGTGATTCTCCTGCCTCAGCCTCCTGAGTAGCTGGGATTACAGGCGCGCGCCACCATGCCTGGCTAATTTTTGTATTTTTAGTAGACATGGGGTTTCATTCACCATGTTGCTCAGGCTGGTCTTGAACTCTTGACCTCGTTATCTGCCCACCTCGGCCTCCGAAAGTGCCGGGGTTACAGGCTTGAGCCACTGCGCCCAGCCCTAAAACTCTTTTTTTAAAAATTCTGAGACAAGGTCTCACTCCGTCACCCAGACTGGAGTGCAGTGTTGCAATTATGGCTCACTGCAGCCTCCCGCTCCAGGGCTCAAGCGATCCTCCCACCTCAGCCTCCCGGGCAGGTATGACTACAAGCATGTGCCACCATGCCCAGCTAATTTATTTTTATTTTTATTTTTGTAGAGACATGGTCTCACTGTGTTGGCCAGACTGGTCTCGAACTCCTGAACTCAAGCGATCCTCCCACCTTGGCCTCTTGAAGTAATACGATTACAGGCATAAGCCACTGTACATGGCCTTAAAACTCTCTTTTTTGAGCAATACTCTAGAGAGGTGATTATTCATTTTCCACCATTTTAAAACCATATTTATTATAAAAAATGACATACAAGTCTGGGCATGGTGGCTCATGCTTGTAATCCCCACACTTTGGGAGGCTGAGGCGGGCGGATCACCTGAGGTCAGGAGTTCGAGACCAGCCCGGCCAAAATGATGAAACCCCCATCTCTACCAAAAATACAAAAGTTAGCTGGGCGTGGTGGCATGCACCTGTAATCCCAGCTACTCAGGAGGCCGAGACAGGAGAATCACTTGAACCCGGGAGGCGGAGGTTGCAGTGAGCCAAGATCGTGCCATTGCACTCCAGCCTGGGCAACAAAGTGAGACTCAGTCTCAAGAACAAAACAAAACAAAACAAAACAAAACAAAACAAAACAAAACAAAAATGACATACAAAAAGGAACATAAAACACAAAGGTATAGGTTAATATATTTTCATAAAGCAAATATCTATGTGACTGCAGCCCAAGTCAGGAATAGAACCACCCCACCAATCCCTAAGGCCCTCCACAGGGAGGAAGCCCTTCCCTCCAATAAAAATCCCTTCCTCTCCCATAAAGGTAACTACTATTCTGTGTGCTTTTTATTTTTATTTTTTTTTTTTTGAGACAGAGTCTCACACTGTCTCCCTGGCTGGAGTGCAGTGGCATGATCTTGGCTCACTGCAACCTCCACCTCCTAGTTTCAAGCAATTCTCCTGCCTCAGCCTCCCATGAAGCTGGGATTACAGGTGCCCGCCACCCGCCACACATGCCCAGCTAATTTTTTGTATTTTTAGTACAGATGGGGTTTCACTATGTTGGCCAAGCTGGTCTCAAACTCCTGACCTCGTGATCCACCCACCTCGGCCTCCAAAAGTGCTGGGATTACAGGCATGAGCCACTGCGCCTGGCCTATCCTGACTTTCATGGTATTTAATTTCTTATATTTCTTTATAGTCACACTACCCAAATATACATGACCAAATAATATGATTTTAGTAGTTTTGAACTTTATATAAATGGAAAACCATATAGTGTGTCAGGCTTTTTTTCCGCCCAATATGCCCCAGTGTATTTGTCCATTTAATTACTGAGGGTCTTTTTGGCTGTTTCCAGTTTGGATCTAATGTGAATAATGCTGCTATGAACACTCTTGAATTTGTACCTGATGCACAGGCATCTCTGTAGGGAACCTACCAAGGAGTAGAACTGAGAGTATAATATGTTTGACATGTAAGTACCATCATCTAAGCATTTAGTCAGAAGACTATCAAATCTTGTCAAAGACTGAACAGAGAGAACCAAATTTACTTCTTGATTGACAGAAATAAATTATGTACTAACCATATTACTATGTGGCATAAAATTAAAAATGAGAAACAATACAAACAATACACTCAAAAGAAGTTCAAAGGAGGCTGAATATGGTGGCTCATGCCTGTAATCTCAATGCTTTGAAAGGCCAAATTGGGAGGATCACTTGAGCCCAGAAGTTTGAGACAGCTATGCCAAGATTGGATTGAGTTCTTAAAGCTAAAAAGCCATTTTCCTTACTTGACAGCTACAACTAATTGAAACTAAAGCAGAAGATAAACCCAAATAGCACAGACTATCTGATACTGATGTCAGTTTCCTAGGGATCTGAAACAAACTGATTGGAAGAGAGGAGGGAGTGAATATAAAAGAACCAGACAATCTGCTGCTGTAACTGCCAACCTGGAAAATATTTCTAAGTCTCAAAATTGGGTTTCATTAAGAAAATGCTATGACTGGGACATCAAAATAATGTTCTTGACACCAAATTTTTTAAATAGCATGCATACTGGTAATTATGCACAGCTTCTACACCTCTCCAACATGTTTTCTGCCTGCTAACTAATGTACATTTCAGTGTGTCATGCATTACTTAGAGCACTTAGTAAATACGATCTCAATTAATTTTCATAATTCTATGAGAGATACTGCCATCCCACTTTATAAATGAGGAAATCAAGGTTTAAAGAGGTAAATTTGCCCAGTATTGTCCACAATCATACTGCCAGTGAGAGAGTGCATCAGAATTCACATCAAGATCCCTCTGATTGAATTCTAAACATCATAAACAGAAATGAGTTAACATTACCTAAAAGATCACCAAGAGAAAATATGATGAAGAAACTGAGATTAGAATATCAATACACAAATTGTTATAATCGGTATTCAAACCAGAAAATTATTTCCCTTCTGAAATAATTAACAAAACAGAAATAGAGACATAGAACCTCATAGGAGAGGCTCTGTGAGGTTCCCAGTTTTAATAATACAGACTTTCATAAGGTTACTCATTTCTGCAGCAAAATTTAATCAGTTAAAGTAACTCTTGCTATAGAAGATGTTGTGCCTTTTCATAAAAACAGTTCCAGAAGCTATTTGTCCTAAAATTTAAGAAGGAGGCCGGGTGCAGTGGCTCATGCCTGTAATCCCAGCCCTTTGAGAGGCCAAGGCAGGTGGATCACCTGAGGTCAGGAGTTTGAGACCAGCCTGGCCAACATGGTGAAACCCCATCTTTACTAAAAATACATTAAAAAAAAAATTAGCCGGGTATGGTAGCGGGTGCCTGTAATCCTAGCTACTTGGGAGGCTGAGGCAGGAGAATTGCTCGAACCCAGGAGGTGGAGGTTGCAGTGAGTCGAGATCACGCCATTGCACTCCAGCCTGGGCAACGGAGCGAGACTCTGTTTAAAAAAAAAAAAAAAAAAAAAAGAAGGAAAAAAGCATTTAGAATTCAAAGATAGACTGAAAACAAAGTGAAAGGGACCAATTTCAAGAATATGGAAACAGATCTTTTTTAAAAAGCAACAGTACACATACCAAAACACCACTGGCATGTACTTAAGATTGTCACCTGGGCAGTTATAATGGGAGAAAATCTGGTAGATATGTTAGAAAGTGGGCTGACTAGGGAAATGATCAGTACAAACAACTCTCTAATACATCTTAGATTGAATAAACCACTCTGAGAATAAAAAAATAAAATTAGCAGCACCTAGCTGACACTCAGAGTTTTCCTATTACAGGGACATAACATATTACGAGCAGGGAAACACAATACATGTTTTCTATTATTTGCCATAAACTGCTTTGGCTTAGAGAAATAAAAGTTTACAAAATGAAAATCTAAAAATCTGTTTTGAGTAGAATACGTAATCAGAATACTGAGACTGTTCTGAGAGGCTGACCTCACAGAGTGATGAAAAATAAACATTCAGTCACATAAGCAACATCAATTCAATGCATTACTCCAAATAAGGCAATTTCTATGTGAGAGCAAAGCCCTAAGAGAAAGGAGGGAATGAGAAAAGCATATACAGATAGTGACTATAATTTTTCCTAGTTATGGGGGTGGGAGGCAGAGAGAAAGATTTTTCTGAAAATCAGGAAAAAAACAGTAAGACATAAAATATTAAACTAATAACAACAAAAAGTTAAGTCTCATAATAATAACAAACACGGATTAAGAATACATCCTCAGATCTCAGGTGTTAAAAAAAAAAAAGAATACAAAGGCATGAGGTCTACTTCAGGGCACTGATTAACTCTACCATTGAGAGAGATGCCCTTGGGGAGTGGGCAGTTTGTCTCTACAAAGTAGACCTCAGGAAAATTTCTCTGGCATCTGGCAATGATGCCTCTCTCCTCATTAGAACAGACAGTAGCAAAAGAAATCAAAGGGGCAGGCAGCAGTCCAGAGAAGGCTATCTCTCACTCTATGCCCACCAAGTGATGGCAGTTCTCCATGTCCTTTCACCCTTCATCTTTCCACCACGCGTACAAGTTAATCAAGTGACAGAGTTCATGGATATGTATGAAACAGATTTAGAGATACATTATTTCTTAATTTGGAAAACATCTTTAGCAGAACACAAAAAGTTTCAATGTATCCATTAAGTTTATACGGTAAACTTTAAGTAACTAAAATTTGCAGAGAACACTAAATGTGGAGTTTTGCCTAAACCAAGCTCATGTCTGAATCCCTGAAGAGGAAAATATTGCTGAAGCTTTTTTTAGCAAGTTTTACTGAAGTGACTTCCTAATTCTAGATTATATGTGGTAAAGATCTTTTAATAGAGAATATTTACTTTACAGTTCTGAAATTATGCAAAACATTATTTAAATCTCTGTTCAAAGTCCAATTTCTTTGTCTGGAATTTAAAGTTTTTCTTAGAAAAGAGAAGTTTTTCTTTAAAAAGTCTGTTTTACCATAAAAGGAAAACAAATTGAAATGTGTTTCAATTCATTTATTTTCTACAACTTTTAAATGGAAAGAGCCAACAACCAAATTGTTCTCTTATAGATTCATACACATAAACTGAAAAATCTGTCATCATATTAAAGACAGACATGGAAAACCTTATGGAAATAAATGATTTGCTTTCTAATTTTTAAAACACAAGGTGAATTATACTATAGAAGCACTAATAAATAATGAAGGCTAGGTATTTAACATTTGCTTTTTAAAAGACTGGAAACAAGAAATATGAAGCAGCACTGCACACAAATATTTACTTCATATTCAAAATTATAAATCAGTTCAAGATACCTATCAATGAAAATAATGGCAAAAAACCTTGTGTGAACTTGTTAATATGTAATCCAAAATTGTTTTAAAAGTGCTTGAGTATAAATTTACTTAAGATATTTGCTGAATTTGTCTTGCTTATAATATTAAAAATACTTATTAAACACAACAATTTTTACAATGGCAGCATGTCATAAAATGACAAAATGTCCCTTCTGACAAGTCAAACCAGAGTCAACCCTCACTTTCCCAACTCTGGTTACCCAAATTTAAGGAAACGAACAGATTTGGAAAGTTTTGAAATACCTCTGGAATCACCAATAACCAAATTCTTACTACTTGCTACCTGAAACTCAGAAACCAAACAGATTTCAATAGTAGGCCTCTCCTTAGCTACCTGAACTCATAGCCCAAACTTTCTCTGTTTGCACTCAGGGACCGAAAGGATTCAGATGTCTGGGAATACTTATTTTCTTTTGTTTTGTTGTTGTTTTTGTTTTCTGAGACAGGTCTTGCTCTGTAGCCCAGGCTGGAGTGCAATGGTGTGATCATGGTTCACTGCAGCCTCAACCTCATGGGTTTAAGCGATCCTCCTGCTTCAGACTCCTGAGTAGCTGGGACACAGGCATGTTATCACCATGGCCAGCTAATTTTTTGTAGAGATGGGGTCTCACTATGTTGCCCAGGGTGGCTGTAAATTCCTGGCTCAAGCAATCCTCCCACCTTTGCCTCCTGAAGTGCTGAGATTACAGGTATGAGCCACTGTGCCTGGTTTTTTTCGCTGTTCTTTGGTCCACCCTTTGTACACAAAAATGGGATTTTATATTTTGATTTTTTTCTTGTATGTAGGTACTACCTGTTTAGTATTTTCTCATGCTATTACACAGTCCTCATAAACATCATTTTAATAACTTTCTAACATTCCCACTGAAGGGATTTGGTGTAATTTATATAAATTCTGTGCTATCTCTGCATGTTTATTTGGTCCATTTTCCCCCAAAACTATGATGCAACAAAAATCTTCAAACACCTTTTGTATATTTAAAGCAAACTTTATTCTGTGTTACAAATATAGCTAAGTATTTTATACTATTTTAAGTGAAATGTTCAATAATAAAATAGACATTAAAAAGTAAAAAGCTTTTTTTTTTTTTTTGAGACAGAGTTTCGCTCTTGTTGCCCAGACTGGAGTGCAATGGCACAATCTCGGCTCACTGCAACCTCTATCTCCCAGGTTCAAGTGATTCTCCTGCCTCAGCCTCCCAAGTAGCTGAGACTACAGGCGCCCACCACCACGCCTGGCTAATTTTGTATTTTTAGTAGAGATGCGGTTTCAACATGTTGGTCAGGCTGGTCTTGAACTCCTGACCTCAAGTGATCCACCAGTCTCGGCCTCCCAAAGTGTTGGGATTACAGGCGTGAGCCACCTCACTGGCTTTTTTTTTTTTCTTTTTCCCCAAAGAGACGGAGTCTCAGTATGTTGCCTTAGGCTCGAGTGATTTTCCCACCTCAGCCTCCTGAGTAGCTGGGACTACCGGCAAAAAGTTGTTTTGTTTTAAGTAAGCCAGTAATAATAACAAAATAAAACAAGGATTTTTGCAAATTGTAACTGAGTAGACATTCTTTTGATAATTATCTGCTCTCATTAGGGTTCAAAATATAAATCTTAAAAGTTCAAAATAAAAATCTTTCTTCTAAAGATTTGTATTTTATTTTATTTTTTAGAGACGGGGATTTGCTCTGTTGCCTAGGTTAGAGTGCAGTGGCACAACTATAGCTCACTGGAGCCTTGAACTCCTGGGCTCAGGGGGTCCTCCCACCTTAGCTTCTTGAGTAGCTAGGGCTACATACATGTGCCATCACTCCCGGATAATTTTTTTGTTGTTGCTGTTGCTGAGACAGTCTCACTCTGTTGCCCAGGCCGGAGTGCAGTGGTGCGATCTTGGCTCGCTGCAACCTCCGTCTCCCAGGTTCAAGTGATTCTCCTGCTTCAGCCTCCTGAGTAGCTGGGATTACAGGCATGCATCACCACGCCCCAGCTAATTTTGTGTATTTTTAGTAGAGATGGGGTTTCACCATGTTGGCCAGGTTCGTCTCAAACTCCTGACCTCAAGTGATCAGCCCGCCTCAGCCTTCCAAAGTACTGGGATTATAGGCATAAGCCACAGCTCCCAGCCTCTCCTGGATAATTTTTTAAAGTTTTTTATAGGAACGGGTCTCACTATGTTGCCCAAGCTGGTCTTGATCTCCTGGCCTCAAGGGATCCTCCTGCCTAGGCCCATGAAAGAGCAGGATTACAGACGTGAGCCATAGCACCTGGCCTAAAGATTTGCATTTTAGATTAGATATTCTTTTAGTTGGTATCAGTGGACACCAATTATTTTGCCCCAGGACCCTGTGCCAATTTCCCATGAAAATGAGATTTAGTAATCAGAAGGTAACAAAAAGATGTACTAATCTTTGCTTTATAAATAGTTTTATTTATTTATTTTTTTACTTTTTAATTTTTTTTTGAGACGGAGTCTCACTCTGTCGCCTAGGCTGGAGTGCAGTGGCACAACCTCGGCTCACTGCAACCTCTGCCTCCCAGGTTCAAGCAATTCTCCTGCCTCAGACTCCCAAGTAGCTGGGATTATAGGCATGTGCTACCACCCCTGGCTAATTTTTGTATTATTAGTAGAGATGGGGTTTCACCATGTTGGCCAGGTTCATCTCAAACTCCTGACCTCAGGTGATCCACCCACCTCGGCCTCCCAAAGTGCTGGGATTACAGGCGTGAGCCACCATGCCCGGCCAAATATTGTTTTAAAAGGACAAAGAAATATGTCACATTTATTAAATAAATTGTCTCTAAGTAATACTCAACTTATACTTAATATTATAGTATCGAAACTGCAAAAACAGAAGCTCTGTGAAAACTATTAAATGAAATTCTCAGTTTCTTTGAAGGATCTCTAAGGAGTATAACATTTGATTTGTTGAATTTGTGTCTGTTTTAATTACCAGGTATGACCCATAGAACCCCCAAGCGCTCCTGAGGTAGTGGGGCAGGGTAGCGGGGGGCACATATGCATGAATATCCACAAAATGAAATTATGAGCATAAAAACTTGGGAAACCACATTTCCAAGAAAGGAGAGCAGAATGAGAAGAATGCCTGAGAAAGTATTTGCTTGATGGGAAAAACCGCAGACATTATCAACAAATCTTTACCACATACAATGACCTTTACTTAACAAAACCAAGAAAATATCATAACCTTGCAATTGTTACAGATTTAAGCAGCTTTTGTGACTTTCAAGTAAAAAGGAATTAATGACATCTTTGTTCAGAATTCAGCAGAGGTCTAAATCACTTCAAAAGCCAATTTATCGTTTTGTTTGTTTGTCTGTCTTTGGAGATACAGTCTTGCTCTTGTCATCCAGGCTGGAGTGCAGTGGCACGACCTCGGCTCACTGCAACCTCCACCTCCTGGGTTCAAGCAATTCTCCTGCCTCAGCCTCCCAAGAAGCTGGGATTATAGGCGCCTGCCACCACACCCAGCTAATTTTTGTATTTTTAGTAGAGACGGTATTTCACCATGTTGGTCAGGCTGGTCTCAAACTCCTGACCTCAGGTGATCCACCCACTTCGGCCTCCCCAAAGTGCTAGGATTACAGGTGTGAGCCACTGTGCCCAGCCAAGCCAATCCATCTTTAAAATATATATATTTTTTGAGACAGAGTCTTGCTCTGTTGCCCAGCCTGGAGTGCAATGGTGCGATCTCGGCTCACTGCAACATCTGCCTACCAGGTTCAAGCGATTCTCCCACCTCAGCCTCCCACGTAGCTGCGATTATAGGCGTGCGCCACCACGCCTGGCCTCTTTAAAATATTCTTAAAGATAGCCTTTTACAACTTCCCACGGATAGGCAGTGGAGGTCAGATTGTAGGACAATCTACTGCTACTACCTCTCTAAAAAGCTCCTGCTACTCTGAGGGCCATCTTCAGAATGGAGTGCCCAAACTAAATAATTATTTTTCTGGCTTCATTTTCTCTAAGAAATTTATTTAAGAACCTCAAATTTAACAAGCTTGAAAGTTTCCCTCTTTTTTATGGTAGCTATTATGAAATGCTCAGCTCCATCTGTGAAGGCAAATGCAACAGAAATACTTTTCTCAAAAGACAAATAGTTATGAAAAGGTTTGCTGCTGTCTAAAGATGCCCCTTTAAGCACTTCTGCTATAACAAACACATTGAGATCCTCATTTTACCTCTCACTTTTAAGTTTTAGCCCCTGACTTCATTAAAATCAATGTGAAAAATACTCTGTACTCACTCTGGCATTCTATGAATTGATGAATAAAAGTGCAGTCCCCGCCACTCTTTGAAAGCAAGTGCTCTAATAAAGAAAGAAACACCTTTAAGGATATAGTTTGTTGCTGTCTTTGAAAACCAACAGCAAAGGTAGGAAAACTGAAAAGTATTAACATGGGTACTAAGTAAGACTAATAAAGGCTTAATATATTTTGATACTAAAGCAGACATATTTTGGAGTTAAATGACTGAAAATTATTATTAATTTGTACACTGAATGGTTAGCTTTTAAAGGTGTAGTTTTTATCCAAAGAGCTCAAGAAAATCACATAAATATATTGCTTTAAAATGGTTCTTCCACCTTTTGTCCACTAGAACTCAACAAATACCCTTAAATAATTTAAGTTTGTCATTATTAAATTAAATTAATTTTCAAGTGATTGTTCTATCATACTCCCTCTTCAAAGCTATTCATCTTAGTTAAGAGGCAAAAGGTAAATACTTTAAGAATATCATAAAGTAATACCATAAGATTTTTAAGAAATTGATGTAATAAGTTTTACATATTCATTTCATAATCTTCCCTTTTGAGTCACTTAATCTGTACCTCATACAGTATTAAAACATTAAATTGTTTATCTCTGCCCAAATGACCAAAATCAGTGCCTATTCATTTCAAAGTAAGAGCTTGGTAAATGGTTTTGCTCAAGTCAAACAGAATTTATTTTTCATTTAAAGAAATGAATGGAGACAATAAAAATGTAACATAGTGGTTAAATAAAAGTTTCAGTTCTTTTCTTACAATAATCTTTATTGTGATTTAAAGAGTTACTTCTGAATCTGGATAATGTCCTTTAACGTGTATTTATATCTTTCAAAATGACCAAATCTATTTTGGAAGTTGAAGTGTTAAAAACATATTCTGACATAATGACTACTTGGAAAGTGTGAAAGCATTAGAATCTGTCAAAGGGGACACATGAGTTGGCACCATTCTCTCTATAAAAACCTCCTTCCCCTCTCGTCCACCTCAGGCCACGTTACTCCTCAGTCGTCTCAACTTTGCATGAGAGGCAGACACTACCTACTTAGATCATGCCTTACCTCTCTTTACATCCTTCCTGTTGGCTACCTTCTTTAATTCTATACTAAAATTTATCATTATGCTTTAATAAGTTACATGGTGTGCAGAGCCTCTCATCTATCATCACCATCAGTATAAGACAAAAACATGGAGGAAAAAGGTTGATAAAACTTGTGTTTTGGAGAGACCAATGCACTACATACCTAGAATACTATATAGTGATACAATATAGCCTCAAAAAGAAAAAAATACTAACAGCAACAGAAATTTGAAATTTAAAAAAAATCTAATAAATAAGAATTTGACAACTGGATCCAGGAAAAGCAAAACGGGAGCCCTCAGTATAATAGTAATTGCCAGGATAAAAAGTTGTTTTTCATAAATCCCATTTTAGCTATGGTAACACTTTAAAAACTCAAACTACATCATCATGTTATATATATATAAACTCATTTGGAATGATATTTTAACTTAACTAAAGGACTTTACAAAACATATTTGAAACATATTTCAGACTAATATCAAAGAACTTAAGATGACATTTATTAAAGAGGGACATCCTACCATTACTTACAAAGCTAACAATCACACTTTTATCTGAACTCTACATTAAAATATTTACTAAACTGGTTTAGATAAAATCTGATATTAATATAAAAAGATAGAGAACCACTCTACTTAAAATACATTTTATTTATATAAATGAGTTTCCTATGGATTTTTATTTATATACCTGTGTTATCTAATACTATAGCCATTAGCTACTGTAGTTACTAAACCCTTCAAATGTGGCTAGCTCTAATTGAGATGTCCTAAGCATAAAACAAATGTACAATGATTTCAATGAATTAGTAAGAAAACAGTGATATGAAATTTTATGAATAATTTATTAATCATTTTAATATTTATTAATATTGAAATATTTTGGATGCTGTAGGCAAAATAGATCATTAGAATTTGTTTTGTTTATATATATTATATATATATATATATATATATATATATAATAGAGATGGGATCTTGCTATGTTGTCTAGGATCAAGTGCAGTAGTTATTCACAGGTGTGATTGTAGTGCACTACAACCTCAAACTCCTGGCCTCAAGGGATCCTCCTACCTTAGCCTCCCAAGTAACTGGGACAACAGGCATGTACCACTGCACCCAGCTTTTTATATTTTTAATGTGTGTGGTGGTTAATACTGAGTGTCAACTTGAATGGATTAAAGGATACAAAGTATTAATCCTGGGTGTGTCTGTGAGGTTGTTGCCAAAGGAGATTAACATTTGAGTCAGTAGGCTGGGAAAGGCAGACCTACCCTTAATCTGGGTGGGCACAACCTAATCAGCTGCCAGTGCAGCTAGAATATAAGCAGTCAGAAAAATGTGAAAAGAGAGACTGGCCTAGCCTCCCAGCCTACATCTTTCTCCTGTGCTGGATGCTTCCTGTCCTCGAACATCAGACTCCAAGTTCTTCAGTTTTGGAACTCAGACTGGCTCTCCTTGCTCCTCAGCTTGCAGATGGCCTATGTGGGACCTTGTGATTGTGTGAGTTAATACTTAATAAACTCCCCTTTATATATATAATATATATAATATATATTATATATATAATACACATATAATATATATTATATATAATACACATATATAATATATATTATATATAATACACACATATATTATATATAATACACACATATAACATATATTATATTATATATAATACACACATATATAATATATATAATATATATTATATATAATACACACATATATAATATATATTTTTATATATAATACACATATATATATTTTATATATATATATATATATATATATATTCCATTAGTTCTGTCCCTCTAGAGAACCCTGACTAATACAATGTGGCTGCCAGAATTTTTTTAAATTAAGAGACAGGGTCTTACTCTGTTGTCCAGGCTGGAGTACAGTGGCACAATCATAGTTCATTGCAACCTTGAATTTCTGGGCTCAAGGGATCCTCCCTCCTCAGCCTCCCAACTACCTAGGACCACAGGTGTGTACTACCACACTTGGCTAATTTTTAAATTTTGTGTAGAGACAGAAGTCTCACTATGTTGCCCAGGCTGGTCTCAAACTAATGGCCTCAAGCAGTCTTCCCTGCTTAGCCTCCCAAAGTGCTGGGATTACAGGCACATGCCACCACACCTCACTAATTTAAAAAAAAAATTTTTTTTTTCTTTTTAGAGATGGGGTCTCACTATGTTGCCCAGGCTGGTTTCGAGCTTCTGGGCTCAAACAATCCTCCCTTGCTGGGATTACAGGAGCAAGCTACTTTGCCCAGCAGAAAATTTAAAATTATGTATGTGGCTCTCATTATGTTTATTTTTTATTTTTTTGAGATGGGGTCTCACTCTGTCACCCAGGCTGAGTACAGTGGTGTGATCATGACTCACTGCAGCCTTGACCTCCTGGGATCAAGTGATTCTCCCATCTAGCCTCCTGAGGAGCTGGGTCTACAGGTGCACACCACTATGCCCAGCTAATTTTTAATTTTTTTATAGAGATGGGTTCTCACTATGTTGCTCGGGCTGGTCTTGAACTCCTGGACACAAGCAATCCTTCCACCTTGGCCTCCCAAAGTGCTGGGATTATAGGTGTGAGCCACCACACCCAGCCTTATGTTTATTTCGGACAACACTGTCCTTTACTCTCTAAGATACATTCAGCTTATGCTTATTAGATAAGACACACAAAAAATTTACAGTACAAAACCTGTGCTTTTAGTAGCTACATTATATTTAATTTTTAAAATGGGATTCACTGAAAGTATTAGTATTATTAATTTTAACATCTTCAGATATTTAAAAATATTCTCTTACAACTATATTTGGCTCTCTACTATTTAAAGAATAATTTAGTTAAAATTATATAATATGGGTATGGACATTGGTAATACTGGGATACTTGAAAATTGGTTCATTATTATAAGTGATTTGGAATGGAATTAAGTGACGCATCTTATTCCAAAGTCCACCCTTAACTAAGTTTTCGTGTACATCTAGAAATTTATTGCTTAGTTTCTTTTAAAATATTCTATTAGTCACTATCATACCGTAACTCAATATATCACCACCAAAAAAGCAAGCACACAAATAAGGAAAAAATAATTATGGCAAGGAGTTACCTTTAAGTATCTAAAATATTTATTCTTAAAATCAAGGAGTCTTTAACAATTATATTAATACAATATGAAAACAGTCTACTATTATTTTCATCTGAACCAACTGGAACTGGAAAAAAATGAATCAGTAATTTTACAACTCTAAATAGTATAAAGATGGTTCCATGTACATAAAACGATTCTCTTAACTGAAGGAATGAATAGCAGGTTCCCAGCTTGGGTTAATACTAACATTATTAATATAAAATCAAGAGGGTGATGACTGATTGACTGTTTTGTTTTGTTTTGTTTTTTGAGACAAGAGTCTCACTCTGTTGCCCAGGTTGGGGTGCAGTGGCACGATCTGGGCTCATTGCAACCTCTGCCTCCCAGGTTCAAGTGATCCTCCTGCCTCAGCCTCCTAGAGTAGCTGGGATTACAGTAGCGTGCCACCACGCCCAGCTAATTTTTGTATTTTTTGTAGAGACAGGGTTTCACAAAGTTGTCCAGACCTTGGTGGTCTTCAACTACTGACCTCAAGTGATCCACCCGCCTTGGCCTCCCAAAGTGCTGGGATTACAGGTGTGAGCCACTGCCCCGGACATGATTTTTTTTTTTTTGAGACAGGGTCTCACTCCCATCGCCTGCAGTGGCATGATCTCAGTTCACTGCAGCCTCGACCTCCTGGGCTCAAGTGATCCTCCCACCTCAGCCTCCTGAGTAGCTGGGATTACAGGTGTGTGGCCACCATGCGTGGCTAATTTTTGTATTTTTTGTAGAGATAAAGTTTCACCATGATGCTCAGGCTGGTCTGAAACTCCTGAGCTCAAGCGATCTGCTTGATCGCAATGAATATAAACTACACCTTTAAAAATTCTCAAATTTAAATTCCATCAAATTGGAATTTTAAAAAGTCAATGCATTTTACAAAACATACGTAGAATAGTCAAACAGCAATGATTAATGAACATTTTTCTTGAGAGTTTCAAAATTCATTACATATGCAAATAAGGTTTTGACCTTGCAGCTAACATACACACAATTACCTGAGCCTATACTGCCAGCTCTTGATTAAAACCTGACCAAACAAAACCAAACCAAAAAAGAACCAAAAAACCCACCTCCTAACTCTACCAGTTTGATTGCTGCCCAAGAACTATTATGATATCCCTTGATACATGGAAAAAATATTTTGTCTTTTCTTTTCTTTTCTTTTCTTTTTTAAAGACAGGGCCTTGCTCGTCACCCAGGCTGGAGTGCAGTGGCACAATTATGGCTCACTGCTGCCTCAACCTCCTGGGCTCAGCTGACCCTCCCACCTCAGCCTCCCACGTAGTTGGGACTACAGGCGCACACCACAATGCCTGGCTAAGGGAAAAAATATTTAATAAGTTCTGGGTATCAACTCTGATATCTTCGACTAACTTCTGTAGAAAACTGAGATGAAAGGCACATAGATTGGTAAACACAGAAAAGAGTTTAATTTCTACTGTACTCCAAGCACCTAGCGCAGGGTCTGGCACATAGTTGGTGCTCAATTAATGTTAGATGGAAGGGGAGAGAAGGAGAATGACTAGGGATCTTCAAGACTGAAGGATAATAGAGGTCACTGGGTAAAAAGTACCCCGTGTAGTGACAGGAAAACCAATAGTGGCTATATGTTTTTGGCAAGAGAGAACCCACGCTGTCCAGAAAGAAGGGTCACAGAACCAACAACTAATAAAAGATTTTTCTGATGGCAGAAAAAACTGACCCTGTTCTCTCTGATCAATGAAACAGATGGATAAACAAAGTAGTTTCTATGATATGTCCAAGGGCTCAATAAGCTGTTAAATAAACTCGAATGTTTTAAATGGGGGTCAAGTATCACTGGAGGCAGAACTTGATGAAACAAAATGGTAGTACAGCTCTTCGAAAAACAGAGTGGGGAAAAAGATCTATATTATATATTGCTAAAGGTGAACTTAATAATTTTCTGATTTGAGTAATTGAAATTTCCATATAACAAGGGATATCTAAGAATTGATCACAGCATCAACTCTTACAAAATAAAGGAAAGCTTGATTTTTAAATGATGGGGTTCAATGATCTGTGAGAGCATGCTTTTCATTCCAAACACTTAAAACCCTGAACTCCTTATCCTGCTTAAATACTAAAATGATATCATAAAAAGTATATATATATTTAAGTTTTTTACACTACCTTTTTCTGTGCTCCCATTTATTTTAGGTAAGAAGTCATCAACTTGTATCCCTAGGATTAAGACAGTATATCATTGCCTGATCAAAGAAGTATTACTTTAAATGTGGTCTCAAGTGTAACCATGGCATTCTGCATTCCTAAGATTAAGATTGTATAGAACACTTTAAAAGGGATCCTGCTGTTCATGTACTTTTCTTATTTAAATATCCCGAGGTAGAAGATCTCAGAGCAGAAATTTCACTCATCTCAAGGAAAACAATGGTGCCCACTGGTGGCAATCAAGCATATTTTTAAAGAAAATTTTCTAAAAGAATATAGATACTTTATACCTAATACATAAAACATCCCTTAAAAAATGCAGTGTGAGACAGTAAACAAGGTCAAAAGTTTAAGGATAAAATTCAGGTTTAAGTAAGAAATATGGATGCCACCTACCCAAGCTGCTGCATTCTTTAAGAGTTTTCTCCTGAAGATGTTCTAACCGTACTGTAAATAAAAGTCCAAAAAAAAAAAAGATATTTCACAGATAACAAGAAAAAAAATAAAATAAAATCAATTTCTGGATTAGCTACTTACCTTGTAAAGCTGTTAGCCTTTCATTGGTGAAATCATTATCAGCTTGCAAAGCTTCTATTTTTGCCTGGAGCTCCTGTTCTTTTTCTTCCATTTCATCTATTTTATGTTGTAATTCTTTTTTCTCAGCCTGTCCCTTCTGTTGGATTTCCTCTTGTTTTCCCTCTGCTACCTAGAAAAATAAGAAAATTCAGTTATTTAACAAACCTAACTCTGTTTTAAGAGCGAGCCCCAGGAATGCCTTTATTCACTTAAACTTCTAAGAAAAGTTTGTTCTGTAGAAAAGAAATGTTCTACAGAACATTATCTGTAAACCTGACATTTCTTTCTTTCTTTTTTTTTTTGAGATGGAGTTTCACTCTTGTTGCCTAGGCAACCTCCGCCTCCCGGGTTCGAGTGATTCTCCTGCCTCAGCCTCCCAAGTAGCTGGGATTACAGGCATGCGCCACCATACCCAGCTAATTTTGTATTTTTAGAAGAGACGGGGTTTCTCCATGTTGGTCAGGCTGGTCTCGAACGCCTGACCTCAGATGATCAGCCCACCTTGGCCTCCCAAAGTGCTGGGATTACAGGCATGAGCCACTGCGCCCGGCTAACCTGACATTTCTAAACCAGTAAAGATGATAAAGACAAAGGCTTGATGTCAAAAATTATCTGCATTGGGTTATTCCTCCATAACACCCAGGAGAGAGAAACTTGGAGGAAGCAAGTAGGCTCAGTACACACAGAGGTAAAGGGTCAATGTGGAAAAAAAAATCGTATTTTTAAAGAGGGAAGTAAGATTTTTCCCTAAAATTACTATCATTTCAATTTTGAAGTTCTATCATGTTAACATTCTGAAATTTTAAACAAAATTATTTAGTAACGAGATGACAGTACAATCACTATTCAAAAAGACCTCTCTGCCTATAGTTTGGATGTTCGTCCCCCAAGCCTCAATGTTGAAATTTGATCCTCAGTGTTGGAGATGGGGTCTAATGAGAGGTGTTTGGGTTATGGGAGCAGATCCCTCATGAATGGCTTGGTGCTGTCCTCATGGTAATGAGTGAATTCTCACTCTATTAGTCCTATGAAAGCTGGTTTTTAAAAAGAGCCTGGCACCTCTCCCAGACCCTCTCTCACCATGGAACACGTACCAGCTCCACTTTGCTTTCTGCCATCAGTGGAAGCAGCCTGAAGCTTCAGCCTGCAGAACTGTGAGCCAAATAAACCTCTTATCTTTATAAATTACCCAGGCTCAGCTATTCCTTTATAGCAACAAAAATGGACAATGACAATCTCCTTTTAACAAGACCAACTTTGAAAACTATCATAGGTTAACCAACGGAGGTATGCTCTGGTCTTCTCTAACAAACACATATCTTCTAGGCACTCAATCCATAGTTTGAATTAAACCAAGATGGACCTTCACAAACAGTTATAAGATTTTTTTTTTCCTCAGTTATAAGATTCTAAAGGACCAACTAGACATTACCCTATCATTACCCTATGATCTGATCTGTCCTTATCCTAGATGTCTCATAGATAGAGGGAATGGCAGCTAAAGCAGAGTTAACAGCATCCCTGAAAGCTAAAAGGGAGATCATTCCCAGATTCTCTCTGGGCTTGTTCCAGCACAGCACTAAATAGCTGGGCCCTGCCTTTTAGATGGCCTAATGATAAGCAGTTTTAGGTTTTAAAACATCTGAATATCATGGGTTTTGCTGATTCTCATCTACTTCCTGTTATATATTTTAGAAATGTCTATTGTGAAGCACTGACTACATATTCATCCAGAGGAACTATGTCAGCATTTACAGGCTTTCAATTATCTATAGTAATGGAGGTTGGGCTAAATGGAATACAGACACCTTATTTTCACTATAAATTTCAACTGTTACCAAATTTTTACATCAATAACTATTCAGCAATACCTAAAATCTTTTTTTATAGAAATCTTATTTAATATGTAGTACCACCTACATCCTGCTTTCATACTTTCAGCATAATTTAACACATTCAAGGAGACTATGCAAATCAATTCAAAATATCTATCTATACCAGTGGTTTTCAAACTGAATTTTTTTTTTTTTTTTTTTTTTGTGAGACGAAGTCTTGCTCTGTCGCCAGGCTGGAGTGCAGTGGTGCAATCTTGGCTCACTGCAACCTCTGCCTCCTGGGTTCAAGTGATTCTTCTGCCTTAGACTCCCAAGGAGCTGGGACTACAGGCATGTGTCACCACGCCCAGCTAATTTTTGTATTTTTAGTAGAGACGGGGTTTCACCATGTTGGCCAGGATGGTCTCAATCTCTTGACCTCATGATCTGCCCGCCTCGGCCTCCCAAAGTGCTGGGATTACAGGCGTGAGCCACTGCGCCTGGCCCAAACTGTTTTTTGTTTGTTTGTTTGTTTGTTTTTCCTTTGAGATGGAGTATCGCTCTGTCGCCCAGGCTGGAGTGCAGTGACGTGATCTCAGCTCGCTGCAACCTCCGTCTCCTGGGTTCAAGCAATTCTCCTACCTCAGCCTCCTGAGAAGCTGGGATTACAGGCGCCCGCCACCCCACGCCCAGCTAAAGCAATACCTAAAATCTTAAGCTATCTAGTGTGTTAGGGATTATTAGCTTAACATACTTTCAGGCAGAGTAAATACATACCTTTAATTTATCAGATAAATCTTTAATCTCATTAACTGCTCCATTATATTTGTTGGCTAATTCTCTTAATTCTTCCTGAGTCCTTTCATTCATTTCTTTCAGATGGGTACATTCATCTTCAGTATTACTCAGACTTCGCTGCGATTCAAGTTTACAGGCAATTTAATTAGAATAAGTGTATATTTGTTATTTAGAATTCCTTCTAAATGAAATTTATAAAAAGTATAATTCTATGGACTATTCTAAATCAACATCTGCCCTGGACTTTAAATAAAGCTGAGTCAAATAACATAAGAATTTCAATTCACACTAAAACAGAAAACATAACTAAGAATTAACAAAAACAACAAAAAAATAAAAGTGGAGGGAGAGCAGGGGCAGGAAAAGGATGCTGCCTTTATATAATTACATTTTTGAAAGGCCAATGGGTATGACTTTTAGCTGTGAAAATATTTTAAGCCTATCAATCCTTGAAAGCAAGTTTAATAATATCCAGCAATCAATTTAATAAAAAATTAAAAGACACTTAGTAACTTTCTTTATATATCAAATTAATCACACAACAGTGAATCAGGCACTATGGGATGAGGTAGCAATACAAACTATACCTGTAGTAAGGAAAGGTATGTTTACCATTTAGTTTCTGATGAGCATTTTAACTAATTCTAGTAATACATTATTTATGTGGTAATTTTGCAGTGGTTCAAAGAAAAGATCTATATTATGAATTAGAATTTTTTTCCCCAAAGCAATAAAAATTGCATTTTGATTGCTCCTCCAAGACCTAGAAAGGACCTTGGAGATGATTTCACCTTTGAACTTCCTAAATATATGACACAGCTAGTTTTCCTCTCTGCAGAGTGAATTAAAAAAGAACAAGTAGTGTAGACTCTTGGCCTTACACTGACCCCCCTCAAATAGAAGCAAAGCAAAACCAAGTGACAGGAAATCAATTCCCCAGCACATATCATGGTCTGCTGTATGGAGGGTGAATCCTAAGCAGAATGCAAACAATAAGATTCCCTGGTTACGCTTTTATTTCCTCAGCCATTGACTAGGGAGTAAGTACCAAAACTCACATGGAGAATTGCTGTCAATGAAAGCAGCGTAACTGTTCCTTCCCACCTGACAGACAGAAAGTATTTCCTAACTATATAATAATACCCAAGTTTAAAGTATCCTGGAATGCTTGAGATTTTTTTGAACACTCATAATACTATTTAGTATTTTTTTTTTGATTGAAATACCTCAACTTCTGAAAGTTTTCTAACCACTTCAATTTTCTCCTGAAGAACCCGCCTCAGGGACTCTTTGGCTGTTGTCTCATAGTTATGTTTATCCTCTTGTAATGCTATAAGTTCCTTTCGTAAACTATCTTCTGTTTGATTCTACAATAAAAGATATTTATAATTATAGACAAGTTATTTTTTAAAAGCATTTATTGTTTGAAAAAAATTAACACATTATGATATACTTTAAATTATATATTAAGGTACCTCCAAACATAAATGATTCTGGCCCTGTATTAACTAAAGATGTATTTACAAGTTGCATAAGTAAATTATGCCTTCACAAACTTACTAATTTCCACTTCCTATAGAAAAAAAAAGTTATAGGCAATTGAGAATTTCCCTAAAATATACAAAATTAGTTACTTTTATATTTGTCATATTTTCTGCAAGCCACCATATTCACATTTGTAGGCAAAAATAATCAATTACCTTCAAAGGCACCAAGCATTCTGAAACAATGGTTAAAACAAAAGGAATAAGAGTACCATGGGGGAAAAGCAGACTTCATGTCTGGGGCAGGAAAAGTACAAAATGAGCCTGAAACATCTTGTCTGAAATGACAGCATGAAGCTATCACTCTGAAGACATTTACACAGACCAAAGATGGGATAATTTGAGCATCAATAAGAAAAATAGGCTGGCCGTGGCACTTTGGGAGGCCGAGATGGGAGGATTGCGTGAGCCCAGGAGTTCAAGACCAGCCTGGGCAACATAGCAAGACCCTGTCTCTAAAACAAGAAAAACAACTGCACCAGATTTAAATACATCAAATATGTTTAAATCTAAGTGGAGTGAGAAAACACTTCATGGCCAGTCTTTGGTAGATGAAAAACCACCAATTCATTATTCTGAAATCTAATAAATAAGGGGAGAAAATCACTTATCTTGCTTTCCCCGTAGAAAACATACCTCAGGGTTATTTAAATTTTTTTATTCCAATACCTTTAGAGATACAAGTGGTTTTTGGTTACATGGATGAATTATGTAGTGGTGATGTCTGGGGTTTTAGTGCACTCATTACCTGAGTAGTGTATATTGTATTCAATAGGGAGTTTTTCATCCCTCACTCCCCTCTCACTTTCCCAACTTCTGAGTCTCCAATGTCCATTATAGCACTCTTTATGCCTTTACATACCTATAGCTTAGCTTCCACTTATAAATGAGAACATGTGGTATTTGGTTTTTGATGCCAAAGTTACAAAAAACAATGGCCATTGTTTTTCCTTTTTTCGTTTTTTTAGAGACAGGGTCTCTCTTTGTCACCAAGGCTGGAGCGCAGTTCTGCGATCATAACTCACTGTAATCACAAACTCCTGGGCTCAAGCGATCCTTCCACCTAAGCCTCCCGAGTAGCTAGGACTACAGGTTATGTACCACTATGCTAAGCAAATCTTTAATTTTTGGTAGATACTGGGTTTTGCCATGTTGCCCATACTGGTCTCAAACTGCCCCCGCTTTTTTTTTTTTTTTTTTTGAGACAGTCTCGCTCTGTCGCCCAGGCTGGAGTTCAGAGGTGCGATCTTGGCTCACTGCAACCTCCACCCCCACCGGGTTTAAGCAATTCTGTCTCAGCCTCTTGAGTAGCTTGGATTACAGGTACATGCCACCATGTCCAGCTAATTTTTGTACTTTTAGTAGAGACGGGGTTTCGCCATGTTGGCCACGCTGGTTTTGAACTCCTGACCTCAAGCAATCCGCCTGCCTTGGCCTCCCAAAGTGCTAGGATTACAGGCATGAGCCACTGTGTATGGAAGGAAACTTCTCTTTATAGAAGTAACCCAGCTAAATAAGTGAAGGAATAACAGAATTACATCATTATTTTTGTAACTTTTTTGTTGTTGTTGTTGTTGTTGAGACAGAGTTTCACTCTTGTTGCCCAGGCTACATTGCAATGGCACGATCTTGGCTCACTGCAACCTCTGCCTCCTGGGTTCAAGGGATTCTCCTGTCTCAGCCTTCTGAGTAGCTGGGATTACAGGCATGTGCCACCATGCCCGGCTAATTTTGTATTTTTAGTAGTGATGGGATTTCTCCATGTCGGTTGGACTGGTCTTGAACTCTCGAGCTCAGGTGATTCGCCCGCCTCATCCTCCCAAAGTGCTGGGATTATAGGTGTGAGCCACTGCGCCCAGCCTTATTTGTAACCGTAATGAAATAATGGATCTAGCCTGGGATCATCAATGATTGATAAAAATCTCAAAAAGAAAGACAACTAGACATTATGTTGTCCCTTGGTGGAAGAACACAATACCATCCATAAAGTGTTGTTGACAAAAAGAAAAACTGAACCTAAATCACATCAAATCTCTAGATGGAACTACTACTTTATGGAGTGGGAGGGGGAGCTAAAAAATGTTTAAATAACAATGCAGACTGAGGGAAATTCTAGAGGACAAATGACCCAGTTTTTTCAAGAAATATTAACTGCAATAGAAAAAAGACAGACTTGTACATGGGTATTCATTATGTAATTATTTTTATTTACATGGATGTCTGACGTTTCTCAGCACAAAAGATTTAAAAGAATTGTGGAAATGTATGAAGTTTTTAGCATATACTCAAAATGATAGTCAAAGAAATGATGTTACATAAAAAACTATGCATTTCATTTTACACATTTGAGGTTAATACCTACTTTGGAGCATGCCTGTAATTGGTTTCCCATAACTTCTAACCGTGATAAGAGTCTATCTTCATCTATTAAAGCCTATTGAAGAAAAATTAAATGTAAGTAAAACCCGAGTAATTATAAAGTCACATGTATATAAAAAAAGGTTGCTACTGACAACAAAAGATATAAAAGCGTAAAACTGACCAGCATCCACTGTAAAATGCTAAATCTTCAACAACTTGTTCATTAGTTAGGAAATAACTTTGTCTTTGTTTGCTACATTTTAGTTTATTTAACATGTATGGAATATTAAACTATGTTTAAATGTTTCTTAAATATAAAACAACTGGAATACCTGCCAACTGGTATCTGAAGCCTCTTGGGTGATGGCTAGTAGCCGCTGAAGCGTGGCTAACTTCTGTTCCAACATTTGTTCCCGATGTAAGGCCTCCTAGTATTACAAATCACAAAACAGATTCTAATAAGCTCATCATGATTCTTTTGAGGAGTGATCAATTTTCAGCATATTCTAAAATATTTTCATATTACATCCCACTTGATGTATTTTAAAGTAGTGAAACTTGATAGTACTTTGTAAAACATACAGCAGTCCCCGCTTATCTCTGGTTTCCCTTTCCACAGTTTCAGTTATAGTGCAGTACAAGATATTTTGAGAGAGACAGACAGAATGTTGACATTCACATAACTTTTATTCACATAACAGTATACTGTTGTAATTGTTCTATTTTATTATTATTGTTAATTTCTTACTATGCTTAATTTATAAGTCAAACTTTATCATAGGTATGTGTATATATAGGAAAAAACATAGTAGATATAGGGTTTGGTACTATCTGTGATTTCAGGCATCTACTGGGGGTCATGGAACATATTCCCTGCAGATAGGAAATGGCTACTCCATGTATATGGGCCACATCATTTTAGTCTCATTTGTTGGGCTGAAAGTACTGCTATTAGAGGTTCTCTAACTGCAACTTCTCCCATAATAGAAAACAAGTCACCTGTTTTTTGTTTTCTTTTTATTCATAATTTGGAAGAGCAAGTTTTTAAAAACATACAATAGAAAAAGCTAACAAATGTTTCAGGTTTGCATTTTATACACACACACACATACATACACACTGTGTGTATGTAGACATATATCTATGCATACACACATACACAGTCATGCACCACAAAACAACATTTCAGTCAACTATAGACTGCATATACACAGTAGTCCCCAAAAATTACAATGAAGCTGAAAAATTTCTATCGCTTAATGACATCATAGCCATCCTAACATTGTAACACAAGGGGGCATTACTCACGTGTTTGAGGAGATGTTGGTGTAAACAAACCTACTGTGCTGCCAGTTATATAAAAGTATAGCACATATAATTATATATAGTACATAATACATAATAGTATTATATGACTTTATCAGTTTATGCATGTACTATACTTTTTATTGTTAATTATAGAGTGCATTCCTTCTGCTTATTAAAAAGAAAAAAACATTAACTGTAAAATACCTTCAGAGAGGTCCTTTAGGAGGTATCCAGAAGAAGGCACTGTTATCACAGGAGATGACAGCTCCATGCATGTTACTGCCCCTGAAGACCTTTCAGTGGGATATGATGTGGAGGTGGAAAATAGTGATAATGATGATCTTGATACTGTGTAGGCCTAGGCTAATGTGTGTGCTTATGTCTTCATTTTTAACAAAAAAGTTTAAAAAGTAAAAGCAAGTTTAAAAAATTTTTAATAATAAAAAGCTTATAAATTAAGAATAGAAACAATATTTTTGAACAGTTGTACTACGTGTTTGTGTTTTAAGCTAAGTGTGAATACAAGAGTCAAAAAGGTTTTAAAACTTGTAAGTTTATAAAGTAAAAAAGTTACAGCAAGCTAAGGTTAGCTTATTATTGAAGAAAGAAGAACTTTTTTTTCTTTTTTTGAGACAAGAGTCTAGGTCTGTCACCCAGGCTGGAGTGCTGTTGCATGATGATGTCACTAAGTGATGGCTCACTGTAATCTCAAACTCCTGAGCTTATGATCCTCCTGCCTCAGCCCTCCAAATAGCTAGGAGGCAGACACACACCACCATGCCCAGTTAATTTTTTTTTTTTTCTTTTTCTGAGACGAAGTCTCTCTCTGTTGCCCAGGCTGGAGTGCAATGGCGCGATCTTGGCTCACTGCAACCTCCGCCTCTTGGGTTCAAGCAATTCTCTCACCTCTGCCTCCTGAGTAGCTGGGATGACATGCAGCACCACCACGCCTGGCTCATTTTTGTATTTTCAGTAGAGACGGCGTTTTACCATGTTGGACAGGCTGGTCTCGAACTCCTGACCTCAAGTGATCCGCCCGCCTTGGCCTCCCAAAGTGCTGGGATCACAGGTGTGAGTCCCCGCACCCAACCTCCAGCTAATATTTTTATTTAAAGTTTTTTTTTTTGTTTTTTTTTTTTTTAACAGATGGGGCGTTCTTATGTTGCTCAGGATGGTCTTGAACTCCTGGTCTCAAAGATCCTCCCACCTTAGCCATCCAAAGTGCTGGGATTTCAGGCATGAGCCACCATGCCTGCCCCAAAAACTTTTTAAATATATATTTAAAGCAGCCTAAGTGTACAGTGTTTATAAAGTCTACAGTAATGTCCAGTAATGTCACAGGCCTTCACATTCACTTACCACTCACTTAATGACTCACCCAGAGCAGCTTCCAGTCCTGCAAGCTTTATGCATGGTAAGTGCCTTGTACAGGTATATCATTTTCTATCTTTTTCTTTTCTTTTCTTTTCTTTTTTGAGACAGAGCCTTGCTCTGTCATCCAGGCTGGAGTGCAGTGGTGTGATCTCGGCTTACTGCAACCTCTGCCTCCTGGGTTCAAGCAATTCTGGTACCTCAGCCTCCCGAGTAGCTGGGACTACAGGCATGTGCCACCATGCCCAGCTAATTTTTGTATTTTTAGTAGAGACAGGGTTTTGCCAAGTTGATCAGGCTGGTCTCGAACTCCTAGCCTCAAGTGTTCCTCCTGCCTCGGTCACCCAAAGTGCTGGGATTACACTGCCTCCAGCCTTTTTCTATCTTTTATACTGTTATTTTTACTGTACCTTTTCTGTGTTTAGATATGTTTCTAAACACGAATACTATTGTGTTACAACTGCCTTCAGTATGCAGTACAATAACATGCTGTATGGGTTTGTAGCCTAGGAGCAATAGGCTACACTATATAGCCTAGGTGTGTAATAGGCTACGCCATCTAGGTTATGTAAGTACAATGTATAATGTTCACACAAAGACAAAATCACCTAATGAGATCATATGCCTGTTAAGCGATACATGATAGTATATACATGTATACATGTGTATATATACAACCACATACACATATATGTGAATATATGTGAAATATATACATCTCAGAACAAACTCATTCCAACTGAAGCCAAGATAATCTGGTCATCAGCAAAAATACTTTATAATGGCTTAATTGCACAAGTATGATATCCAAAATAGAAATAGCTTTTAATTTTTCCTTTTAAAAATGTTGTTTATATAAACGTATACATTTTTGTTTTATTTCTGAGACAGAGTCTCATTCTGCAGCCCAGGTTGGAGTACAGTGGCATGATCTTGGCTCACTGCAACCTCCACCTCCCGCGTTCAAGCAATTCTCATGCCTCAGCCTTCTGAGCAGCTGGGACTACAGGTGCACACCACCATGCCCAGCTAATTTTTGTATTTTTTGTGGAGATGAGCTTTCTCCATGTTTGCCAGGCTGGTCTTGAACTCCTGGTCTCAAGTGATCTGCCTGCCTCGGCCTCCCAAAGTGTTGGGATTACAGGCCAAGAGCCCCCGTGCCCGGCCAATATATACATTTAAAAAGAGAGATTGCTTCACTCGCACAGCCTATTGCATTTTCAGGTGTTCTGATTCTCTCTGACTATATAACACTTAGCAGTAATTAATATACCAAAATAGGTAAGAGTCCACTGAATATTGGTTCAATGTAATTAAGGGACTTATAATGGGAGAATTAAATAACTATTTGGCAGCTCCAAAGATATATATATCCAAAGATACATATATATTTACACATAATATATATATATAATGTGTTATATATGTTATGTGTATATATATACACATTATATATTATATATAATATATATTATATGTAAATATATATATATATATATATATATATATATATATATATATATATAATTTTTTTTTTTTTGAGACAGAATTTCACCCTTATTGTCCAGGCTGGAGTGCAGTGGCATGATCTCGGCTCACCGCAGCCTCCGCCTCCTGGGTCCAAGTCATTCTCCTGCCTCAGCCTCCCGAGTAGCTGGGATTACAGGCATGCGCCACCACGCCCAGCTGGTTTTGTATTTTTAGTAGAGACGGGGGTTTCTCCATGTCGGTCAGGCTGGTCTCGAACTCCTGACCACAGGTGATCCGCCCGCCTTAGCCTCCCAAAGTGCTGGGATTACAGGCATAGCCACCGTGCCCAGCCCAAAGATATATTTTACAGAGAAAGACATTGGTGTACAAAGTCTAAACTTTAGGTGGCTTGTTAACAGTTAATAGCTGTTAAGCGAGACTCCTTTACTCAGAATCAAGGTGAAATGCTCATAGCACTTAGTTGTGGTTTTGGCATACCTTCTTCACCTTGTTCTATTCCTGTCATTATCCAGAGGAACACTTATGACCCTAACGCCTCTGAGACACCTCAACAGAGAAGTATACACTTCAAACATAGTACTTGAGGTTTAAAGCATTAATTTATTGCTCTCCACATCCTTGATAAATAATGACTACGGAAAATTTTGTCTACTTAGAGGTACTACATTTTAATATAAGCTATAGGTTATAATAAAGCTATCGGTTAAAGAATCTAATAAAAAGCCATACACCTCAGAATCCATATTAAAACACAGCTTCACTTAAGAGACTATTTGCCAAGTTTAAGTTCCTAAAACATTCCTAACATTCAGGAAATCACTCAGATGCTGCAAAAAGTTTTACTGAAAAACAAAACCATCAACCAACCATATCTTTAGAATCTACTTCCACTAGATGGTGTAATTTCACCTTTTTAATTCAATTCCATTTAGAGTTTAACTCCATGAACTATATCCTAACAGAAATCTAATATGTCCAGGAATGGTCTTTTAGTTAGTTCTAAGGTATAAAATGCATCTATTCCAGTTTTTACTTAAAATGTTCACAATTTACATTAGAACTTTAGCAGTTCAATAAGAACATATACAGAAAAGACTGGTATAATTTTATCTCAAAGAGCTAGAAAAGGAACAGCAGAGGATTAGGACACTAGGGATATTCACAGAACAAGAAGGTTGGAAAGAGTGAGAGAGTGAGGGAGTGAGATTTGCTATCCACGATGACTAGTAACAGTAGTATACATGCCTGGGCAAATAATTTAACCTATATGAGCCCCACATTTCTCATATGAAAAATGAGGTTTAAACTACATTAATCTCAAAGTTTTCTTCCACCTCTAATAATAAGCAGCTTAATTAATGTGCCTTCCTATTGAATGGTAAACTACTAACATTTATGGCATACATTCTATGTGCCAGGAACTGTTCTAAGTGCTTTACATATATTAATTTTTTTATTCTTCACAATTCTGTGTAAGTTAAGTGCTATTACTATATCCATTTCACAGATGAGGAAAATGAGGCACAAAAGGGTTAAACAACTTTTCCAGTAGGTCAGAAATTAAAGCCAAGGATTAAATGAGGGAATTTTGGCTTAGAATACTCTTAAATACTCTATTAAAATCCAAATGTGTAATGTTTTTCTATGCATACATTATGCCTGGTGGAAGATAAGATCTGATTAATACATTGATAATTTTCTGTTCATTTTCATAGATGTGTACATTCTTAACTAAGATGAAACTGTTCTCACTGATTGATTCCTATAAAAGAATGTAGGGGTCCGGGTGTGGTGGCTCAGGCCTGTAATCCCAGCACTTTGGGAGGCCAAGGTGGGCAGATAACGAGGTCAGGAGATTGGAGACCATCCTGGCTAACACGGTGAAACCTCCTCTCTACTAAAAATACAAAAAATTAGCCAGGCGTGGTGGCACATGCCTGTAGTCCCAGCTACTCAGGAGGCTGAGGCAGGAGAATCGCTTGAACCCGGGAAGTGGAGGTTGCAGTGAGCCAAGATCACGCCACCGCACTCCAGCCTGGGCAACAGAGCAAGACTCCACCTCAAAAAAGAATATAGGGACCCAGGATCACAGGTTTGGTTCTATTATTTGAAACAAAAGACAACTGAAGGCCTACCCACATAAAATGACTCACTCAAGGTCACAAAAGTGGGTTGAGTAGCAGAACTAAGATAAAAACCTCAATCTTGCCTGGTGCGGTGGCTCACACCTGTAATCCCAGCACTTTGGGAGGCCAAGGTGGATGGATCACTTGAGGTCAGGAGTTTAAGGCCAGCCTGGCCAACATGGTGAAACCTAAAAATGTACTCTACTCTATTAAAAATACAAAAAATTAGCCAGGTGTGGTGGCACATGCTTTTAATTCCAGCTACTCGGGAGACTGGGGCAGGAGAACTGCTTGAACCCGGGAGGTGGAGGTTGCAATGAGCCTAGATTGCGCCAGTGCACTCCAGCGTGGGTGACAGAGCGAAAGTCCATTTCAAAAAAAAAAAAACAAAAACAAAAAATACCTCAGTCTCTAATCTCCTGATCCAGGAGTTTTCTTTAACCATGCTCCCTCACCAGAATAAGAAACATAATCTAGCCCAAACCCACAAAAACCAGAAAAAAAAAAAAAAACAACCCAAAACACTTGTTTGCTTTTTAAAGATTTATACGGTTCTTTAAATATGGCATTAACTTGAAGCAGTATCTGCTCTACACCAAGAAATTATTCTGTGAATCCAGCAGCACAGCACAGTAGTTACACAAAGCAGAAAATCTGAGGTCTGGCTGTCCAGGTTCAAATCCCAGCTCTACCATATACTTGATATGTGATACTGTATAAATTATTAAATCTTCCTGCCTCTCAGTTACTCTATCTGTAAAAATAGGAATAAAATATGCACCTTGTAAGACTGTTGTGAGAATTAAATAATATAGGTAAAGTGCTAGAATGAAGCTTGGCATATAATAAGTGCTATATAATTACTTGCTATTAATATTATTAAGCAATCAAAATCTCTCCCAGTTATTTTTTATTTAAAAGTCATCTATGGGCCGGGCGCCATGGCTCATGCCTGTAATCCCAACACTTTGGGAGGCTGAAGTGGGTGTATTGCCTGAGCTCAGGAGTTTGAGACCACCCTGGGCAACATGGTAAAACCCTGTCTCTACTAAAATACAAAAAATTAGCCAGCTGTGGGTGGTGGATGCCTGTAGTCCCAGCCACTCAGGAGGCTGAGGCAGGAGAATCGCTTGGGCCCAGGAGGCAGAGGTTGTAGTGAGCTGAGATTGTACCACTGCACTCCAGCTTGGGCTACAGAGTGAGACTCCATCTCAAAAATAAAACAGAATAAAATAAAATAAAACAAAACAAAAGTCATCTATGGATAAAGAATTGTTTTGGGGCTCGGCATGGCGGCTCACACCTATAATCCCAGCACTTTGGGAGGTTGAGGCAGGAAAAAGACTTGAGCCCAGGAGTTCGAGGCTGTAGTGAGTTCTGATCATGCCACTGCACTTCAGCCTGAGAGACAGAGCGAGACCCTGTCTCCAAAAAAATTTGAAAACAGATTTTTAAAAACTGTTTTGGAACCTCCTCATACTTGAACAAAAAAATTCCTCTTGTACAAAGGCTTTTCTCTAGATTTAATGTTGACTCTTTTATCTTTCTTCATAAGATCTACTTTTAATCCTTTGTTCTTTTTTGAAAAGACAGTATTTCTTTTCTATTTGCATCCAGCCATTTTTTTATCCTATATTTGTGAATTTGCAAAATAAAATATAAGTTGTTTAATTCTGCCCTTCTTTTCTTCAGACAGGGTCTTGCTCTGTTGCCTAGGATGGAGTGCAGTGGTGCCATCAAAGTTCACTGCAGCCTCGACCCCCTGGGCTCAAGTAATCCTCTCACCTCCACCTCCCAAGTAGCTGGGACTACAGATGCACGCCATCACACCTGGTTAATTAAAAAAATTTTTTTAAATTAAAGGGGTCTCACTTTATTGCCCAGGTTGGTCTCAAACTCTTGGCCTCAAAGAATCCTTCTGCCTAGGCCTCCCAAAGTCCTGGGATTACAGGCATTAGCCACCATGCCTGGCCCTAATTCTGCTTTTAAGAACTTTTAAAAGTTTAAAAGAAATTCTGCTTTTAAGAAGTCTCAAGATGTACTTTTACCTGTAGATACTGAGAAAGCTGGAATAGTTCCTGAGAGTACATACTTGGAGTGTTAGCAGCAACCTAGAAACAAATGACACAGTATCAACAGAAAACACTTCATAAAGAACATTAAAGACAAACCAATTTCTTGAAATGTCTACTTACTTAAATATGCAAAATAACTGTTATTAAAATCACAAATTTATAGCACAAAGGCAATATAGCCTTTTAAATTTTTTTCTTTTCTGACGGAAATATAGCCGTTTCTTAATCCAGAAATAAAACCTCCTAATCAACAGATCCACATATTTTCCCTTTAAAATTCATCATTAAATACTTCTTTAATATTTTAACAAGCCTCATTCATTTAGAAGTAGCCATCTTCAAAATGGTATTTTTATGTGGTATAGGTAGGGCAGGGGCATGAAATACAACACTTTGTCCAGTGGCCTGAGGCAATGTTTCTTGAAATCCATAGGTAGGTTTTAAGAAAAAAGATGGGAAGTAATGGTGTTTAAACACTGTAAGTCATAGTCAAACTATTTAGAACTCAAGAGTATTATAAGGAATATCTTCTATAAGGGTTTTTTCAAGGCTGTAGAATATAGAACCATGGCATTATTAAAAAGAAAAACAAACAAAAAAGGGCCGGGCGCAGTGGCTCATGCCTGTAATCCCAGCACTTTGGAAGGCCGAGGGGGATGGATCACCTGAGGCCAGGAGTTCGAGAGACCAGCCTGGCCAACATGGTGAAACCCCGTGTCACGCTACTGCACTTCAGCCTGGACGACAGAGCGAAACTCCATCTCAAAAAAAAAAGAAGAAGGGCCAGGTACGGTGGCTCACGCCTGTAATCCCAGCACTTTGGGAGGCCGAGGCAGCCAGATCACCTGACGTTGGGAGTTCAAGACCAGCCTGACCGACATGGAGAAACCCCGTCTCTACTAAAAACGTAAAATTAGCAGGGCATGGTGGCACATGCCTGTAATCCCAGCTACTTGGGAGGCCAGGGCAGAAGAATCGCTGGAACCTCGAAGGCGGAGGTTGCAGTAAACTGAGATTGCACCATTGCACTCCAGCCTGGGCAACATGAGTGAAACTGTCTCAAAAAAAAAAAAAAAAAAAGGAGTAGGAGGAGGAAGAAAGAAGAAGGAAGGAAGAGGAAAAAGAAGAAGGAAGGAGGAGGAGGAAGAAAAGGAAGAGGAAGAAGAAGAAAAAGAAGAGGGGGAGGAGGAAGGAGGAAGAGGAGGGAGCAGGAAGAGGAAGAAAAAGGAGAAGGAGGGAGGAAAAAGGGAAGGAAGAAGGAGAAAGAAGGAAGAAGAAGAAAGAAGAAGGAAGTAGGAGGAGGGAGGACGAAGAAAAAAACGAGTAAGAAGAAAGAAGGAAGAAGGACGAAGAAGAAAAAAGAAGGAAGAAGAAAGAAGGAAGAAAGAAGAATAAGAAGGAAAAAGAAAGAAGGCAGAAGGAGGAAGAAAGAAGAAAGTAAAAGGAAGAAACAGGAGGAGGAGAAGGGGGAGAAGAAGGGAGAGAAGGAGGAGGAGAAAGAGGAGGAGAAGATGGAGTAAGAGGAGGAGGAGGAGGAGAAGAAGGAGAAAAAACCAAGAAGGAGGAAAAGGAGGAAAGAAGAAAGAAAAGAAGAGGAGGAGGAGGAGGAGGAGCAGGAGCAGGAGGAGAAGAAGAAGGAAGAAGGACTACTGGGTTGCTGTAATATTCACCCCTATGTGTCAGCTTATTAATGATGTTATAGCACCAGTCCTTATTAAGCTTGGAAAGTATACTTTAATTAATATGCTGACGAGACAGCAGAGAGTTGGCATTATTTTTTAAATTTAGTTCTAAATTAGCAGGACCATTATTTACTTCTGAATAATCTTTGGTATTGCAGAAGTTGATGATTAACCACTTTTACTTTTAAAAAAGGAGTCTAACAGAGAACTTCAGTTTTAAGCAGGCTTTCATTCTTCATTCAAATGGAAGAAAAACATAAAATATTTTTTCCACTAGTTTAGTTACTGCACTAAGAAAACTAGACTCTCACATTAATGTCAAAAGATGTATTTTGGGGGGCTAATTAGCAATGAAACCTATAATTGAATAAACCATTATTTCTGAACAAAAGAAAAATGCTTTCTAGCAAGCAATTATTGCAAAGTTTCTGATCAGATCAGGTAAAAAGTAACCTTCAAAGAAAATAAAAGAACAATTTTTGTAAGCCTGTATTTCTGTATTACCTCCCTGTATTGGGAAATGTTGAGTGAACTATTTAGGTAGAAACTTAAACAAATTTCTAGACAGACTTGTATCTCAGAATAAAAAGTAACAGCGAATACTCCTTATCCCTGGCTAGACACAAAACAGGTACTCCTAGTTTACACAGTGAATAATTTAACTGAGATAACAAAGCCTTTTTCTGAAGAAACATCCATCTTAGATTCTCCAGATATTGAAGATCAGAAGATTATAATAACTATATAGCTATATGCATTCTACATATTTTGTTATAAAAGAGAAATAAATTTCTAGGTAAAGCATATTAAAAACAAACATTTTCAAAGCAACATAGCTGAGTCAGTTTGGAAAAAATAATCATTAGCAACTTACTTTGTCAACAGGACTTGGTAATGGTGCATGGATGACACTGAAAAGTAAAATTTAGAAGTTTTATCTAATATCCGGACAATAGAGGAAACAGAGTATGAGAGCACCAGAATATCTTACACCACAAAGTTTATACATTTGCCTTCATGTAATTAAAAAAAGGTGAACTATTTTTCAATCCTTCATAAATGTATAAAATTCTTAGAAAACAAAAATATGTAAACCTACCTTGTACACATCAATATAGTTCTAAAAACAAATTCCAAATCCAAAATGTATTAAATGCTCTTTGAGGAGCCACTACTTTTTGAGGGATATGATGAATTACTTGATTATACGAATTTCTATACAGAAAAGGAGTACTCTTTATCCATTTTCGGCTAGGCATGGTGGCTCATGCCTGTAATTCCAGCACTTTGGGAGGCTGAGGCGGGAGGATCACCTGAGGTCTGGAGTTCAAGACCAGCCTGGTCAACATGATGAAACCCTGTCTCTACTAAAAATATAAAAAAATTAGCTGGGCGTGGTGGCGCACACCATTAGTCCCAGCTCCTCAGGAGGCTGAAGCATAAGAATCGCTTGAACTCAGGAGGTGGAGGTTGCAGTGAGCCAAGATTGCGCCACTGCACTCCAGCCTGGGTGACAAAGTGAGACTCTGTCTCAAAAAAAAAAAAAAAAAAAATTATCCATTTTCAATTTTGAAATATGTAAATTATGTTCTTTTAAAATTAAACATTCCTATACAGAAAGTCTTAAAAAGCAAAGTTCTGGAAAGCAAGGTTATAATTTGGAAACTTGTTCCAGTGAAGAACAACTTTAATCAAAACACTACTATTCCTCTTCTCTACCCAGCCACCTCAGAAACTAACTGAAAACTTAGATGTATGTATGAAACTGAACTCAGAACAAAACATTAAATAGATGGCATTAATTGGTACCAGTTGCCTTGTTGGCCTGATAACTACTGCTGACAAAAAGGTAGTATAGCATCTCAGAAATTATACTGGGTCCAAAATCTAGCTCTACCCACCAGCTGAAAGGCAAATTGCCTAATCAATATAGGTCTCAGCTTCCTCATGCATAAAATGAGATAATCGAGTCAGGCACAGTGGCTCACACCTGTAATCCCAGGACTTTGGGAGGCCAAGGTGGGCGGATCACGAGGTCAGGAGTTCGAGACCAGCCTGGCCAACACAGTGAAACGTCATCTCTACTAATAATACAAAAATCAGCCAGGTGCGGTGGCATGTGCCTGTAGTCCCAGCTACTTGGGAGGCTGAGGTGGGAGAATCACTTGAACCTGGGAGGCAGAGGTTGCAGTGAGCCGAGATGATGCCACTGCACTCCAGTCTGGGCAATAGAGCAAGACTCCATCTCCAAAAAAAAAAAGGTGGGGGGGAGATAATCATACAACCAATTCCATGGAGTTATTGGGGATATTAAATGTATTCATATGAATAAAAGCTTAAAACAGTGCTTTGGAAATGGACTTGATCACTACTATTACTCTCATGAGAATACAGCAGCTAAGGAAGCTGGAGTCCCTATTTTACAAATCCCTGTAAGATACTGTTTATGTTGGGGGTGAGTACAGGGGACTCAAAACAAGGCTACCACGCATGACCTCTACCAGCTGCTAATCACTCCACATCCTAGAGGCCATTCTTATAATGGTTAGCTTGAAGGTTGACTGAGTAAAGTTCTTAGCTTGAACTGATAAATCATATGTAAGCTGCTGAAAAACTGATTAGATGTGAGTTAAAAATAGGAATAATTTTGATCCCACCTTAATAACTGCAAACACTGTAAGAACTGGTCTAATTCAACTAGTCACAAATACACTAAAATGCTGAATAAAATGGAATATTAACTACCAGCACCCACCTCCCTTCTGAGCACCCATGATACAGACTTCATTGAGCCTACATAAACTTTACTGTCCTTCTTTGATTATACATCTGTGTTCTCAGGAACTATGACCTATTCACCTGTATATGCCCAAAGCCCATCAGCAGGCCCTAACAAAGTTGGTGCCTAGTAAAGATTTTTTTAAAATTATGTATAACTTTACTCCAGAACATTGAAATAGGCATTTTAAACAATAATTTATTTTTCTTGAATATAACAAATATTGATTATGGAAAATGTGTGAAGTAAATCATGAGGAAATACATAAAAATTACTCAATACCAGCACTCAGAGATAACCATTGTGGGTATATATCCTTTTCTCTGCAGATATGCACATATAGTGAAATGAACTTAAGAATGTCTAAATGCCAGATGATTTGAGGTTAGGAGTTTGGGAACAGCCTGGCCAACATGGTGAAACCTGTTTCTACTAAAAATACAAAAACCAGCCGGGTGTAGTGGAGGGCACCTGTAATCCCAGCTACCTGGGAGGCTGAGGCAGGAGAATCACTTGAACCTGGGAGGCGGAGGTTGCAGTGAGCCGAGATCACACCACCGCACTACAGCCTGGGCAACTGAGCAAGACTCCATCTCCAAAAAAAAAAAAAAAAAAAAGTCTAAATAGAAACAAATGGTATAATAGGGATTTTTTTTTTAATTCACCTTTCTTAGTGACCCAAGTATAAAATCTTCTCATAACAATCCCATTAATAAACAAATGGCTAAAAATCCGGCAACACATTCCATAAGTGATATACATCTGTATTTTACAAAAACTACCCTGGATATAAGTATATTCTGAAGTATGAATTAAGTTCATATGCATATACAAACCATAAGAAGGAAATGTGGAAAATGAAAATAGTTACTTAGTGTTAGAGTGGTGGGATTATATGCAATTTTTTTTTTTAATTTTTAAAATTTTTTTTTGTGGAGACAGAGTCTCACTCTGTCACCCAGCCTGAAGTGAAGTGGTCTGATTTTGGCTCACTGCAACTTCCGCCTCCGGGGTTCAAGCTGTTCTCGTGTCTCAGTCTCCTGAGTAGCTGGGACTACAGGCGCTCACCACCACGCCCGGCTAATTTTTTGTATTTTTAGTAGAGACGGGGTTTTGCCCTGTTGCCCAGGCTAGTCTCAAACTCCTGAGCTCAGGCAATCTGTCCGCCTCAGAGTGCCAAAGTGCTGGGATTACAGGCACGAGCCACCTGCGCCAGGCCTCTCTGTTTCTAATCATTAGAAAATGGTTGGCCCAGGTGCAGTGGCTCATGCCTGTAATCCCAGCACTTTGGGAGGCTGAGGGGAGCAGATCACCTGAGGTCAGGAGTTTGAGGTAGCCCGGCCAATATAGTGAAACCCCATCTCTACTGAAAACACAAAAATTAGCTGGGCATGGTGGTATGCACCTGTAATCCCAGCTACTTGGGAGGTTGAGGTAGGAGAATCACTTAAACCTGGGAGGTGGAGGCTGCAGTGAACCGAAATCATCCCACCGCACTCCAGCCTGGTTGACAAAAGTGAGATTCTGTCTCAAAAAAAAAAAAAAAAAAAAAAGAAAGAAAAGAAAGAAAGAGAGAGAAAGGGAGAGAAAGAAAGAAAGAAAGAAAAAGAAAGAAAGAAAGAAAAGGAAGGAAGGAAGGCAATTATTGGCTGGGCCTCTTTGTTTCTTATCATTAGAAAATTATTGACCAGGCCTCTCTGTTTCTTATCATTTAAAAATTATTGGCCAGGCGTGGTGGCTCAGGCCTATAATCCCAGCACTTTGGGAGACCAAGGTGGGTGGACTGCCTGTGCTCGGGAGTTCAAGAGCAGCCTGGGCAACATGGTAAAACCCATCTCTACTAAAAGTACAAAAAATTAGCTGGGCGTGGTGGTGTGCACCTGTAGTCCCAGCTGCTCAGGAGGCTGAGGCACAAGAATTGCTTGAACCCGGGAGGTGGAGTTGCAGCAAGCCGAGATTACTACACTCCAGCCTAGGCAACAGAACCAGGCTGTCAAAGAAAAAAAAAAAAAAAAAAAAAAAAGGAAAAGAAAGAAAGAAAAAAGAAAACAAAACAAAAGGAAAATTATTTGTGCAGTGTAATAAAAATTAAGGAAGGAAAAAAGTCAGCTTGTTGAGTACTTACTATCTTCTGAAGTTCTTAAAAGCAATAAATGCTATGTACACAATGGAACTTAAACTCTAGGCTTTCTGGCATACCCAAAAGCATCTTAATGCTTTTAAAAATTAGTTTACAGTAATAGAAACAGCTAAAGTTTATTGTGTGCTTATTATATGCCAAGTACTATGCCAAGTTCTTTAAGTACTAAATCTTGTTTAATTCTCATAAAATTCCTGTTAAATAGGTACTATCATCATCTTCATATTTCAAATGAGAAAAATGTTGCCTGATCAAGTCACAGAACAAGTGGAGTCAGACTTTAAACTGGACTACCCAACTCTAAAGGCCATTCTGATCTTCCTCCAGCTCTGGAGAATTGCTTGTTCAAAATTCATCTTCTCCAGAAAGTTAGATTATGTATAACTATATTGGCAGCAAAAATTTAAGTGATACTAATATTTAACCATATAAGAAAAGACAAACAATGAGAAGAAAATGGGCAAAGATGAAAAGAATTAGAGAAACACAAAGGATAGAGACACAATACATTCCAACTGACTTTGAAAAAATTTACAAGTTCTACTAGATGGAACCTGAGAACACAGATGATTCCTTACGTAACTGTTCAAAGTTTTCAAACTGCATGAAAGAAAAATCTCATTATCAAATACAAACATCAAGGTCTTTAAGAAGCAATATATCATTAGTTGATTAATAGTTACTCATTTCTAAAACCTTAATTCTTAACTCTTAAAAGCTAAGTTATATTAAACTTCCTAAAGTTTATTTTAATTTTAATAATTAAGCTGTAATCGCAAATAGAAAACACATTAATGTTTTAAATTTACGATATTACTTCATATGCCAAGGACAAAAAAAAAGGAAAAAAAGAATTAAAATGTTTTAAAACCTATGCTATTTTGCTTCAGATATCTTGAAAAGTAAACAAACAAGGAAAAGTATGTGGCTTCTAACAAGCATAAAATAAATGATTCTACTGAAAGCACGGACAGTAATGGGAGGGCCTCGCTCTGCTTAATCTTTCCTTCTCACTTTCCTATTCAATGCTCTACTTTTCCTTCAATTTATTGCTTCTCTTAACCTCCTACCCTCAGGTCACTGTCTCTGTTTTTGAAAGACAGGAAAATATTATGTTGGGTATAAAAACAAGCTTCTAGCATATTCAAGGCTTTTCCCACAAATAAAAAATGTTAAGTTTAAAGATTGCTCAACTCCCTTCAACACTTCATAATAATAATCTCTGAAAACCCCAAGATCAAAATGTACTTACATATGCTTTTAAAAATCTAGATTTTATGGGTAATTTTCCCTTTCAAATGTCGGCCTCTAAATGACCTTTACACTCCTTCATACAAAAAGTAAATAGGACATTGGAAAAATCTTCAAAAACCTCCCACCAAAATAAGCTAACAACTATATTGGTATCCTCAAGGTCTTATAAGATTGTGACACTGGCATTAATACCAGAAGTGATCACAGTTTAAGAAGTCCTATATTAAATGAAAATAAAAAGGAATGAAGCTATCACTTACCAGTAACTTATATACTTGAAACATTGTGAAAAACAACTAATTATCCATCAAAATATAAATTAAATTTGGAAACAAAATAATCTTTGCCTTTGATACATTATTATTTACTAGAATTGTAACTAAAGCAAAGAAGCAATTTAAACTGAAGTGTATTATATTCCAAAAAGTACTAATCAATTTTCTAATATTATTTAAATAGTCCTGAAGCAGGTATTAGCAGTACACCATCACCTAGAATATTATTACTAAATTCTTTACAGTACTAAACTTCACAAAAACTTCACAGTACTAAATTATACTCACTCTGAGCGGAGCCGGGCTTCCATACCATCTGGTAGAAAAAGTTTTATTGTGGAAACAATACACCCATGGGTAACTGGTTGAAACAAACAAATAATATGGATGAAATAATTGTTTAAAAATATAAAACTTCACACCTCTCATATGTAAACATAGTTTATTCTTAAAAGTAACAATTTCTCAGAAAGAAAATAAAGCTAGTGGTTTAATGACATTATTACCCTGGAGAAACTCATCTTGTCCATAACGAATCACAATTTCAAGGTAGAAATAAGGATAGAATCATTTTGAAAAGTGTCTTAATCTCCAATTCTGTAATAATAGTCAATAAAAAGTCAGTTGAATATATGGAAATAAAATTGTGAGGGGGAAATACACTTTTCCCCATCTGCCAGTATCAAACATAAGGTCTGACTATTCCCAAATTTAAAATATAGTTCTTATTCCAAATCTTCCCTTCCCCAACCTATTACACACCTAACCACACCTCACAAAACTCTAAAGTTCTGCATAATACAGTTGAGAAATGCCACTCAATCCCCCATTTTATGGGTGAGAAAACCAAGACCTCAGACAAGTGAAACTGCTTCCACAATTCTCTGCTATTAAGTATCAGAATTGTTTGCTAGTGTCTCATGTTTCCATTTCAATATTTAAAATTTTGTTTTGTTTTCTTGATAGTTGTTTCTTCCTCCACCCCCAAAATGACATCAGTACAGTCCCTTTGTAGACAGCTTCTCACTGTTGCATCTTACTTCCTCCTTTTCCTATTGAAGATTTTAAGAGACAAAACTCCTGAAAGTAGCACTTGTACAGAGTTTCTCTATATGTGGGTTTAATTTTAAAAAATTGTTTTCTGGCTTGAAGGTTGACGGTTTTTTATTTCTCTTTATTCTTCAAATACTGTATTACATTTTCCAGAGTTCAAAGAATTATTTATTTCACTAAGCTCTGATTAAAAACTAATGCAGGCTGATGAGAATACACTACATCATGATTAGGGGAGTGGTGGTTATGAGACCATATATATTTGTCAAAACTCACTGAATTGTACATGTAAAATTGTGTTATACGTAAATTATATCTCAACAAAACTGAATTTTAAGAATAGAGCTAATGTTGGCCGGGCATGGTGGCTCACGCCTGTAATCCCGGTACTTTGGGAGGCCAAAGTGGATGGATCACCTGAGGTCAGGAGTTTGAGACCAGCCTGGCCAACATGGTGAAACCTCTCTACTAAAAACACAAAAATTAGGCCGGGCTCAGTGGCTCACGCCTGTAATCCCAGTACTTTGGGAGGCCGAGGCAGGTGGATCACCTGAGGTCAGGAGTTTGAGACCAGACTGGCCAACATGGCAAAACCCCTCTACTAAAAATATAAAACTTAGGCTGGGCACAGTGGCTTACGCCTGTAATCCCAGCATTCTGGTAGGCTGAGGTGGGCAGATCACCTGAGGTCAGGAGTTCGAGACCAGCCTGGCCAACATGGCAAAACCCCTCTACTAAAAATACAAAAATTAGGCCAGGCATGGTGGCTTATGCCTGTAATCCTAGCACCTTGGGAGGCCGAGGCAGATCACCTGAGGTCAGGAGTTCAAGACCAGCCTGCTCAACATGATGGTGGGTGCCTGTAATCCCAGCTACTCAGGAGGCTGAGGTGGGAGAATCGCTTGAGCCTGGGAGGCAGAGGTTGCAGTGAGCCAAGATCACGCCACTGCACTCCAGCCTGGGCGACAGAGTGAGACTCCATCCCAGAAAAAAACAAAAATAGCCGGTATGGTGGCAGGTGCCTGCAATCCCAGCTACTCGGGAGGCTGAGGCCAGCAGAACTGCTTGAACCTGGGAGGCGAAAGTTGCAGTGAGCCGAGACCATGCCACTGCACTCCAGCCTGGGTGACAGAGCGAGACTCCATCTCAAAAAAAAAAAAAAAAAAAAAAAATAGAGCTAATGCATTTGGGGATATTAAATGATCAGGCCGACGAATCATCAAGATGATATTATAAACATGAAGTAATATGACTGTCATCTGGAAATGCACATTAAAATTAAGGAATTTAACACCATGTATTCAATATTGATTTTCATTACTAATTGATTATATAAAAAGTGCTAACACAGATCAAGAACCATCTATTGGCAGGGCACAGTGGCTCACACCCCTAATCCCAGTGCTGTGGGAGGCTGAGGTGGGGGGATCACTTGAGTTCAGCTTGGGCAACATAGTGAGACCCACTCTCTACAAAAAATTTTAAAATTAGCAGGGTGGGGGTGGTGCACACCTGTACCCAGCTACTCAGGAGGCTAAGGCTGGGGGATCGCTTGAGCCTGGGAGTTCGAGGCTACAGTGACCCATGATCACACCACTGCACTCCAGCTGGGCAAGACCCTGTCTCAAAAACACAAACAAACAAACAACAATAAAAAACAGAACCATCTATTGGCAGTCTTCTAAACTCTGCCCAGCACAATAACCATGGCCATGAACCACTGGGCTCCTTCATTCCTGTCTGACCTCATCCTCTATCCTGCTACGAAGGATATCCTATACAAAGCCAAGCTACCTGCGATCTCCAAGCACTTTACCTTTCACAGCCCCATGCCTTTTACACAGGCTGTCCCTTCTGTAAGCAATGTTTTTATCCTCTCGCCTGCATGACCATGTGCTACTTAGTCTCCAGGCTCAGATTTTCTAATTCCTTCACCAAAGCTCAGTATCTGGGTAAGATGTCCCCAGAGCCTCCTATATCTATTTCTTAAAACATTAAGCACATTGCATTGTGAATATTTACGATTTACAGAAACTGTTGTCTCACCAATTAGATTCAACTCTTTGAGGGCATCAAGGATTATCTGCTTCTCAGTTTAAAAACCTGTGTACTTAGCAGAGTCATCTGGTACAGAAAGCATTTTACTGAAGATGTTGAGGAACATGCCTGCTTAGTATTTTATAGCTCCCATTACTCCTGTGCAAAGATGTTTCTTACTTTTAAGACATTAGGGTTCATCTCTATTTGTAGGAACCACCTAGCTTTCTCCTTTCCCAGGCAAAAGACAGAAGAGATGGATTTCTCTCTCTTATGATAAATGAGTTTCTAGAGGATGGCTCCTCAAGACATTCACTATAAATAGCCTATAATAAATACAGGAGCATAATACAACATGAAGATCCAGCAATACCTACACTTTAATTTGGTAGAAAGTTGTTTTTTTAAAAAAGAAAAATAGGTAGAACAAGTTATAGAATAAAACTAGTTCCAGAGGTGACAACCTGTGATATACAACATCAGTAATTCTGTTGTTCAGACACATTACCCTGAAAGTTCAGCAAATGAGCTGATGCGCAAATCTATGAGATGAACCAAGGGCTAATATTGACTGGGCAGTACAGAGTTGCTGCACAGTTGAAGGCAATTTAAAAAACAAAAACAAAAATAACCCACGTCTGACTAAGCTCACAATTTAGTCCAGTCAACGATGCCTTTAATGTGATTCTCATGACAACCAGATACACACATGCATAGACATGTTATCCTTTTGATTTGCAACAGGCAAGTAATTAAAGCAACCTGATGAAAATATTTTGTTCTAATACTTATATTAATCAACTACACATAGCAGCATTTCCCAAAATGCTAGCAAGTGTTACAAAAAAGGATCTGAGGGTCTGATGAGTTTGGGAAATGCTTGGTTTAAAAGAGATTTAGGGGCCAGGCACAGTGGCTCACGCCTGTAATCCCAGTACTTTGGGAGGCCGAGGTAGGCAGATCACGAGGTCAGGAGAGAGAGACCATCCTGGTTAACACAGTGAAACCTTGTCTCTACTAAAAATACAAAAAAATTAGCCGGACGTGGTGGTGGGTGCCTGTAGTCCCAGCTACTAGGGAGGCTGAGGCAGGAGAATGGCAAGAACCCAGGAGGCAGAGCTTGCAGTGAACCGAAATCGTGCCACTGCACTCCAGCCTGGCCAACAGAGTGAGACCTTGTCTCAAAAAACAAACAAACAAACAAACAAAAGATAGATGAAGATTAATGGGACATTCTCAAATTTACTCAACCAATATGTTCCAGGTTGTGTGTGGAGATTCTACAGTGAAGACAGACACACTTCCTATAGTTGCACAGCTTACAGTTTAGTGAGGGCAGTAAACACATAAAAGGGATGAGTACAGGGTACAACAGGGGCATGGAGTGGGCACCTTGTCCAGCCCTGAGGATCAAGAAAGGTTTCTAGGCATAGGAAAAAGCATGTGCAAGGGCTTGAAGGCCATGTCTATTAGGGGGAGTAAAAGTAATTCAGTGCAGTTGAAGCACAATGCCAAAGGAAGATACACCATTGACTTTGCTCTTTATAGGCCCTTTGTTCACAGGAGCTTAACTAAGAAAAAGATATTGGTGATGAAGGCCTGAAGTAATAAGCTGACTGAAGTTACATGTGTTCACAGAACTAACTGGCCCCAAGCTTTGCAAGAGAGGGTTACTGTAATAATGTGTGACCCAGAAAACTCACTCTTTAAGCAGTTTGTGGGTCCAGGAAAAGAGGAGTGGCCAGTGGTTAGGTTAGTAAACCTTGGCTTTCTCACTTTCTTCCTTTCTTTTAAAAAATCTATTAGAATGTCAGCTCTTTGTTTACAATAATATTTTATCAGTATAGAGCAGCTTATGTGTACATGCCTGACCATTGAGTTTTCTCCTTGAAGCCATACACAAAGAATGCCAAACATCAAAATCAGATTGTTGGTGGGGTCCAGTGGCTCAAGCCTTTAATCCCACCACTTTGGGAGACTGAGGCAGGAGGATCACTTGAGGCCAGGAGTTCGAGACCAGCCTGGGTAACACAGTGAGGCCCCATCTCTATAAATTAAAAAAATTTAAAAAACAGATTGTTTTGGATTGCTAAGAACAGAAATGACACTAATATGAACCGATATGTTCAGTGGTATTAGGCTCATGTTACCTTTTTAACAAAATCCTGATACACACACATACAATCTTACATATTATATATATTCTTTTTCTGAAATTTTTTAACATATACACAAATTAGTTTATATAAATACATAAATGTCCTACATACTGGGTGATTTTTTAATTGTAGTTCTAGTAACCTTTCCCTTTTAATTTGGCTCCCTCTTCTCCTCTATTCCTTCTTCCCTCCCACCCACACTCCTGGACGACTCACATTAAAGATCTAGAGATATATATGTCTAACATATATGTATTTATAGGGATTGGTGAGACTATTTTAAATAATGAAATTATTAAAAACAATTGATTCTTTCTTTACTCAACATTATATCTTATAGAAATCCCTGCAATTAATATAATTTTTTCTTTTTAATACCTGTAAAATGGGGAGTTTTAAAATTATGCTTCCATTGTTTTTAGTATGATACACACTGATGCCAAAAACATCCTTTCATAAATCCTATTTATCATTCACATGTATACAAATGTACTTTATTATAAGTGTATTCAAAAGCACTATATAGTATTGTTTTGCAGGCATTCATGCTTTCTGTAAATGGTTACACTATACAAATCCTTCGACAGTTTGCTTGAGATAAAGTTTGAGATTTATCTTGTTTATATATGCAAATTTAGTCCATACATTTTCACAGCTGTATAGTATTTTGCTATTTTTTATTCTATTTTACTTAACATTTTTATTTTACTTAGTTTTCTTTTCATCCTATTTATTTAGAATTTTTATTAGGGGTAACTTCTAAATTTGATCAAATGCCTTTTCAGTATCTCTGGTTATTCAGCGACACAACTACTGATTATACAGTTGCATGGTCTTTCTACTTTAGTCTGTGGATTATGTTGATAGACTGCCTGATACTGACTCATCTTGGCATTTCTGGAATAAATCCTACTTTGTTGTTTATTCTAGCTTTATTTCTGAATTTAATTTGTTAATATCTTTTGTTTTTAGAGACAAGGCTGGAGTGCAATGGCATGAACAGGGCTCACTGCAGCCTCAACTTCCTGGGCTCAAGTGAAGTGATCCTCCCACCTCAGCCTCTGGAGTAGCTGAGACAAGTGCAAGCTGCCAGGCCCACAGCTAATTAAAAAAAATTTGGGGGCCAGGGGAGCGGGTAGAGACAGTGTCTCCCTATGTTGCCCAGGCTGGTTTGAACTCCTGGGCTCAAGGGCTCCTCCTACTTCAGCCTCCCAAAGTGCTGGGATTACAGGTGGGAGCCACTGTGTCTGGCCTAATAGCATTTTTTTTTTTTTTTTTTTTTTTTTTTTGAGACAGGGTCTGGCTCTGTTGCTCAGGCTGGAGTGCAGTGGTGCGGTCATGGCTCACTGCAATCTCTGCCTCCCAGGCTCAAGCCATCCTCCCACTTCAGTCTCCCAAGTAGCTGGGACTACAGGCGTGCGCCACCACGCCCAGCTGATTCTTGCATTTTTGGTAGAGATGGGGTTTCACCATGTTGCCCAGGCTGGTATCAACCTACTTGGCTCAAGCAATCCACCTGCCTCAGACTCCCAAAGTGCTAGGATTACAGGCATGAGCCACTATGCCAAACCCTGGCCTAGTATCTTAATTGAAATTTTTCATCTATTGTTATAAATAAAATTAATTATAGTTTTCTTTTTTGTATCTATATCTTTATCAGATTTTCACATTAATGATATGCTAGGTTCTTTAAAGGATTCTGAAAGCTTTCCATCTTTATGTTTGGAATTACTTAAATAACACAGGGTTTATCTGTTTTTTAAAAACAGAGGGATCAGCTGTAAATCCCTCTGTTTCTGGTGTCTTTTCAATGGTGAATCTTTAATAACTTTTTAGTCTCTTTCAAAAACAATCAATTAATCAAATTTTTCCACTTCTTGAGATAATTTTGCTAGGAAAACATCAATTTACTCTAATTTTTTCTTTTCTCTTTGCCATAGATAGCCATATAAGATTCTCTTATTATTCTTGTAGTATATCCTGTATTTGTGTTTTATTTCTCCTTTCTCATTTCTCATCTTGTATATTTTCGCTAGTATTTTTAACTTAATGCATTACGGTTTATTAATTACCTTGTTCACTGTTTGTTTTCTTTTTATTAATAAAAGAACCAGCATCTGGGTTTGTTTATCCCTTGTAGAATTTTTTGTTTCATTAATTTCTGCTTTTATTTCTCCTTTTCAGATTCTTTTACTTATTCGTTTTCTAATTTCTTCTGATTAGTGTCAGATTTCTTAATTGTCTTTCTTCTTTAACATGAATGGAATTTAAGATTATTAATTTTATCTGACTAAAAGACTTACTGTATTTTGGCATAAAAGTCTCCTCTCTTTACAATACAGTGTGAAATTTCCCTTTTGATTTCCTCTTTGATCCAGGGGTTATCTAGTAGTGTTGCATAATTTCAGGAGCATTCTCCAAGTGATACAAAAGTTATCACAGCACTGTTTAGCATAGGATAAAAATCAATACTTTTTTTCTGGTATGTCCTTAAACAGGTAGTACTCAACTGGTGACACAGCTGTATCCCAAGAGCCCGTGCTTAACATAAGTCAACTTTTTGAAGCCAGTAAGTACCAAAAGAAACAACATTTTAAATGTTGCAAGTTTTTTTTTTTTTAAATCTAATCTCCTTAAAGTTAGCATAAAAGATAAATCAAATTTCACAGAAGACTGTAAAAATCTAATGTTACTGGCCAGGCGTGATGGCTTAGCCTGTAATCCCAGCACTTTGGGAGGCTGAGATGGGCAGATCACGAGGTCAAGAGAACGAGACCATCCTGGCCAACATGGTGAAACCCCGTCTCTACTAGAAATACAAAAATTAGCTGGGCATGGTGGCATGCACCTGTAGTCCCAGCTACTCGAGAGGCTGAGGCAGGAGAATCACTTGAGCCCGGGAGACAGGTTGCAGTGACTGGAGATGGTGCCACTGCACTCCAGCCTGGCAACAGAGTGAGACTCCGTCTCAAAAAAAAAAAACTAATGTTACTAAAATAAGATTATACTAAGAGGAACCTTGAATCTCAGGGTCATCTTCTTAGCTTTCTATAGCATTTTCTAAAGAGTATCCCTCACAGATAGACCCTCACAGATAGATGGGAAAAAACAGTGGAAAGGAGTTTGGAAAGAGTTGCATTCTATAATGGCCACCTCCTTGGAAATCTGCATATATGTTAGCATATTAAAAGCTCCAAGAAGTCCTGCTTATCTTACCTAAGTATTCTCTAAATGTATTTCATTACCTCATCCTTTTTGTCAATCAACACCTAATAATTCCCTTTAGGAAATGCAAGCCAAGAAGACAGACATTCCTTGGAGAGAAAGACAATGTAATCAAATTCTCTTTTTCTCTATGGGTTACTCACAGTTGGGGTTCCATTTAATGAGCTCGGTTTACTGTTTGCTGAATGACTTGTAGGTGTGATATGGCAACAGCAGATATAGGAGTGTCTAATGCAGCTGTTCCCAGTATGGTCATATATAAGTTGAATTCTCTTAGTAAGAAGTGTCAATATTCTTTACCAAAATACAAACCTTTCTTTTTTGGTTTACAATTGTAAATGGAAATTCCTAAGATGTTGGCCCTGCCCAAATTCAAATATCAAAACCTAACTTTCTGAGGAGGCCAAAAAAACCCATTAAAAATAATACTGCTGTTGCAATACCAGTGAAAGTATATGCATAAATATGCATATGAACACACACACACCAGCATCATCAGCATTATCATCATCACCACCATCACCATCTCTACTATGCAAAATTCTGACCAGTATCACCAGATCAGAGTATGTTCAGACAAATGAAAGGAGAAACTTGCCAAATGGTTGCACTATCCATATTAAACTAATGAAGTGGAACTAAACACTTATGGTTTTTATCCATTTAGTTTTATGATTTAGCTATATAATTTCATGGTCATAAAGAAGACCGTGAACTAGGTAGAGGCAGGAAGCTTCTGAATTGTAAAAACAAAGATCAATCTACATTTATTTAGCTAAAGAACTTTCAAAAATTGTGAGACATTAAATTTTATTTTATACTTGTGATAGCTACTATTAGCTGCCTACCTCTACTACCTTTCCATCTTCTTTCTTGCTAAGAGAGCTCTAATTTTGTTTGGGGTAACAATGTACACACAACCTGAAGGAATAAATCAAAACTGATCTATGTCAATCATAGATCTTCTTGCTCCCTTTCACGAGATTAAGTAACTTCACCAGACTTCTTTGTAGCTGCAGGTAACTATGTATGCGATCTACCCATGTGGCCAGTGAGACCTAAGGAGAAATCTGCTGGGAGGATTCTGCAAAAGATTGTTCTTTCAACATAAGAAGAGAGCCACACAAGAAGGCATTTTATCCCCGCCTCATCCTTTTTGCCTAGGATACTGGTGTGAGGAAAATGATGCCTGGGGCTTGCAGCCATCATCTTATGACCATGAAGCAACAACCAAAAGCATGAGAAACTAAAATGTTTAAGACAGTAGAACAGGAAGACAGTAAGACCCTGGATCCCTGATGATCTCATTGAGTCAACTGAACAAATGAACCTATCTGCCTCCAGATCTCTCATTAAGTCTCATCATCAATAATAAATATCCTGTGATTTAAGCTTGTCTTGGTGGGGTATGCTGTCATTGCAGCTGACTGGTCCCTGACTGTGATGAAGAATATAAACTACTAAATAACACTTCAGAATTTAAAATTTTAGAAGAGCAATACGGAAAGTATGAGACTTTTAACTTTTCACTGTATATAATGCTGTATTTAAATCGCTTTCACAAGCATGTAATGTTTCATAATGTCAAGTAAGATAATAAAAAATTAAATAACCTTTAAAAGACAAGTAATAAAAAAAGTGATCCATACCCGTACCTTTCCGTGTATTCTCTGTCACGTCTACTCCAAACTGGATAATGTCACCGGAAAGAATTTCACATGGTGGACTTTCTTCAGAGCCTCGACTCAATCTCTGGCTATTTATAAAAGTACCATTACTACTTTTAGTGTCTTGAAGATAAAACTGCAAAAAAAAACAAAAACAAAAAAGGGCCAAATATTAATAGTAATAATTCCAAATGTACTTTTTAAAAAAATGCTTCCAGCTTTGCCAACTATTGCAAGTGAATTTTTCCCCTATTAATTCAAACCACTCATTTCAGCTAAGGTTCTCCTTTAATATATATGAAATTAGAATCTGAAAACTAGGTGATTTAAAATTCAGCTACATAAAACGGTACAACCTCTTTGGAAAAAGAGTTTGTCAGGTCCTCAAAATGTTAAACATAAAGTTAGTATACAACTCAGCAATTCCACTCCTAGGTATACATCCAAGAGAACTAAAAACATGTTCTCATAAAAACTTCTACACAAATGTTGGCATTATTCATAATAGCCAAAAAGGGAAAATAATCCAACTATCCATCAACTGATAAATGAATAAACAAATGTGGTAGACATTCATATAACTGAATATTATTTGGCAATAAAGGGGTGAAGTATTGATAACATGCTATAACATGAATGAACGTTTAAAACATTATGTGAAGTAAAAGAAGTCAGTCACAAAAGACTGATGTATTATAATGATTCATTTTATATGAAACATCCAGAATAGGCAAAGCTATACAGACAAAAAGTACATGAGTGCTTACAAAAGGCTGAAGTGGCAGGTAGGAATGGGATGGGTACAAGGTTTCTTTTTGAGATGATGAAAATATTCTAAAATTAGTGGTGATGGTTGTCCAAATTTGCTTCTCATCACTTGGGTAACCCTCCCTCTTTAAAAACAGAAAGGATAGCAGGAGGCACAAGAAGCCTACCTATTTATCACTTACAAATCCTTAAAAATTTCAGCACAACTGGGATCACACACAATAGACTTACTAGGAAGAGAACCACCAGTAAAAAAAGACGTACCTTTCTTTTTCGATTTTTCTACACTCTTCAGCCCTACTTATTTTAGTAACACATTTTCGCTGAATTTCTTCCTAAGGAAGAAAGGTAAAAAGACACCTAATACACTATATATCAAAATATACTTTTGCCATCAGGCCCTCATTTAACATTAAAGCTATGATAAAGATATTACTATTTTAGGCCAGGTGTGGTGGCTCACGCCTGTAATCCCAGAACTTTGGGAGGCTGAGGCGGGCAGATCACTTGAGGTCAGAGGTTCGAGACCAGCCTCGCCAACATGGTGGTGTATGGTGGTGTGGTGGCACGTGCCTGTAATCCCAGCTACTTGGGAGGCTGAGGCAGGAGAATCACCTGAACCCGGGAGGCAGAGGTTGCAGTGAGCCAAGATCGTGCCCCTGCACTCCAGCCTGGACAACAGAGCGAGACTCCATCTCAAAAACAAACAAACAAACAAAAAAAGATATTACTACTTTCATTTATAAAGGAAAAAAGTGAGATGCAGGTATATTAAGTATCTTTCAAAAGTCACAGAACTGGGGAACACAGAAGCAAGAGTTCAAATAAGAAAATTAAAAGGGCCATTTTTCCTCATTACTTCACAGGGGACACAGACTTTATGTTTCATTTATCCTTCACCCCTCCCACAGCTCTCTTCCAAAATTAAATACAACTAAAGACTAAGAAGCAATCTGCAGAAAATGTTCAAATTACATTTCATTTCATTAATTGGTAGCTGACAATATAAAGGCCACTAGGCTGTCTATAAATGACTTATTCTCTGTTTATAATTCAAAATAGACCAACTGTTACTTTGATTAGCAGTTTGTATATCTAATTACAGACGATTAATTAGAAAATTGTGTTGATATTTTAAATACATTTGAAACTTACAGGACTTAACATTTCACCCAGGGAGATAAGGACAGACAATACTTTCAAGTAGGAATATTTACCCTCAAAATTTTTTCTACACTGGAACTTAATGTTACATTGTATAAGAGAGTTTTTTTTTTAATAAATATATTCTTGGGAAATGTGGTAATGTCTGGATTCTGGTCAGGTTATTTTTAGTAATATGTGCCTGGGCAAGTTAAATAAGGGGATTATATGATATTTACAGTGGTTTTCAAACTTCAAGTTCTGATACATTAGTGGGTTACTAAGCCAATTTAGTGAGTTGCAACTAGCATTTTTTAAAAAAACATAAAATGGAACAGAATAAAAATAAAGAATACATGAAAAAAGGTTTATTACTGTTTAACAACACTGTTGAAAAACAAAAAGAAATATATGTACATATATATACAACATATATATGTATGTATATCAACACCTCATGTTTGTAGCTTCTATATAACTCTAAAACCACAACATATTTTCAAATTTAAAAGGTTTTACATCAGGGCCCAGACACAGTGGCTCATGTCTGTAATCTCAGCACTTCGGGAGGCCAAGGTGGGAGAATCACTTGAGCCCAGGAGTTCAAGACCAGCCTGGGCAACAAAGTGAGACCCCATCCCTACAAAAAAATACAAAAAATCAGCTGGGCATGGTGGTGCAGGCCTGTAGTCCCAACTACTCGGGAGGTTGAGCTGGGAGGATGGCTTGAGCCCTGGGAGGTTGCGGCTGCAGTGAGCCATAATCATGCCACTATACTCCAGCCTGAGCAACAGCATGAACTCCTGTCTCAAAAAAAATTTTTTTTCTTACATCAATATCAACCCAGGTTCTTTTCATTCTGACATGTCTATATTACCGTCCAAAGCATACCATGGTACCTTTGGCCTCCGTTTAGCTTGAACATATAATTTATATTAGTTGCTCGTTCTTCTTCTGCTTTCAACCTGCTAATGGCTTTCAAACACCTTAGAATAAAATCCGAAGTCCTTACCATTGTAGCCCTACAGGATCTGGTCCTGGTTCCCTCACAACTCAATCACTCCCACTCTTTTCCTTCTGCATCCTTTTCAGTTACACTAACTTCTATTCATCCCCCTAACCCTCTGTACTTGTATACAGCTACAGCACATTAGTTTAGTTCTCTACAGAAATATTTTCATTTATATAATTTAACCTTTTGCCCTTGGCTGTTTTGAAAGATTGACATATTAAAAAAAAGATTCTGTACCTCCTGTAAAACAATTTACCATTAATCAGTCTACATTATGTATAGAAGTTATTCTGTTTACTATCAGGTTAGGTTTCTAAGGTATAAAAATGTTAAACTAGGCTGGGCATGATGGCCTACGTTTGTAATCCCAGCACTCTGGGAGGCCAAAGCGGGTGGATCACCTGAGGTCAGGAGTTTGAGACCACCCTGGCCAACATGGTGAAACCCCATCTCTACTAAAAACACAAAAAATTAGCTGGGCATGGTGGTGCACGCCTGTTATCCCAGCTACTCGGCGGCAGTGAGGGGCTGAGACAGGAGAATTGCTTGAATCTGGGGGGCAGAGGTTGCTGTGAGCTAAGATCGTGCCACTGCACACTTCAGCCTGGGCAATAGAGTGAGACTCTGTCTCATAAATAAATAAATGTTAAACTGTTTGCAAGGGCCTAGAAAGGGAGTATGCTTATAGTCCCTGGGTACATTTCCAGCAAGTAGATATATTACTTGATCCTTTGTCAAATTCAAACCAGAAATATCCTTCTCCTCTATGCTGATAACCTTCTTCTATCAGGCTTTTATTCCCTCCTCTTAAAAGGAGTTTTGACCACATTAAAAAAGAAATAAAGAATCTGTTGAAGTCTTAACTATCTTTCTTTCCCAGTAGCCTAAGGAATGTCCTAGCAGCTGTAGTATTTGCATTAGCCACCAGACATTCACTTTGATGTTGAGCAGGTGAGTAAGGAGCTCTGAATTTAAAAACCCTGTGTGGCTTAAGGTGAAAGTTCAACAGCAGCACTTTCATTGTTTTAAGGTTTTAATTCTTTGATCAACTCCTTGCTTTCCCTGAATAAACTTTAAGTTCCCAACAATCAGGCATTGATGGTGATCCTTGAATTGAAAGGTTTACCCCTGTCTCATCAGTCACTTTTCCTTGTCTCTTGCTGATTAACTTCAATGACACAGGAACAGCACTTCACAGGTTGCACAATTTGCTCTTTGACCTTCAGAAAGTTCCTGCTATAGATGAATTCATTCCATAAATACATACATTTTGCATCACTTTCAACTTTGCTACAATCTGTAAATATTTTCATTTCCATTATAATGATACACTGATTCTTTTTAACTCTTTCTACATTGATAGGTTTTGCAATATCCAAACACCAACAGATGAATAACATTTGAAGTAAAGCTTCAGAACAAAGCACAAATATAGTAGACACACCACAGGCCAGGGGCCACAAACTCTAAGTCCATATAGGGGAGTTCTTAAGATATGAATGCAGAATAGATTCGAGGTAGATAGCAGATACTGCAACAAAAATTTTTAATCTCCTTGAATCACCACCTAAAATCAGAGTGACTAAGATAGCAAAACCAAAATCCCATGGGAAACATTTGTAACAAAAGTAGGTGACACAGTACCCACACAAACCCCAAAATAAGAGTGGGGAAGACCACCAAAAGCCACAAGACCTGCATGGAATCAGCATCTGTGCAGAAGGATACGTAAGGAAACAAAGGGGGCATTTGGGGGACTTGAGGACAACACCAAAATAGCTATTAGGTGTTCACTGGACAGTATGGAGGCCAACTGAAGAAAAGCTGGAAATGGGAATGGTGTGGCTCAATCCAATAACAAGTGAGTGCAGGGTAAGTTCCTAAAAAGGCTGGAACAGTCTGAGCCATATAAATTCTTAAAACCAACCTACCAACCAAAGCTACCTTCCAGGAATGGGCTCCAAACTGAGGGAAAACTGCTGGGAGTGGAACCAAAATTAAGCAGAACAGGGACAATAGAGACAAGGAAAGAAAAGGTTCAGATAAAAGTTGAGAAGGGGAAAGGAAGCCACCATATTTTTAAACATTTTACAAAAACAACAGAAGAGGGAGCTCTGTGAATTAGAAAAGTTATCCTGAACCATGACCCCTTTTTAAAGTTCAGGAAAACCAATTTCATATAAAAATTAGCAACAGAAATGTATCAAGGTCACATCCATACAGTTATTTTAAGAAAAAAGAGAATAAGGAGCAGAATAGTATCTTTACAGATAATGAAAAACAGACCTTGGGAAGAGATCAAAACTGTAAACTTCTATTTCAAAACAAGCTAAAAGACATTAGAAAAATAATTCAAGACATGAAAGAGCAAAATAAATCACAATTATACAACTCAAGAAAAGGTGAAATAACTCAAAAGAATAGAAGTAAAAGGAAAAATTCATTTTAGAAATGAATACAAATTAGAAGGCTCACAAGAGTGATTAAATATAACAAATAATGCCTTAGAGTAAATAAAAGGTTTTAAAAAGGGTAAAATTTTTTAAAACCATAAAGAATGAAGAAAGTGACATCAGCAAAATGCCAGAGTAGGCAGCTCCAAGCTCCCCATAGAAACACTGAAAAACAAGCAGAAACTATCAGAACCAACTTTGTTAAAAGTCTCGAAAACAGTCAAAGGTTTACAGCACCCAAGTAAACGCTGAATCAAGAAAAAGGCAATTAAAATATAGGAAAGCTTTGTGGCATTACTTACCCTAGTCCCATCCCCCTCTCCAGCACAAAATAAGTCTTGGAGACATCAGCCTGCATTCCCAGCGTGGGACACCCTGGTACCTAGTTCCAGAGGGAGCAGAGCAGACCTTAATCACAAATTATTTTGTCTAATTTTCACCTGTCTGGGGCTATAGGAAGAACTGGTGCAAGGCTTTCATCTTTGTTTTGCCTAACTCAGAACTCATCCAAGCTGTAAAAGTGGCTGGCATTGCTTTGTTAAGTGGGATTTACCCTAGGTGGTTCAACTTTAAAAAGGTATTTTATAATATAAAAATGTTTAAATGCCCCACATTTGTAGAAAATGAAAAAAAAAAAAAAAAGAAAACACACAATCATCTCAATGCAGAAAAGGCATTTGATGAAATATAAAATCTTTTCACAATAAAAGCACTCAGAAAGCTAACGTTAGAAGGGAACTTCCTCAACATGATAAAGGGCATTTATAAAAAACCAACAGCTAACATAATACTCAATAGTAAAAGACTGAAAGCATTCCCCATTGAGATCAAGAACAAGACAAGGATGCCGGCTTTCACCACTGCTGTTCAACACTGTACTAGAAGTTTCTTGTCTAGAAAGAATAAAAAAAAAAAAAGGCATTGAAATTGGAAAGGACGAAGTAAACTATGTTTATTCACAGATGACATGATCCTATATATAGAAAACCCCATAGAATTCACATGAAAACTATGAGTTAAACAAATCCAGCAAATTTGCAGCTTACAAGGTTAACACACAAAAAACAGTGTTTCTACATACCAGCAATGAATAATTCAAAAAGGAAATTAAGAAGACAATTCCATTTCCATCTAGAAGAATAAAATACCTATGAATAAATTTAACTGAGGAGGTAAAAGATTTTTACATTTAAAAACTGTAAAATATTGCTGAAAGATATTAAAGATGGTCTAAATAAATATAAAGATGTCCCCATGTTCATGGACTGGAAGTCTTAATACTGTGAAGGTATCAATATTTTCCAAAAAAATCCACAGATCCGGCACAATCCCTATCAAAATTCCAATGACCACCTTTTCTGCAGAAATGGAAAAGTCCATCCTCAAATTCATATGGAAATTGCAAGGGACCTTGAGTAGGCAATATAATCCTGAGAAAGAAGAACAAAGTTGGAAGATGCATATTTCCTGAATTCAAAACTTACTACAGAGGTACAGTAATCAAAACATTGTGTTACCGGCATACGGACAGATATAAAGATCAATGGAATAGAACCTAGAGTCCAGAAATAAATCCAAACATCTACAGCCTAGTGATTTTCAAAGTCCATTCAATGAGGAAAGAATCATCTCTTCAATAAATGATGCTGGGAAAACTGGAGAGACACATGCAGAAAAGTAAAGTTGGACCCCTGCCTCATACCATACACAAAAATGAACTCAAAATAAATTAAAGAGTTAAATATAAAAGCTAAAACCATAAAATACTTTTCGGCCATTATTTCTCTGACTATTTTTTCTGTCCCTTTCTCTCTCTCCTTCTAGGATTACCACAATGCATATGTTGGTAAGCTTGATGTCTTCTCATAAGTCCCTTAGGGTATGTTCATTTCTCTTCAAATTTTTCTCTCTGCTCCTCAGACAGGGTAATTGCAATTGCTTTGTCTTCAAGTTTACTTATTCTTTCTTCTGCCTGTTCAAATCTGCCATTGAACTCTCTACTGAATTATATTTTTTATAATTTTCATCTCTGTACTATGTTTCCCATTGATACATTGTTTTCCTGATTTCCTTTAGTTCTTTGACCATGATTTCCTTCACCTCTGTGGGTATATTTAAGATAAAGTTTTTTTTAATGCAGCCAAAAGACACATGAAAAAATGCTCATCATCACTGGCCATCAGAGAAATGCAAATCAAAACCACAATGAGATACCATCTCACACCAGTTAGAATGGCGATCATTAAAATGTCAGGAAACAACAGGTGCTGGAGAGGATGTGGAGAAATAGGAACACTTTTACACTGTTGCTGGGACTGTAAACTAGTTCAACCATTGTGGAAGTCAGTGTGGCGATTCCTCAGGGATCTAGAACTAGAAATACCACTTGACCCAGCCATCCCATTACTGGGTATATACCCAAAGGATTATAAATCATGCTGCTATAAAGACACATGCACACGTATGTTTACTGCGGCACTATTCACAATAGCAAAGACTTGGAACCAACCCAAATGTCCAACAATGATAGACTGGATTAAGAAAATGTGGCACATATACACCATGGAATACTATGCAGCGATAAAAAATGATGAGTTCATGTCCTTTGTAGGGACATGGATGAAGCTGGAAACCATCATTCTCAGCAAACTATCACAAGGACAAAAAACCAAACACCACATGTTCTCACTCATAGGTGGGAATTGAACAATGAGAACACATGGACACAGGAAGGGAACATCACACACCGGGGACTGTTGTAGGGTGGTGGGAGGAGGGAGGGATAGCATTAGGAGATATACCTAATGTTAAATGACGAGTTAATGGGTGCAGCACACCAACATGGCACATGTATATACATGTAACAAACCTGCACGTTGTGCACATGTACCCTAAAACTTAAAAGTATAATAAAAGAAAAATAAAAAAATAAATTACCCAAATCAGAAAAAAAAAGATAAAGTTTTTGTCTGATAAGTCCAATGTCCGCATTTCCCCAAGGATGGTTTCTGTCCATTTTTCCCCCCAGCAATGGGCCATACTTTCCTCTTTCTTGTATGCTTTTTAATTTTTTCTGGATATTTTGAATACTGTAATGTGGTAACTCTGGAAATCAGGCTCCCTTCTCTCCCCAGGACTGCTGTTGTTACTTGATGAGGGTGGCAGCCAGCCATTTGTTTAAGTGAATTTTCCAACCTATTCTTTGCAAGGATTATACTCCCTGCCATATGTGGTCACTGAAGTCTCTGTTATCTCTGCAGTCATCCAGTGACCTAACACAGATTTCCTTAAGTGCCTGGATCCAATAAGAAAAGGAGTTTGAGGGAATGTGCTGTCTCTTTAAATCTTAAATGGCTAATGCCAAGTAAGTCATTTCAGCTTGTGGGGGTTGAAACAGCTGGCACCTCAGCAATTAAAAATAGCAATCATAATACACAATCCCAATTTTTAAAGGTCCCAAACGCCCACCTGGGGACCAGCAAGTCATACCAGGAACACAGGCAACCATCACCTGGCTGCTACAGGATTGAGGGATGGGAGATGGTAGCTACTATGCCAAACACCAAAACAATGAAATTCTTTGAAACTTACCAGCCTCTTTCCTTATCAAGTACTCCCTTGGATGCTGCAAATGTTCTACTAGACTCCAGAGTTCCAAAATAGTTGCTTCAGACAGTTCATGCGAGCTCAGTAGTTCTTCTGGTGGAGGAATCAATTCAGAGATTCCTACTCTACCTTTTTCCGTGGCATCAGATTAAGAAACTGAGCCTCAGGCATATTAAGCAGAGTGCCACGACCTCACAGCTATTGCAGATTTAACACTGTTATTCCTGCAAAATTTCCACACTGCCTTTCTTCCCTACTTAAACACTCTCTGATCTTTGACTCCAAACTTATGAAATCCCATTTCATGTATAAAGACTTCCTGAAGCAATCAGAATACATAGAGCCAATTTCAACTCTACCTCCATCATTAAGGCAAATCACTTAGTCTGTAACATCTACTTGGCACCTATCTTGGAGAGACTGCACATCCATAAAATCATATGGAGAGCAACCCTAAACTGAGAATAAATTAAGACAGGATGAATTAAGTACCAAAATCCTGAGAGCCTGGTGGGAAATACAGTTAGGCATAATCAGTTGCTAAGGAAGCATTTATGAGTGAGGGTGGTAATCAGAATGAAAAGGCAAGGAGAAAGAGGAGGAGGAGGAGGAGGAGGAGGAGGAACAGGTATTGCAGCAAATTTATATATAGCTAAGGCCCCCAGAGGGTAACAAAAACCAAACAAAGGAACAAGTGGAAAAATGCAAGATACAGCTGTAAAGAGAGGGCCTTTGGCACTGGACTAAGAAGTTGCAATTTCTTAAGACAGAAGGCACTACTGACAGAGTTGATGAAATATTGTTTTAGGGAGATTAATCCAACAGCTTTGATGATCTAGCAGCTGTGTGTAGGATGAACTGCAGTGGGAGTCACCAGAAATAAGGAGACCCATGATTTGTTCACTTTTGCCACCAACAATTTAGTCGCTTCTTAGAGTATACAAACTTAGTAATTATATGCATGTTCAACATTAATTAATTTATTTATATAACCTTTCTGGCTTCCTGGCTAACAAAGCATCACACATTTCTGAGGCTGGAATTTTTAATTGTGCCACTGAAGGGAGAAATAAAAATCTTTATTCATATTCTATAGGAAAATATATAGAAGTGGTGAAATGTTTTCACCAAAATGAAATCTCACATGTAAACTAGAATGAAACTTGCCAATATATTACCCGAACGTCTTACAAATGATGTTAATTTGCCAAGATTTTTTCCACCTAGTGACATTCTAGATGTGTTCACTGTACAATAAATCTTTCTTTTGGGGCCAGCTCACAAGGAAAAGTGGAGAAAGAAAAAGTATTTCTACATGGGAACTGAGATAAGTCTCTACATGGGAGCTGAGATAAGATTATGAAAGACAGAAATAGGGAAAGTGGTAAAGATAAATTTTTAAAAGTGTAATCAAAACAGTATAAAGCATATAAAACCCAACTAGAATTATTACATATTTCTTAAATATGCTTTCAAATTAAGACAATCCTTCACTGAGAATTCAGGACAAAGTAAATTAGATTTCTGAATCTCAGACACCTATGTTGAATTCTGGAAAGCCTCTATATACCTGTCAGGGTCATCTAAAAACTTGTAAGATCCCCCTTAATTTGCCTTAAGTCCTGTAGATAAAGGAGGGCCTGGACCTTAATGGGGCAATATTCACCAGGCAGTAGGGGCAGGAGTGAGACTGGGACCTGCCTAAAATGAGAATTTCTAAGATGAGGTAAGCTTGAAAGAAAACCTGGATATGGAGGACGAAGTGGACCAGGAGGAGCAGGACCAGAGAGAGCTGAGTCCCCCGCTGGAGGTATCTCTAAGGTTTGCTTACCTATCTCCCTGGAATTGCCCTTTGCAGCCTCTCTGAGATGGTCGCTAGGAGGGCAGAATCAATTCTACAATGTTGGCAGAGGTCCAGATTACCCTGCAAGGCAAAGAAAGCCTGCATGTATGGAACCTTGGACCATTTGCCCTCGCGTTTACAGATACAGTTCTGAGAGATGGGGTGGTAGTGGGGGCGGGGGCTGAAAGCCTACAGCAAATTCTAATTTGGCAGTGATTAATCTATTTCCCACACCCCAAAACTGATGGGTTGACAAGAAAATTCTGATTATTTTTTCCTCTCGGGGTGTGTTAATCACAGCAAAAAAGCAGCTGTTTGTCTTTGAGGCTCCTACTTAACTGATACTAAAGAACAGATAGTGATCTCAAACTCAATCTTTTAGACATCAAAAAGTCTCTAATTACCTCAAAGGATATCAAAATTATTAATACCAATATTTTAAATATTACATATTTTACCCAAATGTCATGTATTTTAGCATATTAGGAACAGAACGAGGGGATATTGTGATATTTTAAATATGCAATACTCTCACTACACTTCATGATTTTCCTCACAAAATGCTAACTATCCTGGGGTCAGCTGAAACAACAACAAAATAATTGCACCACCACTCTTTATCTCTGTTAAAAACCCTCACACAGACCAGGCACAGTGGCTCACACCTGTAATCCCAGTGCTTTGGGAGGTGGAGGGGAAGGATCGCTTGAGCCCAGGAGTTCAAGACCAGTCTGGGCAACATGGTGAGACCTTGTCTTTACAAAAAATCCAAAAACTACCTGGGTGTGATGGTGTGTGCCTGTGGTCCCACCTACTTGGAGTCTGAGGCAGGAGGATCACTTGAGCCCAGGAGTTTGAGGCTGCAGTGAGCTATGAGGCACCACTGCACCCCAGGCTTATGACAGAGTGAGACCCTGTCTCAAAACAAACAACAACAAAAACAACACCTTACCCATAGAATAACAGCCATGTTTGCCACAAAAGGAAGTACCCGTGATCACATTTGTGGGAAAAAAAGAACAAGGTCACTAGGTTTAAAGCCTTATAAACTGTTTAATAATGCATACAATGGGCTCCATCTAAGGATAGTTGATATTGATCTATACAGTCATTAAGAGGTAGGAGAGAGAGAAACTAAAAGAAAAAAATTTCCATTAAAGATTGGTAAAATTGGAAAATCATAGGACTATGCATCTTATTTGTGGGGGGGAAAAACCTGCCCACACACAAAGAATTTATTTGGCAAACAAATTCAGTGGAAATGTTAAAAGACATAAATAGTACACCTGCCCAAAAAAGAACATTCATAGCTTTTAAAAATGCTTTAAATTTATGAGGTAATGAAAATAATTATGATGGCCTTTTCATTCTTTAGGCACAATCATTCAAGTTGGCATATAACTTTGTTTCAAACATCTTGGTCTTTACTCATATTTCTTCGTTTTTAGTCATAGTTAATTCTTTGAGAGATATATCTCCTCAAGGCTTTGAAAATTTAGACATCCACAGGTAAGTTCTTTAAAAATTATAATAATTCTACTTTGAAAGACAAAGCAAACAAACTTTCTGGGGACCATAAGTGAATAAATGGAAATAATAACAATGCAATTTATGAAACAGTCATTTTGTCTGAAATGGGAAATGACTATTTGGAAGAAGGAAAATAAACTCCTTATGTGAGTTTAGTACAGAGGCTCTCATTTTTCTGCTGCCACATGATTCAGCTGTTCAAACACCTCTCATGATATCCAGCACTTCTCAGAATTAGTAATGCTCCCAGTTAAGAATCACTAATTCTTTTAAAATTTTGAACTGAAATTTAGTAATAGAAAGTATCACATTCAAATTCTATCTCTATTTATGACTTAAACATAAGTCCCTAGACATTTTTCCCTAGGAAGTTTTTGGAGCCAAAGCTTATGAAAGTATGAAGTTTTCTTTTAAAAGCATTGCTGATTTCTTTCACTACCATCAAAGGTAACATCACTTATATCCAGAATCACTTATATACATCACTTATATACAGAAGTTTTAACAAGAGAAAGCAAGATCAAAGAAAATTATTCTACAGTGACAAAAGGGTACCACATAATTTACAATAATCATTGCCAGTTTTTGAGTGCTTACCATGTGCTTGGATAAACTACTCTGCATGCATTTTTTCACTTAATCTATATAACACTCTCATGAGGCAGATGTTATATTATCCCCATACTTCAGATAAAGAAATCAGGACTATGGCCAGGCGCAGTGGCTCACGCCTGTAATCCCAGCACTTTGGGAGGCCGAGGCGGGTGGATCACCTGAGGTCGGGAGTTCGAGACCAGCCTGACCAACATGGAGAAACCCTGTCTCTACTAAAAACACAAAATTAGCTGGGTGTGGTGGCGCATGCCTGTAATCCCAGCTACTAGGGAGGCTGAGACAGGAGAATCGCTTGAACCCGGGAGGCGGAGGTTGCAGTGAGCCAAGATTGCGCCACTGCACTCTAGCCTGGGCAACAAGAGTGAAACTCCATCTCAAAAAACAAAACAAAACAAAACAAAAAAGAAATCAGGACTAAAAGAGGTTAAGTAACTCGCCAAAGGGTCTCCTAAGCTAGTAAACTTTAGATCTCAACCATTCTGCTATACTACTTAATGTTTATCTGGCAATTTTATATCCACTATCTCTACTATTTCTCCAGACCGCCTATAAAACAGCAAGGATTCTGTTCATTTTATAAATCAGTAAATTTAGGCTGACAAACCAAGTGACCTATCTATAGTCACAATGGTAAGAATAGTAAAATAGCAATCAGACCTTCTGATGCCAAATCATCAGGAAAGGTAAGCTTTTAAAAATTTCTTTCAGAAATTCATTCACTACCTGCTACCACCTATTTGACACACAATCCTAATAAATTTGGGTTTTCCAGTTTCTGTGTCCATGACAGAGTAGAAGGGAACTAGCTTTTGCTCATGCTAGGAGCTATACTAGGTACTTTACATACACTACCTCATCTAAACTTCAGAACACTATGAAATAAGCAGCATCCCACATGAGCCAACAGAATGAGGAGTTAAAACATAAGTCCAAAGATTATACAGAAAGAACAGCAAACAAGGCCGCTTAGACTCCTCATGAATATGGCAAATTCTTTGAAGATTGGGGTATTCCCAATCCTAAACAAAATGCCTTCTGAGCAGGAACCAAATAAATATTTTAAATAAATATTACATGACTGTAACATCTACAACCTAGACTCATCTCATCATTTACCCATCATTTCCTGAGCATCTCTTAACAGAAATTCAGTCAGCAGCCACTAATAATAGAATGGATTTGTGACCATCAGAAATCACTTACAGTAAGTGCATAATAACGGTAATAATACTATCAGTAATAATAAATAATATCAATAAAACCTCAGGGCATCTAATGTGTCACCAATTCCTATGATTTCTGATTCAGTAAAATCTCTCAATTGCATACTGCCTTTCCCTTCCGATTACAGTTCCTCTTACCCTAACCATTGCCAAGATAATTCCACACTCTACACCCTCCACACTGATGCTAGACTTATTTCCTAAAACACAAACCTGATCACATTGTTTCACTTTATAAAAAGACTGTTGACCCTCTGCTGACTTCAAAATCAAGTCCAAGAGCTGTGACTTTCAAAGTCTTTCAAAATGACCCTAATCACCCTATCTAACCTAATCTTCCTCTTTTTCTCAAAGTACTATCCATTCCACCCTTGCTTAACTACTAGCAGTGCCCCTGCACAAGCCCCAGGCCTCTCTGTCTTTCCTTATGCTGCTCTTGGACTTCAAAAGCCCTTTGCTTCCACCCACTCATACTCTCTACCTGTTAAAAGTCACCTTTTCTTTCTGAAGTTCAGTTTAAATAGCTTAACAAATAAGATTTCTTTCAGATAACATTTCTCACAAAATAAACACTTTCCCCCAACTAAATCCAAGACTCAGGCTTTATTCCAAGTTAAGCAGCTAACTCTCACATCTCTATTTCCAAACCACACTTTGAGTAGCACTATAATCTGATCTTTTCCATGTTTCATTCCCTGTCAGTAAATTCCAAAAGGCACAAGTCACATATGACTTCTTTAAATGTAGAAGCAATAAATGATGTAATTCATACTATAAAATGGAAGCTATTAAGTTGTGATTTAACATAAAGTAGGCCATACTGTATTACATCCAAATAATGGATGCTATATGGAGCAGAGCATATATTAAAGGTTTAAATTCGGCTGGGTGCTGTGGCTCACACCTGTAATCCCAGCACTTTGGGAGGCCAAGGTAGGTGGATCACTTGAGGCAAGGAGTTTGAGACCAGCCTGGCCAACATGGAGAAACCCCATCTCTACTAAAAATACAAAAATTAGCCAGGTGTGGTGGCACACACCTATAATCCCAGCTGCTTGGGGGGCTGAGGCAGGAGAATAACTTGAACCTGGGAGGCAGAAGTTGCAATGAACCTAGATCACATCACTGTACTCCAGCCTGGGCGACAAAGTAAGACTCCGTCTCAAAACAAACAAACAAACAAACAAACAAACAAACACAAACGGTTTAAATTCAAGCTGTATCACCTTCTAACTTATTGTGTGACCATGAGCAACCTACTTAACCTCTTTGAGCCTCCCTTTACCTATATTTAAATCAAGGATGGCATCAGTACCTACCTCAGAATGTTTGTTGTAAAGGTTAAAGGATATAAAGCATTAGCACAGTATTTGTACATACTAACTGCTAAACAAATGGTAGCTATTATTATTAAGCTCACAGAATATGTGTAAATACGTAATCACTTTGATTTTTTTCAGTCAGGGAACTGATTCAGGACTTTCCTTTAATGGTAAAGGTTTTTAAAAATAAGGTTCTTTGACAATTACTTAAACAGCTGATAGAGAAATAAAAAGGCTGGTGCAGTGCCTCAGACCTGTAATCCCAGCACTTTGGGAGGCTAAGGTGGGAGGACTGTCTGAGTCCAGGAGTTCAAGACCAGCCTGGGCAAGATGGTGAGACCCTGCTCTAATTAAAAAAAACCAAAAGATATAAATAGATCAGTAACAGCTGAACTCTAATATATACAGGTGATAAATATATAACATATATAATATTTTATGGTTATTATCAGAATGATACGGTTATAATAAATGGTTATCATAAATAACCATATTTATTATAAATAACCATGATATTTATGGTAATATTCACAGTAATATTCATGTGTGATGGGGCAAAGGTGTACTACTGCATAGAAGGAAGTCACTAAGCCTTTGTCTCACAGCATGGACAGAAAACCAATTATAACAAATACAAAACACTGTGATATGGATTAGGGCAGGGGTCCCTTATCCATAGTTGGTATTGGTATTGGTCTGTGACCTGTTAGGAAATGGGCCGCACAACAGGAGGTAAGCAGAGGGCGAGTGAGCATTACCACGTGAGCGCCACTTCCTGTCAGATCAGTGGTGGCATTAGATTCTCACAGAAGTGCAAACCCTATTGTGAACGATGCATGTGAGGGATCTAGGTTGCACATCTAACTAATGCCTGATGATCTGAGGTGGAACAGTTTCATCTTGAAACCATTCCTTACCTACCATCCATGGAAAAACTGTTTTCCATGAAACCAGTCCTCGGTGCCAAAAAGGTTGGAGACTGCTGGATTAGGGAATCCCAAATTTTGGGGGGTTTTTGAGACAGAGTCTTGCTCTGTAACCCATACTAGAGTACAGTAGGCAATCACAGCTCACTGCAGCCTCAACCTCCCAGGATCAAGAGATCCTCCCACCACAGCCTCCCGAGTAGCTGGGACTACAGGCACACATTCACCACACCCAGCTAGTTTTTTTGTTTTGTTTTGTTTTGTTTTTGTAGAGACAGGCATCACTTTGTTGCCCAGGTTGGTCTCAAACTCCTGGCCTCAAGTGATTCTCCTGCCTCAGCCTCCCAAAGTCCTGGGAATACACCCATGAGCCACTGCACCCAGCCCTAAGTGAAGTTATATCAAGAGGAAATTACTAGTCAGCTCTCATGTGTATGTAAGTATGCTTAGAATATATTACACAGACTAGGAGATCTGTAACTATTCAATTAACAGTGTGAACCAATTTATGAATAAATTAAGCTAAATAGTATTTAGCAGATGTCATAATTCCTTTTCTAAACCAGGGTCCTACTGCACTCCTGGCCCTAAGTAACAGGGCTGGAAACCCAGTCAAGCCACAGAATAATGCTCAGAGGACTGGGCACGGTGGCTCACACCTGTAACCTCAGCAATTTGAGCGGTTGAGGTGGGCGCATTGCTTGAGTCCAGGAGTTTAAGACCAGCCTGGGCAACAAAGTGAGACCCTGTCTCTACAAAAAATCAAAAAATGAGGCATGAGGACCGCTTGAGCCCAGGTGATTGAAGCTGCGATGACCCATGATTGTGTCACTGCACTCCCGCCTGGGTGACAGAGATGGACGATGAATGGAAAGAAGGCAGGCAGGCAACTGAAGGACACCCTCGGATGGGTTCACCCTGAGAGAGGGGCTCATGACTTGGAAAGTATTGCGGGGAGAAAAAATAAAATAGAAAAAAAAAAAAAGAATAATGCTCACAGAAGGTCATAACTCACTCTATTCAAAACTCAAAATGCTACTTGGGACACAGTATAAGGATAAGGGCCTTCCCATTATACCTTCCTATATTATTTGAAATTTCCATTAAAAAAAAAAAGACATGTATGGGAAGGTACAAACAGGCACCTGACGCCAAAACTCTCAAGCCTAAAAGCTCAGGAAGATAGGCAACTAACAAGATGTTTAATATAAGTTTGGCAAAGACTAAGATTAGTGATAACTGGCTCTAGCAAGAATGTGGAGGAAACAACATTTTCATATACATCATGTCTCAGTATCCATGGAGAGGACTGACACCAAAGCCACCATGGATATTCAAGACCCTTTTATAAAATGATGTAGTAGTTGCATTAACACCTATACACATCCTTCTATATACTTTAATTCATCTCTAGACTACTTAGAATACCTAATACAAATACTACTTAAATAGTTGTTATGATGTATTGTTTAGAAAATGACAAAAATAAAATTCTGTACATGTTTAGTACAGGCGCAACCATCCTTTTTTTTCCCCCAAATATTTTCCATCCAAAATTGGTTGAATCCATGGATGTGTAACCCATGGATACAGAAGGCTCACTGTCCTGGACATGAGACTATAAATTGATACAACTTTTTTGGAAAATGATTCAGCAATATTTATTAAAATTTTAAAAGCTTATACCCAGCAGGGTATGGTGGCTTGTAATCCCAGCACTTTGGGAAGCCAAGGCGGGAGGATCTCTTGAGTCCAGGAGTTCGAGACCAACCCGGCCAACATGGTGAAACCCCATCTCTACCAAAAATACAAAAATTAGCTGGGCACAGTGGCGCATGCCTGTAATCCCAGCTGCTCGAGACGCTGAGGCAGGAGAATCACCTGAACTCGGGAGGTGGAGGTTACAGTGAGACGAAATCACACCACTGCGCTCCAGCCTGGGCAACAGAGCAAGACTCTGTCTCAAAAAAAAAAAAAAAAAAGCATCCAAACGGAAAGGACAAAATAAAATTATCCGTTTATAGATGATATAGTCTTGTATGTAGAAAACCCTAAATGGTCCAGAAAAAAACTGTTAGAATAAATGAATTCAGCAAAGTAGTAAGATACAAAGACAATACAGGAAAATCAGTTGCATTTCTATACACTAAACAATGAACAATCCAAAAAGGAAATTATAAAAACAATCTCATTTTCAGTAGCATCAAAAAGAACTAACTTAGGGAGTTGGGAAAGGGGTTAAGAAAAAAAAAGGAAAAATTTAAAAAAATTTTTAATGAATTAACTTAGGAATTAACTTAGCCAAAGAGGTAAAATATTTGTACAATAAAAACTATAAAACATTACTGAAAGAAATTAAAGACATAAATAAAAACACATCCCATAATCATAGAAGTCTTAATACTGTTAAGATGCCAATAATACCCAAAGCAATCAATAGATTCAATGCAATCCCTATCAAAATTCCAGTGATGTTTTTTGCAAAATTAGAAATGCTCATCCTAAAACTTATATAGAATTTCAATGGCCAAAACAATCTTGAAAAAGAAAACAAAACTTGAGGATTCACACTTCCTGATTCCTACTACAAAGCTACACTAATCAAAACAGTATGGTACCGGCATACAGACAGACATATATCTCATATTCAAAAGAATATGAATAGAATAGACAGTCCAGAAATAAACATTCACATATACAGTCAAAAGATTATGTCCAAGGGTGCCAAGATCATTTAATGGGAAAGAATAGTCTTTTCAACAAATGGTGCTAGGAAAACTGGATATCCACATACAAAACAATGAAGTTGGAGCCTAACGTAACACTATATACAAAAATGAACTCAAAATGGATCAATGATCTAAATGTAAGACCTGAAAGTATAAAATTCTTAAAAGAAAACATAGCGCAAAAGCTTCACAACATTGGATTTGGCAGTGATTTCTTGGATATGACACCAAAGGCAAAAGCAACAATAGAAAAGACAAAGGGGACTTCATGAAAATTAAAAACTTTTGTGTGTCAAAGGGCACTATCAACAGAGTAAAAAGGCAACGCACAGAATGGGAGAAAATATTTGCAAATCATACATTTGATAAGGGATTGGTATCCAGAATACATAGAGAACACCTAAAACTCAACCACTAAAAAACAAAGAACCCAATTCAAAAATGGGCAAAGGATTGGAATAGACATTTGTCCAAAGAAGATATATGATGGCCAATAAGCACATGAAAAGATGCTGAACATCACTAATCATTAGAGAAATGCAAACAATGAGATACCACTTCACACCCATTAGGATAGCTACTCTCAAAAAAAGTAGAAAATAAGTGTTGGCAAAGATGTGGAGAAATTGGAACCCTTATGCACTGTTGGTGGAATGTAAAATGGTACAGCTACTGTGTTAAACAATATGGCAGTTCCTCAAAAATTTTGAAAAAGAATTACCATATGATCCAGCAATTCCCTTTCTGGGTATATAGCCAAAAGTAGGGTCTCAAAGAGATACTGGTACATCCATGATCATAGCAGCATTATTCACAATAGCTAAAATGTAAAAGCAACCCAAGTGTCCATCAATAGATGAATGGATAAGCAAAATATGACATAAAAATATACATACAATAAAATATTATTCAGCCTTAGAAAGGAAGGAAATTCTGACAAATGCTACAACATGGATTAACCTTGAGGACATTATACTGAATCAAGTAAGCCAGTCACAAAAAGACAAAATACTACATAATTCCTCTTATTTGAGGTAGTTTCAGGGGTCCAAAATCATGGAGGCAGAAAGAATGGAGTCTGGCAGGGACTGGAGGGAGGAAAAAATGGAGAGTTACTGTCTAATATTTAAAAACCTTCAGCTTTACAAGATGAAAAGAGTTATGGAGATGAATGGTGATAATGGTTACAGAACATTATGAATGTATATAATACCCTGAACTGTATACTTAAAAATGGCTACAATGATAAATTTTATGTTACATTTATTTTATCACAATAAAAATTTTTTTAAAGGCAGCTGGATATATGAGCCTAGAGTTCAGGGGAAGAAGTCTCAGCTTGAGATATAAATTAAGCTGTCGTCAGCATATAAACAGAATTTAAAGCCAAGAGACAGAATGAGATCACCAAGGGAACAAGTACAGATAGACAACAGGTCCAAGGACATGGAGCAGTTCAAAGTTTCAAGGTCATGGAAAACAGGACCAACCAAAGGAAATTGTAAAGAATGGCCAGTAAGGTATGAAAAGAACCAAGAGAAAGTGATATGTCCTGGAAGCTATGTGAATAATGTTTTCCAAGAACGTGGGAGAGATCAACAGTCAAATGATGCTGATAGATCAAGTAAGGTAAGGGACAAACGCTGACCACTGGAAATAATCTGAAAGCCACCGACGACCTTGGCAAGAACAGTGCGGACGTAGCGGAAGATGAATGCCTTACCAGAATGATTCCAAAGAAAATGGACACAGAGGAATGAGAGGCCGCATATATAGATAAATCTTTTAAGAAGTTTTGCTCTAAATGGAAGCAAATAAATGAGCAATGCTAATAGAGAAAGTGAAATCAACAGAATTTTTCTAATAAGAGAAAAATTGTTGCAGGATCCTTGGGGTGTCGCTTTTCTGGCCAGAAACCTCTGTGGCTGGTGGTGCCCTTGCCTGAGTTTTGCTCGGGTCTGCTGGGCTCATTCTGCCTACTTGGGCTGGCAGGCTGCACTCGGTTCATGCTACCAGCCTGGATCCCATGCCTGCCAACGGCAAGCCAGGCATGGAGTGGCAAGGGGTGTGCAAGCAAGCGAGCATGGGGTCGGACCACTGTGCACAGGCATGCTGCCTGCTGCAGTGGGGCGGGCAGCTCCAGGTGCCAGCATGGGTGCTGGCTCTCTGTAAGGCTGTGGCTAGATCAGGCACACCGCAAGCAGCTTCCATGGTTGCCACCAGGGAACATGGTGGCACCTGGAAGCTTGGAGCCTCCAGGAACCACAGGGAACCAAAGAGTCACAGCCCTGGCTTGGGGAGCTCCAGGTCTGAGCTCCCTGAAGGGCTGCAGCTCTTCTCTCCTCTTTATCTGCAGTATGGCAAGCAAGGGGTATGTTTCAGCCCTGTTTGTGTTACAGCTCTTTCAGCCTTGCCTTTCAGCAGGTCCCAAGTTCTTGTGCTGTGTCCAGGAAGAAAAGGGTAGGAAGACAAGTGGAGGGTGAGCAAGGCAAAGAGGAGCTTTACTGAGTGACAGAGTAGCTCAGAGGAGGCCCTGAAGTGGATAGCTCCTCTCTACAGGCAGGTCATCTCAACGTCTGCTCAGCTCTGGCTGAGCCCGAGGCTTTTACGGGCTTCAGAGGGGAGGAAATGTGAGCCAGTTGGTCTGTGAGTGGCCATGAATGGGACCGGAAAAGGCACCACAAGTTCCCGCTTCTGTCTGTAGGGCTGGCCCCCAGCCTTTAGGCCCTCACTGGTCTGAAGGTGGGGCCTCACCAGGGACCCAACCCCTTCCACCCGGGAACCTGTCTGCCTCCTGCTGCTGTTCGTGGTGCCCAGGCTGTAGGTGCCAAGGGGTACCTGTAGGCCAGTGCTGAGCTTCCCTCAGCCCCTCATTGGCTTCCTTCCTATGTTTGTCAGCACCCAAAGTCCAGAGTGGGCTGAGGTGACAGGAGGCTGGTATGTCAGCACTGCCCTGAGCGTGTGCACACCTGGCTGGTCTGTGACAGCACCTAGGCTCCACTCTGACTTTGCTCTGAGATCAAATGGGCGCCAACAGCAGGGAGAGGCCAGGAAGTGGGAGCAGGCACTTCCAAGCCTGCGAGGGCAGGGGGGCCTTTCTTCCTGGGCCCCCAAGAGTGCAGGGATGCCTGGGTCCACAGCCACAGTTTGTGTGGCTGCAGCTGCACCTGGGGGTGTGAGGGGTGGGCTCCTGCCTGCTCCATGGAATGGGAGGCCTGGGTGTGCAGCTGAGACTTGGGTGCCTGCAGCTGTGCCCGGAAGGGCAGGGCTCCTGCCCGCTCCCTGCCTCCACCAAGAGCACAGGGAGGCCAGGGTCCATAGTCATGACAAAGAAGGGCATTACGTAATGGTAGAGGGATCAATTCAACAAGAAGAGCTAGCTATCCTAAATATATATATGCACCCAATACAGGAGCATACAGATTCATAAAACAAGTTCTTAGAGACCTACAAAGAGACTTAGACTGCTACATAATAATAGTGGGAGACTTTAACACCCTACTGTCAATATTAGATCAACGAGACAGAAAATTAACAAGGATATTCAAGACTTGAGCTCAGTTATGGATCAAGTGGACCTAATAGACTTCTATAGAACTCTCCACCCCAAATCAACAGAATATACATTCTTCTCAGTGCCACATGGCACTTATTCTAAAATTGACCACATAATTGGAGGTAGTAAAACACTCTTCAGCAAATGCAAAAGAACAAAAATCATAATAAATAGTCTCTCAGGCCACAGCGCAATCAAATTAGAACTCAAGATTAAGAAACTCACTAAAAACCACACAACTGCATGGAAATTGAATAGCCTGCTCCTGAATGACTCCTGGGTAAATAAAGTAAGGCAGAAATCAAGAAGTTCTCTGAAACCAATGAGAATAAAGAGACAACACACCAGAATCTCTGGGACACAGCTAAAGCAGTGTTAAGAGGGAAATTTAAAGCACTAAATGCCCACATCAGAAAGCTAGAAGGATCTCAAATCGACACCCTAACATCACAATTAAAAGAGCTAGAGAAGCAAGAGTAAACAAATCCAAAAGCTAGCAAAAGACAAGAAATAACTAAGATGAGAGCAGAACTAAAGGAGATACAGACACAAAAAACCCTACAAAAAAAACTATGAATCTAGGGGCTAATTTTTTGAAAAAATTAACAAAATAGATAGACTGCTTGCTAGACCAATAAAGAAGAAAAGAGAGAATAGACACAATAAGAAATGATAAAAGGGATATCACCACTGACCCCACAGAAATACAAACTACCAACAGAAAATAAACAACTCTATACAAATATCTAGAAAATCTAGAAGAAATACATAAAGTCCTGGACACATACACCCTCCCAAGACTAAACCAGGAAGAAGCTGAATCCCTGAATAGACCAATAACAAGTTCTGAAATGGAGGCAGTAATTAACAGCCTATCCAACAAAAAAAGCCTAGGACCAGATGGATTCACAGCCAAGTTCTACCAGAGGAACAAAGAGGAGCTGGTACCATTCCTTCTGAAACTATTCCAAACAATTGAAAAGGAGGGATTTCTCCCTAACTCATTTTATGAGGCCAGCATCATCCTGATACCAAAACTCTGGACACAACAAAAAAAGAAAACTTCAGGCCATCGATGCGAAAACCCTCAGTAAAATACTGGCAAACCGAATCCAGCAGCACATCAAAAAGCTTATGCACCACGATCAAGTTGGCTTCATCCCTGGGATGCAAGGCTGGTTCAACATATGCAAATCAATAAACATAATCCATCACATAAACAGAACCAATAACAAAAACCACATGATAATCTCAATAGATGCAGAAAGGCCTTCGATAAAATTCAACATCCCTTCATGTTAAAAACTCCCAGTAAACTAGGTGTTGATGGCACATATCTCAAAATAAGAGCTATTCAGGACAAACCCACAGCCAATATCATACTGAATGGGCAAAAGCTGGAAGCATTCCCTTTGAAAACCAGCACAAGACAAGAATGCTTCTCTCACCACTCCAATTCAAATAGGAAGAATAAACAGGCAACCTACAGAATGGGAGAAAATTTTTGCAATCTACCCATCTGACAAAGGTCTAATATCCAGAATCTATAAGGAACTTAAACAGATTTACAAGAAAAAAACAACCCCATCAAAAAGCAGGCAAAGGATATGAACAGACACTTCTCAAAAGAAGACATTTACGCGGCCAACAAATATATGAAAGAAAGCTCAACATCACTGATCATCAGAGAAATGCAAATCAAAACCACAGTGAGATACCATCTCACACCAGTCAGAATGTTGATTATTAAAAAGCTAAGAAACAACAGATGCTGGTGAGGCTGTGGAGAAACAGGAACACTTTTACACTGTTGGTGGGAATATAAATTAGTTCAACCATTGTGGAAGACAGTGTGGTGATTCTTCAAGGATCTATAACCAAAAATACCATTTAACCCAGCAATCACATTACTGGGTATACACCCAAAGGAATATAAATCATTCTACTATAAAGACACATGCACACATATGTTTATTGCAGCACTATTTACAATAGCAAATACATGGAACCAACCCAAATGCCCATCAATGATAGATTGGATAAATAAAATGTGGTACAGGCATGGTGGCTCATGCCTGTGGTCCCTGCACTTTGGGAGGCCGAGGTAGGTGGATCACTTGAGGTCAGGAGTGCGAGAACAGCCTGGCCAACACGGTGAAACCCTGTCTCTACTAAAAATACAAAAAAATTGGCCAGGCATGGTGGCATATGCCTATAATCCCAGCTACTTGGGAGGCTGAAGCAGGATAATTGCTTGAACCCGGGAGGCGGAGGTTGCAGTGGGCCAAGATTGTGCCACTGCACTCCAGTCTGGGTGACAGAGCAAGACTCTGTCTCAAAAAAAAAGAAAAGAAAAGAAAATGTGGTACATAAACACCATGGAATACTACGCAGCCATAAAAAGGAATGAGATCATATCCTCTGCAGGGACATGGGTGAAGCTGGAAGCCATCATCCTCAGCAAATACAGAAACAGAAAACCAAACACCGCATGTTCTCACTCATAAGTGGCAGCTGAACAATGAGAACACATGGACACAGGGAGGGGAACAACACACACCAGGGCCAGTTGGGGGGCAGGGGGCGAAGGGAGGGAGAGCATTAGGACAAATGGCTAATGCATACAGGGCTTAAAACCTAGATGACAGGTTGATAGGTGCAGCAAACCACCATGGCACATGTATACCTATGTAACAAACCTACACGTCTGCACTTGTATCCCAGAACTTAAAGTAAAATTTACAAAAAAAAAACAAAACAAACAAAAAAAAAACCCTGTTTTACCTACTAGCAAGAACAGAGAAAAGGAGCACTTGGCCCAACCCTGAGAATTAAGAGGATTCCTGAAGGAGCTGTCCCATGCTGAATCATTAAGGCTGAGTAAGAGTGAGTCAGGGGAAGTAGGGAGGGGACTTGAAACATCATGAAAAACAAAGGTAAGACACAACATAGTGTGGGGTTGGTAGGGGGAGTCAAGAGGACTAGTATGTGATGTATGAGACTGAGAATGACAGGAGATGAGGCTAGAGAGGTAAGCAGTCACCAAGCCTTTTAGGACATATCATGCAGTACAACCTTTATCATATAGAGAACTTGCGACTATAGGGTTTAGGCAGGGACATACTGAGATCAAACTGATATTTCATTCAATGAAGAAGTACCTTGAAGAGTACCAGACTAAAGAGTTGGAGACCAGTTAAGAGGCTACTGAAATAAATAATAAGGCCCTGAATTACGACAGTGTTAGAAGTAGTAAGAGGGGCTCAGTGACAGAAACTATGTGTTCAGTGATAAAGGCAGCAGTTGGTAGCCTGGGCTACTGGACAGATAATACCAGTATCTGTATTTGGAAATACTGCAGCAATGGTGGATAGTGAATGAATCACTTCAGTTTTGGATATGTTGCTTTTAGATTCACTATAAGGACATCTAGTAAGTAAAGGTAAGCAGACAGCAGAAAATTCAGACTCCAGGGTTCAATATATCTAAAAAGTATCCACATTTGAATGGTCACCAAAATTATTCTAATATATAAGATGATCCAAAAATAACACTAACAGGGAAAACAATGACTGAACATTTAGGAACACACATTTGAGGAAAACCCAGTGGGAAAAAAAATGCTTGAAGGAATTTCATAGTCAAAAAGGTAAAAGGAAAATCAGGAAAAGTACCATCCAAGAGGCCAGGGAAACAGTCAAGGGCTAATACCTCCAACCAGTATACAAAGAGAAACCATAATGACTTGAAAAAGCCAACAGAGATCACAAGAGATTAAAAAAAGTCACATCAGATAACAATCTAGACTCTCTAATTCTGTTGTATTAACTTTTTGAAAATTAGCAGAACCTACTGGGACATCTCTTTCTGAGGTCTTAAAGTAGTGAAGTCAATCTAGAGTACAAAAGACTAAAAGGATCAAACACAGATGTATCCCTACCTATAGGAGAAGATCATTTACAGTGATAGGAGATTATCTACAGTGAAGAAAATTATTAATATTATTGTAAGTAAATTGGTACTATATACTTTTTATTTTTATTTTTTTGATTCAGGGCTTCACTCTGTTGCCCAGGCTGGAAAGTAGTGACATGATCATGGCTCACTGCAGCCTCGACCTCCCAGACACAGGTGATGTTCCTACCTCAGCCTCCCAGGTAGCTGGGACTACAAGTGCACAACACTACACTCAGCTAATCTTTTGTATTTTTTGTAGAGATAAGGTTTCACCATTTTGCCCAGGCTGGTCTCAAACTCCTAGGCTCAAGTGACCTCCTGCCTCAACCTCCCAAAGTGCTGGGATTATAGGCGTGAGCCACCACACCTGGCCAATGTATTTTTAATAAGTCAAAACTTATTGTCAAGCACGATAAAACAAATAGAAAATTTTTATTTTATCATTCCTGACTTCTTAATCATCACACATTACCTTCTCACCTATGACTTCAAGTAAACTCAACTACTGACAGTATAAATGTCTTACAGCCCTATGTAACAACGAAAAGCATTTAAGCATGGATGATGTAGAAACCTAGGCTAGTAATTAGACAAAAATAATACAAATACAATAAAAGTGTATCAGAAATGGAAATAATCTTTGATGTTAGATGAAAAAAGATGAGAAAAGGTGAAAATAAATAGAGCAAGAGTCAATTTCTGTTCTTGCTTTTGGCTCTACTTTAACACTTTTTGGCAGACAATCTGTCAAATTAAAAAATCACTTACTCTTAAGATGACTGTACTATGCTATACTAACTGGGAGTGATTCACAGATATTTGGTCCCACCCATACAGAAGAACTCTACAAGGAACTTTTAAAAAGTCAACAGGAAGCATATTTTCAGATGAGCACCTAAAGCAAAATCGGTAAAGAGTAGAAAGCACGTGACAGAATTATTTACTTGAAATGGAAAAGTTAATTGCATTTTCTTGGAGTGGGGTGAGGGAAACTCCCAAGGTGTGAGTCATTGGATTAAAGAACAACTGGATTCAGGATTTAGGCGAGCTAGAAAAGCAGGATTCAAAACACAGCAGAGCAAGCATGCAGCTCTCTGGCCCAAAAAGAAAAAAACCCATGTTGGATTTGTGCCTCCAGAGTTTGAGTCAGACAGACAAAAAGAGAGTGGAGAGGAAGGCATGACCAGATTTGACTTCAACACATGGGAGAATCTAAAACTGTTTTATCTTTTGGTTTATTTCTTCCTTTATTTATACAGTACTAAAACATTTAAATTACATTCAAGGAAACAAAAATGAAAGTTATTTCAACATTTTACATCTACAAGGATCTAGATGGCTTTGCAACAATGCTTGGCACACAGACTAGACCAACAAAGTTAATGTCATCACAACCTCTCTAGCACTAGCACTAATTTGATTTTGTTAATTTAGTATAACCAACAAATGTATAAAATATTTATTGCTGTAGTTACTAGTAAGGGGGAATGCCTGTTTATTCACTAGAGTACATGCATTCATCTTGAATAAACTGACTACTTAACTCCTTGGCCTATTTATCTATCATAATCTTGATGGCCTTTTTTAATACTGGAAACATGAGTATATACTCATGTTTCTATCCTAATGAATGCAAACATGCCCAATTTCCATTTTTGTCATTTTTCATGGAATCAAAGTTTTCAATGTTTATTTAGATGCTCACTGTTTTTATTTGCCTTCGCTTGGTTTTAGACTGTAGTAGTTGCTCATCTACCAATAAATTCTGAAGTAGTTTTCATTATTACACTCATACTGCATAGTTTAGAACTTTTCATTTACCTGCTCCAATCACTGCACTTTAACTCTCTTACACCATTTAATTATGTATTTCTTCTCAAGTATAGTGCTATCATCCATTTTTTAAAAGAAACTTTTTTTGTGGCTAAGTAATTACATAAAATTAAATGGGCTCCAGGCAATTCTACTCCTAGAGAAATTACCCAAGAGAAATGAGAGACACAAAGAATTGTACACAAATGTTCCTGGCAGTACTGTTCATAATAATCCAAAACTGGAAGCAATCTGAATGTCCATCAAACACTATATAAACAAAATATAGTCTAGCTGAAATAAAAATGAATTAACTATTGATAGATTCTACAACATGCATGAACCTCAAAAACATAATGCTAAGTGAAGGAAACCAGCCAGATAAAAAGACTACATATTATATGACATTATTTGTTTGAAATTTCTAGAATATGCAAATCTGTTACAGACAAAGAGCAGGCTGAGCGCGGTGGCTCAAGACTGGGAGGCCAAGGCAGGTGGATCACTCAAGGTCAGGAGCTCGAGACCAGCCTGGCCAACATAGTGAAACCCCATCTCTACTAAAAATAATTTTAAAAATTAGCCAGGCTTGGTGGCACATGCCTGTAATCCCAGTTATTCAGGAGGCTGAGGCAGGAGAATCGTTTGAACCCAGGAGACGGAGGTTGCAGTGAGCTGAGATCATGCCACTGCACTCCAGCCTGGGCAGAAAAAGTAAAACTCCATCTTAAAAAAAAAAAAAGCACACAAAGAGCAGATTAGTAGTTGCCTAAGGCTGGGGCTGGGATATAGAATTAACTGCAAATGGCATAGGGAATTTTTTTGGGAGTGATGCAATTGTTTTACAGCTGAATTACAGTGATCGTTGCGTAACTGTATAGAATGACAAAAAAATTGACTTCAAGTACTTGACTTACATTTATAATAGGTGAATTTTATGGAATGTAAATTATATCTCAATAAAGCTGTTTTTAAGAAGCCAATGAACAGAGGAAGGATAAAAACAACAAAATATAAATATACACATACACATATTTTAAATAACCTTGAAATATAAAAATTTAAAGGATTCAGTTTGTTACTGTCAAATGTAGCAAAAAGTATTTTAAATAATAAATATTCAGTGCTTCCAAGAGTACCATAAAAGAAACTTTTCACAAGCTGATCATCATGAGAATGCAAATTGGCACAACCTGTTGTGCCAACTGGCACAAACTACTGGAAAGTAGTTTGGCAAGGCATACCAAGAGAGCATTAAAAATGTGCCCTTTGATCTACTTCTGAGAATCTACCCTAAAGAAATAATTTAAAAAATGAATAAAGATCACGGTATTAAGATACTGAGCAAAGCATGATTTATAATAGTTAAAAAAAAAAAAACAGGAAAAACAGTACATATTCAACAATGGAAGAATGGATAAGAAGATTACAGCCTATCCATGAATATTATGTTCCCTTAAAAAATGTCTGTGGGCCTGCAGCCTGGTGCAGAGTATAATAACATCCTGGCCACTGCTGCTTGCATTAGAGAGGAAGATGCCCACCTCCATCTCACCCTGTGTGGTGGGCTCACCCAGAAGCCAGCTAGCAGAGTGCTGGTAGCATTCTGTAATTTTGCAAATGAGGCAAACTTGAAATTAAGAAATGTAACCTCAATGGCTGGAAGAGGGCTCGCCTATCACAATAGTACTCACCAGGGAAGACGGACTCAAATATTACAGGATGACGCAGACTGTTCATCAAATGGAATTTAAAAATGGACCTTTCTGTTTATACAGATTTGCTATATTTATTTCTGTATATAGCTGATTTGCTATATATTGTCACCAAAAATGACAGAAATTATTCACATTTCTGTCATTTTTGTGATGTCAGGAAGACTGCTGGGATGAGAAGGAGGGGAAGGACTTGAAGCCAGGATAAATCCCACAGATCATCTCATCACAGCCTATTAGGCTCTGGCTTTAGCTTTACTCATGAACTTTCTGTCCCAGAAATTCTTGTAGAGCTTACAGGACAAAGAGGAGGTTGTGCTAAAGGAAAAGTAGGATCAATGCATATGTATGCCAAGAACTTCTACAGGAGCCATGGCATTGTCAGAGCTCAGGTCTCCTGGGAGCTGGTATTGGCTTGGCCTGTGAGTATAACGGAAAAGATGAGGTCTGAATGACTTTATATTTGAGGCCTACAATATAGCCGCTTTGTGGAAATTACCTCCTATTTTCATCTGTGAGAATAAAACTGCTATGGAATAAGAGCATCTGTTGAGACAGCAGCACCTAGCACTGATTACTATAAGACAGGCAATTTTGTACCTGGACTAAGGATAGACAGAATGAATATTCTATGTGTCCATGAGGCAACAAAGTTTGCCTGTTGTATATTTGGAAAGGGGACCATACTGATGAAGCTGCAGACTTACCATTATCAAGGCACAGTGTAAGTGATCCTGGAGTCAGCTGTACACAAGAAGAAATTCAAGAAGCAAGAGGACTGACTCTATTATGCTTCTCAAAGATAAAATGGTAAATAGCAATCTTGCCAATGTTAAAGAATAAACGGACAGCCGGGCAGGGTGGCTCACAACTGTAATCCCAGCATTTTGGGAGGCCAAGGCAGGCAGATCACCTGAGGTCAGGAGTTCGAGACCAGCCTGGCCAACATGGTGAAACCCCATCTCTACTAAAAATACAAAAATTAGCCAGGTGTGGTGGTGGATGCCTGTAATCCCAGCTACTTGGGAAGCCGAGGCAGAAAAATCGCTTGAGCCCAGGAGGTGGAGGTTGCAGTGAGCCGAGATGGTGCCACTATACTCCAGCCTGGGCTACAGAGCGAGACTCTGTCTCAAAAAACAAATGAAAGGAAACCGATGTTGATACAACTGATCCCAAACTACCTTTGGAAGAATTAGGCCGTTACATTTATTGCATTTTGAAGTTTATGATGTAAATCAGTGGATCCAGTTTAAGTAGATTTTTATTTTTTTTAAGACAGGGTCTTACTCTGTTGCCCAGGCTGGATTGCAGTGGTGCAATCACAGCTCACTGTAACCTCAAATCTCTGGGCTCATGCAATCCCCCTGCCATAGCCTCCAGAGTAGAATCAGATCATTTTAAGGGGATACTGTAAATTTACTATTATGCCTCAATGGAACATCCATGGTCAACTGTAAGAAACTCTGTATTCTTAACTTTGTTAAAACAAACAAGCAAACCAAAAAGCTCGCGAATATGTTTGTACTATGGCATAAAATAAAGTTTTAAAAGTTGGGAAAAAAATTTAATGAGTTCCAAAGGTCCAGTGGTGCAATAAAAAAAATACATCATCCTGATGTTCCAGAGCTTCCCCATTTTCCTCCACAGAAGCAAACATGTTATCAGCCTCTTATATATTAAAAAATGGAAATTTTAACTGAAAAATAAAAACAGCAAACACAAAAAGCTCAAAATGTTTAAAGGAAAAGCTCATAAATTCTTACTTTCAGAAAGAAAAACATGTGGAGAGAAATATAAATACTAAGTAATTAACAGGACCCAAATTATTAGCAGAAGATACAAAAAGTAAACGTGGGGAATTTGGAGGCACTGAGTTACATCTCTGCAACACATAAGGTAGTAATTCTTTGACCTTAGGCAAACAACATCCTAAAATAAAATCCAGTCCCTAAGGCAAAAGCCTTTTCCTCCATCAGTAGGTCACAAAGCTGTCTTGGGCTGGCTTTACCTAACTGTCAAGCCAGAAGACACACTACCTCTCTCCTGTAATGGGTTAGCTAGGTATATTTAATGAACAAAAGTTATTACGATTAGCAAAGAATATCCTTTAACATCTGTTATAAGTATCCCTTAGCATCAGTTATTGTATCCCTTAACTGTGGCAAACTCCTACCTTTTGCTTCCTGGTAATGCTACTCTAACTTACACTCTTAACACAGAAATGATGACTGGACTCCTGCATTGGGCTGCTTCTGCAGCTACATCATGCAGAGATGGGGAGAGCTTCTGAAGATCTAATATTAAATATATTAAAATATAATTTCCATTCTTACCCCATAAGGAAATAATATAATCATTTTTATTATGACTGCAACTATAAACTGAGTGAAGTACTCTAGAGTGACTTGCTCACCGACAACATTTCCAAAGCAATACAATAACTGAGTCAGTATTCACTGAAGACTTATCTCATATAGACAGTGAAATAAAATAATATTATAAAAGTAACACTTCTGCAGTCTTTGTTCAGAGTTCCAAAAGTGAATTTCAATATGGTTGCTGACTCTGAAAGTGATTTTCAGATTTATCTCTTAACAGCATTTGGCTACATTTCTCTTTCTGGGATTAAGTTAAATAACATCTATGCATCAATTGAGTTAAACTAGAGGTCATGCTTTACCAACTTTTAGCTGAGTTTATGTCATAATGTTAGCTTTTCCTAGAATAGGCTAGTCAACTGAGCTATAATATATATTCTCTTGGGTTTTATGCCATTTCCTAAATTTAAAATTAAAACATCAGTTGAGGAAAAATAGCTACAACCTAACAGCCCATGCAACTTAGATTAAGCTGCATACAACATTAGTTTCAAAACAAAGAGAGTCAGAAAACACTCTAGAAAATCAAGTATGAGATTTTTAGTGCTAAAAAGGACTACAAAATACCCTCATCAATGAGGTAACTTAGGGCCCCAAAGCAGCCGCCTATATAAGAACAAGACAAGTAAACAAAGCAAGTCCAAAGTCCAAAATATTCTACTTCACAAACAGACAGCTTCAGCAATCCTGAAAATACCTAAATAAAAAATTAGTTAAACTTTCAAATGACAGACAAATTTAAGAAACCACCCACCTCACTAAAAATATTCTTGGTAATAAATGACTGCTTAGAAAGGAGCTTACATACCAATAAAATTAGTTAACATTTATTTAGTCTTTACCGTGTGCCATGCCATGTATGCCTTCACATATATTAACTCATTTAATTTTCACAGCCCCATATGAGGTATTATTATTATCTGCACTTTACAAATGAAAAACAACCTGAGGCACAATGAAGCTAAATTTCTTGCCAAAAGTCACCAAGGTAATAAGAGGTGAAACCAGGATATGAACCCATTGCAGTGACCTCCACAGCTGTCATCCCTAATTCCTCACTCCTGACTTCCAGATCTTTACCGCTCTACCATACTGTCTATTTTAGCCCAACTCATCACTTTGCAGATAAGCAAACTGTGCTCCTCAAGGAAGAGATAAAATTAATCCAAGGTTTCTAACTATTTAATAACATAACTGGTACTAAACTCAGGTTTCCTATTCACATTATGAGGCTTTTCATTTAATCTTTTTCAAAAATAATTTATTTTGTTTTTCCAAGTATAAAATACTTATTGAAATCAGAAGAATATAATAAAGTACAGAAGAAAATTGAAATAACACCTCCCAGCTTCCAAGAATAACCACATCAACAGTTTAACATATTGCTTTATATGCATTACACGACTAACATTCCACTCTCCTGCCTCGTACTTTTTTTTTTTTTTTGAGATGGAGTTTCATTCTTGTTGCCCAGGCTGGAGTGCAATGGCGCGATCTTAGCTCACTGCAACCTCCACCTCCCGGGTTCAAGCGATTCTCCTGCCTCAGGCTCCCAAGTAGATGGGATTACAGGCACCCACCACCACGCCTGGCTAATTTTGTATTTTTAGTAGAGACAAGGTTTCTCCATGTTGGTCAGGCTGGTCTCAAACTCCCGACCTCAGGTGATCCGCCTGCCTCAGCCTCCCAAAGTACTGGGATTACAGGCGTGAGCCACCACACCTGGCTTTTTTTTTTTTTTTTTTTTAAGATACAGGATCTCACTCTGTCACCCAGGCTGGAGGGCAGTGGTACAATCATAGCTCACTGTAACCTCCAACTCCTGGGCTCAAGTGATCCTTCTGCTTCAGCCTCCCATGTAGCTGGGACTATAGGCACATGCCACCATGCTCGACTAATTTAAAAAAAAAAATTATAGAGACGGGGGTCCTACTACATTGCCCAAGCTGGTCTCGAACTCCTGGCCTCAAGTGATCTCTCACCTCGGTCTCCCAAAGTGCTGAGATTACAGACATGAGCCACCATATCCAGCCCCTTGCCTTGAATTTTTAAAAAATTTTAGAGACATATTCTACATATAGTTGCATTTTTGACATTTTCACTGATATCATCCCAAGGCATTAAGTATTTTTGACAATGTGACTTAATGGTTATATGACATTTCATTAATTTATTTAACCATATGTCTACTGACTATATGTGGTTAATTTTATAATCAGTCTCTGTGATGAAACTGTTATACACACATCTTTATGTAACATCTCTGATAATGTTCTTAGATTAGGTCTCTAGAAATGACATTACTGTGACTTAAAGGGTATAATAATAGCTAATACTTATATGGTGACTGTTGCCAAATCGTTCTAAGTGCTTTGCAGATATTCTAAGTGCTTTATAGCTATATCCTAGCTAATCCTTGCAACAATCCTATGAGGGAGGAAACGAAGGTCCAGAGAGAACAAGTGACTTGTCCAAAATCAGCCAGGAAGTGACACAGCCACGATTCACACCCAGGTAGTCAGGCTCCACGATCCATGCTCTTAATTACCAGGCTAGACTATCCTAATTCCACACTCTTTCAACCACATCATGCAAAGTCTCCTGGAAGTTTATTACAAATACACAAAACAGCTGAGGGACTTTTATTTTACTAAACATCCCAGAAGACTCTACCGTTTGAAAACTACTATTCTGATCTTAACAACAACAAAAAAGAGCAGAACACTTAATAAAACTCCTCCCATAAAACCTTTGATAGTTATATTGGTGGATGTTTTAAATATAGAAGGGAGAGCCAAGTAAGAGAGTACTCAAAATGGTTAAAATACATGTTTATGGCCTTAAATTAGGCAATGGCTTCTTAGAAATGACACCAAAGGCACAAGTGACAACATGAATTTAAAATGTTTTAATTACTAAAAATTACTTATAAAAATAAAAATAGATAAATTGGACTTCATCAAAATTAAAAATATTTACACTTTAAAAGATACTATCAGGACAAATACTATATGATTCCACTTATTTGAAGCACCTAGAATAGGCAAAGTCCTAGAGACAGAAAGTAGAATAGAGGTTACTAGAGGCTGGGGGAGGGGGAAGGGAGAGTTATTATTTAATGGGTACAGTGTTTCTGTTTGGGATGATGAAAAAGTTCTGGAAATGGAGGTTATAGTTACACAACACTGTGAATGTACTTAATGCCACTGAAATGTACACTTAAAATTGTACAAATGGTACATTTTATGTTATGCATATTTTACCACAATCAACACCACCAAGACAACCCACAGAATGAGAGAAAATACTTACAAATCATTTATCTGATACAGGAATTATATCCTGAATATACAACTGATAATCCAATTTTTCTTTTCTTTTTTTCTTTTTCTGAGACGCAGTCTCTCTCTGTTGCCCAGGCTGGAGTGCAGTGGCGTGATCTCAGCTCACTGCAACCTCTGCCTGCCAGGCTCAAGCAATTCTCCTGCCTCAGCCTCCCAAATAGCTGGGACTACAGGTGTGCGCCACCATGCCCAGTTAATCTTTTGTATTTTTAGTAGAGACGGGGTTTCACGACGCTGGCCAGGCTGGTCTCAAACTCCTGAACTCGTGATCCGCCCGCCTCAGCTTCCCACAGTGCTGGGATTACAGGCGTGAGCCACCATGCACGGCCCCAATTTTTCAAAAGGATATAAATCAATATTTCTCCAAAAAAGATACATACAAATGTCTGATAAGGACATGAAATGATGCTCAATTATTAGTCATTAGATTATCAGATTATTAGTCATTAGAGAAATACAAATCAAAATCATTAGATACCATTTCCTACCCACCTGATGGCTACAAAAAAGACCAACATTAAGAAGTATTGACCAGGAAGTGGAGAAATTCCTGGTGGGAATGGTATAGGCACCTTGGAAAACATTTTGGCAGTTCCTCAAGATGTTAAACACGGAGTTACCATATTACCTAACAATTCAATTCCAAGGTATGTACCCAAGACAGCTGAACACAAATTCACACAAAAGCTTGTACACAAACTTTCATAGTGACATTATTCATAACAGCCGAAAGTAGAAAACAGAAACTCAAATGTCCATCAGCTGATTAATGGACAAATAAAATGTGGTAGCTATCTCTAGAATGGAATTTTATCCAGCAATGCAATACCTACATAAACTAGAACTTAGATGAAGCTTGAAAATGCTAAATGAAAGAAGCCAGACACAAAAGACCACATGTTGTATCATTCCATCGATATAAAATGTCCAGATAGGCAAATCTAGAGAGACAGAAAGCAGATTAGTGGTTGCCAGGGTCTGAAGGGAGGAGAAAATGGGGGGGTGACTGCTAATGAATACAAACTTTCTTTTGGGAGTGATGAAAATGTTCTAGAATTAGGTAGCGGTAATAGATGCGCAATTTTGTGAATATACTAAAGACCACTATAGTGTACACTTAAAAAGTAAAAACAAACTAAAATGGTTGAGAAATTCATAAAAAAACATAAATTTTGAAACGAAGTGCTTATAAGTGTTAATATAAGACTGTAAGTATGTGACTTTTGAAAGAGACTCAGGACAGTAAAAGCCAAAGGATAAAGACAAAGTCTTTGTGGTAACTACAGACCATGGAGACAAAGATAGAAATGCCAAAACTGTCAGAAAATTAAGAACCAGGAGAGTATAGCGTACGAACAGAATTTTGGAAAGTTCTATTAAAATGCACACTAAAGAAGTTAGGAAAGTGAGTTTCAGAATAGGGAGAAAATAAAAAGAACAGCCACCAAAACTAAATCACTGAATGACTCATCTAAAAAGTTTCCTGATGACTTTAGAAAACTGTTTTTTTGTTTTTAAGAAAGGGTCTCTCTCTCTCTGTTACCCAGGCTGGAATACAGTAACTCGAACACATCTCACGGCAGTCCTAACCTCTTGAGCTAAAATGATCCTCCCATCTCAGAGTCCTGAGTAGCTGGGGCTACAGGAATACACCATCACACCCAGCAGGATTTTTTTTTTTTTTTTTTTTAAGAAAGATAGTTCTCACTTTGTTGCCCAGGCTGATCTTGAACTTCTGGGCTGAAGTGATCCTCCCACCTCAACCTCCCAAAGTGTTGGGATTACAGGCATGAGTCACCGCACCAGCTTTAAAAAATAAGCGAAGGTTTACCCATCAGAAAAGAACAAGGTTAAGAAGGTACATATATTATCTAAATTCATAAAACTGAAGGAGATATGGGCAGATTTCACCAAATGCTAGTAGTTGAGGACAAAACTAAAATTTAACCAGAATACTCTGGAAATGTATGAAAGTATTGCTATTACACAGTAAATTAATAGGACAAATTAATTATGCTGGATTTGCTGCCAATATTTCAGAAGCACTCTCATTTGTTCTAAATAGGCTGAGGTAATGATGAAAGATAGATGATGGTATACTGAACACTAGAATGTCAGCTCCATACGGACAGAAACTTTTATCAATTATAGAATTGAGCTCAGCACACAAGAAGTATTCAGTGTTAGCTAAATGAATCAACAGCACTTTGAAATCTATAAAATATCATACATGTTTTAGAAATTCATATCTAGAAATGAAATGTTAATGAATTTAAAAAGTCATTGATATCTGAGATCTAAAACTAGAGTTTCAGGGAAGAAAAGAATTAACCTCAAAAACTGGAAGGACATAAGAAGCCTACAGGGTGTAGGGGTGTAAGCCTGTAGTCCTAACTACTTGGAGGCTGACATGGGAGGATCACTTGAGCTCAAGAGGATTTTTTGGGTTTTCTTATTGAGACAGGGTGTCACCTGGGCAGAGTGCAGTAGCATGATCTTGGCTCACTGCAACTTCGGCCTCCTGGACTCAAGTGATCCTCCCACTTCAGCCTCCCAAGTTGCTGGGACCACAGGTGCGCACCACAACGCTCAGCTGATTTTTGCAATTTTTTGGTAGAGATGGGGTTTTGCCATGTTGCCCAGGCTGGTCTCAACTCCTGAGCTCAAGCAATCCACCCCGCTTAGCCTCTCAAAGTGCTGGGATTACAGGTGTGAGTCACCGCACCCGGTCAAATCCAGGAGTTTGAGTTCAGCCTGGGAAACATAATGTAGCCCAGACTTTTTACATTTCTTTAAAAAAAATTAAAAAGCCCACATAACTTGCTTGTGTTGTCAAATGTTTAACATATTAATACATTTCCCATATTTTTTACTGTCAATATTATAAAAAATATAAATAAGTCCATACATTTCTAAAGAGTTAACGACTTAAATGGTACAAATACCTACACACTCAGAATTCATCATGGTCAATTTAAAGGAACACACAATATAGAATATAAAATCCCCTATAGATGAAGATATAATTTAAGTGAAACAGAATAGACAAAACCAATACTGAGGAGATCTAAAGAGAAAATATAAAACCTAACTGTTAAAACCTATTCAATACTAATTAAACTAAGAACGATAAACACAGAAGCAAATAAGACAGTCCCCTAACTTAAAATAATTCAGGCAAATGTGACAGCACATTAATTATGTGCTGTCACATTTGTCACTACTGTAGTTTTTTAACTATGTTTTTATTTAAAATTTAGGCAAGGATGATTTCTAACAATGACTGTTTCAGCTAATTTACTTATAAGTTTACTTGGAGAAGAAGATAGACATTGCTCTTACTTAAAGCATTTATATATAAAAAGTATAAATAGTAAAATCAATACCATCAAAATAAAGGTGTTTCATATAAAAATATCACTAAGAAGGTCGCATCTAAATATTTACTCAACACAATTATTACAAAATTTTGTTCTTCAAATCAAAGTGCTCTGTTGTTAAAGATAAATGTCACTAGTTAGCTTAATTCACATATTTTCTTTTTAAGTAAGATACTTACAGATAATTGACATGCAATTAAAGCTGTAACTTAAGTTCAAACAATTCCCTTTGAACACAATAAAAAGACAGGCCACTAAAATATCCTGTTATACTTCTTACATTTTAATACTGTTTTTGATTTATCTGTTAAGTACTGTTTTTTCATCTAAAATATCAAGCAAAATTTGAGATCATTAATAGATCATTAATAAACAGATCTATTAAAATTAATGAATCAGTTTCAACTCTAAAGTTTAGTAAAAGATATAAATTGGTTCAAATATGAGAGATTTCTACTATTCATTAAAATTATAATTTTTAAATACTTAATCTGAGCCAATTCAGATGCTATGCAAAAAAAAAGCAATTTTTGGATTTTCTGTTGAAATAGAAATTTATTTGATAGTTTATCGAAATGAACTTTAAAAGAGTCATAACTGAGAAAATTATTCATACCTTAACTTTTTTTTCCCCCTTCTCAAACTGTTTTTCAAGACCCTGAGAAATTTACACCCTGTTTCAGGGATGTTATCTTAGTAGCAGAGCCATATTTACAATAAGGAAGTGACAGTGCAGATTCTGGGTTTTGACATACATGCTTTACAATAGAAAACATTGTGCAAGTAAAGAGTACAAAGGCTCAGAGCTACTACATATACTAAATAAAATGATCCTTTTTTTTTTTCTTTTTGAGATGGAGTCTCTGTTGCCCAGGCTTGAGTGCAGTGGTGCAGTCTCGGCTCACTGCAACCTCTGCCTCCTGGATTCAAGAGATTCTCCTGCCTCAACCTCCCAAGTAGCTGGAATTACAGGCATGCTCCACAATGCCCAGCTAATTTTTTTTTGTATTTTTAGTAGAGATGGGGTTTCGCCATGTTGGCCAGGCTGGCCTTGAACTCCTGACATCAAGTGATCTGCCCGCCTCAGTCTCCCAAACTGCTGGGATTACAAGCGTAAGCCAACGCGTCCATCCAATTTTTTAAAAGTAAGACTGCTGCTATATTTATACTGGGCTAAAACTCATAAAAAGCCATTCCTCTTCCCCCATCCCCTGTCCAAATAAGTTTTTCCATCCTAGAACCCAGAAAATGTATCTAATACATATATATTTCAGTATATCCTTATTATCTTTATATTCATGGATATTGTTTTCTAAAATTGAAATTATTTTATGTGACCCCTTTGCTCCAAAGCAACTTAATTATGTTCTTAAAATTTACAGTGAATATTTAATAACTTATCTTCTACTTAAAAATAACGACTTAATTTCTAGCTACCTAGTTTATAAAATACTTCCATATACATGACCTTATTTTATATGGTATAAATTCAGGAGAATTATTAGTCTTACGTGTTTAATAATTGCTCGATGGTTTCATTTTTACTTAATGTTGAAAGTACATTTTAACAAACTCACATATTTAGCACCTATTATAAAAACAAGAATGCAAAACTAGAAAACTACAAAATTATACAAATAGAAAATAAGTGACTAAAATAACATAAAATTAGGTAGAATTTGATAATTCACAAAATATATATCTACTGCAAAAAGATTAATATTTTACCACCGTGTTCCACTTTTTTTTTTCCTTAACCTTGGTTTATAAGCTCTTATAACCCTTCTTTAAAAGTCAGGTGTTCATCAGGATCAATACTAAAACATTTAATCCTTTTGTTATAAGATCTGTGATCTTGGCCAAATGTAAAGTAAGAATCATTCTTCCCCATAGTAAGCAGTCCTTAGCCTCTCATTCATATGCTTTGGACATAGTAAGAGCTGAATGTATACTTAGCTATCCACATACATATTTACACATATACACACACAAACTTTTCATAGAATTAATTTTTGCTATCATCAGAAATGCAAAGATAAGTTTCTGGCTTTAAGAACTCAGAACATGATTGGCTGGGCATGGTGGCTCATGCCTGTAATCCCAGCACTTTGGGAGGCTGAGGCAGGTGGATCACCTAAGGTCAGGGGTTCAAGACCAGCGTGGCCAACATGGTGAAACCCCGTCTCTACTAAAAATAAAAAAATTAGTTGGGAGTGGTGGCGGGCACCTATAATCCCAGCTACTTGGGAGGCTGAGGCAGGAGAATCGCTTGAACCCAGGAGGCGGAGGTTGCAGTGAGCCGAGATCATGCCATTGCACTCCAGCCTGGGCGACAGAGTGAGACTCCATCTCGAAAACAAAACAAAATAAATCAAACAAACAAAAATAACTCAGAACATGACATTTTGGACTTGATAAAGAAAAAAAGAACTCAGAACATCAAAATATCTATGGGAATATCATCTATAGCTGCTGAATTTCTAATTTGTGTTGAATTACAGAGTTTTAACATTTCCATATATTTTTAACAATGTGACTCATGTTGACAAAGATTCTTTGCTTGGCCAAACTTTACTCAGGCTTATGAACTCTCTTCTAGGCTCATCTGTGTACTTCCTTGTAAAATCCAGTTTTAGCCAAAGAACCTTGCTAAGTCAGTTTAGCCAGAACCCCCTCAACCTCGACATCTGATCATCCTTGATGTATGATCAGGTTCCTCATTATCTACCATCCCTCAGGTGATGTCTGAACACCCTGGCCTGACTCCACCAAGAATCCTGTTAGGTCGATTTAGCCAGAATCCCCCTTACCCCTGATGTTTCCTCTTAGTAATTTTCCAACCACTTACCCTCACACTGATCCTTGGCTATAGATTCCCAATTGCCCATGCTGTATTCAGAGTGAGCCCAGTCTCTCTCTACCCTCGCCCCGCAATCCCCACACCCCACTGCAGTGGTTTCTATACCTATCTCAATGGTCCTGAATAAATCTTCCTTACCATGCTTTAACAAGTGTCATTGAATAATTTTTTCCTTACCAACATCCCATTTGCACAAACTTATTCAACTCAGTAAGATTTCAATTTACACATAACTCTATTGAGAAATTAATCTGGACAGAGAGTGCCTGACCTGTACTGCTTTTTTAATGCCACATTTCCCCCGACATACAAGGGCAGAATCACCACAGGCTCCTTGGGAGCAGCAACAATTAAAACTGGAGAAAAACAAATGATCATCACTGAAGTATACAAACACTACCTTTCTTATGGAAATAACTTAATTACTCTCCGGATCCACTTATAGTAATGCATGTACAGAACTGTCACACTCCCTGTCACACTCCCTAACTCACTGCCTTCTTAACCAACTGCCGGCGAGCTTCCACATTCATCACTCTACTGAACAGCCAGCCCTCAAGCCATTGATGAGACAGACCCCTACCTGACAAGTCCAAGGACTACTTTCAACTCTTATAATGTAGCATTTGAGGGCTATTCACAACTCTCTTCTCAAAAACTCTCCCCTGCTTTGTACTTCACAAATCTAATCTCTCCTCATCCTCCTACTTCTCTGGATGGTCTTTTAAGTCTGCCTTCTTTTTTCCCTGCCAGCTGTTCAAATGCTGGTCATCCCCAGGGTTCTTCCCCAGCCTCTACTTTTCTAGCGATATACAAACTTCCCTGGGAGTGTATTTCCTGTAACCTTCACTACATGGGCTGATAACTCCCAAGTCTATCTCCCTCTATCCAGATGATTTGGCTACACACCAAGAATTTACCTCTAACTGTCCTCTTTACTGAATCACTCTACAAGTCCCCTTGCCTCTAGGCACAAAGCCAATGTCTTCCACATTATCACCATGACTGCTATTCTAAAAACAAAGATTTAAGCATGTGATTCTATTACTTAAAATCTTATCAAACTCCTCACCACCTGTTCCTAAAGGAAAAAGCAGCATTACACTAAAGTCCTTCAAGACTTGGTCCAAATCTACCTTTTCCACCTCATCTCCTGTCCTCTCTCCTATATGATTCACAAAAATCACTCAGTTTCTATAAACCACCACTGCTTTTACTCCTTCATGCTATCACTCATGATATATATTAGTGCTGCCTAGAATGTACTTCCCCTCATTTGCATGACAAAGTCTTGCTCTTCTTTCAAGACTTGTTTCAGCTGTCACCTGTGGAGAAACCATTCTAACCACTCTTTCTTCACCATCTTATCATTGGTCATTCCTTCCTAAACACTTCAACTGCGGATCATTTGACTAGTACCTCTCTTGGCAATTATTTCCTAGTATTGGTATTATCCAGAGACATGTCCACTTATGTAGAATCCCTAAAAGCAAGGATCATATCTTTCACTCCTATATCCCAGTCAGCTGGCAAATATGCCACATAGGAGATGCTCAATAAAGAGATGCCTAGCCGGGCATGGTGGCTCACGCCTGTAATCTCAGCACTTTTGGGAGGCTGAGGTGGGCAGATCACTTGAGGTCAGGAGTTCAAGACCAGCCTGGCCAACATGGTGAAACCCCGTCTCTACTAAAAATACAAAAATTAGCTGGGTATCGTGGCGCATGCCTGTAATCCCAGCTCTCAGGAGGTTCAGGCAGGAGAATCACTTGAACCCGAGAGGCAGAGGTTGCAGTGAGCGGAGATTGCGCCACTGCATTCCAGCCTGGGCGACAGAGTGAGACTCTGTCTCAAAAAAGAAAGAGATGCCCAATAAGCAAATGCTACATAATTCATGTCATTTCCTATTTTAAATATGCTAATGTTTGACCCCATGAACTAATCTACCCCAGATTTTAGCTTGAAAATATGATTGTATAGATTCAGTCCATGACAAAGCAATCGATTAATGGGTAACATAAAGTAGATTGAAGAGATGTGAAAAGAAAAAAAACTTATTATTGAACCTCATAACTCGATGTCAGAGTTATTCAAAAAAGATACCAAGTAGTGTGTCAATGATATAGTCCTCCATCTCCCATAAAAAGAACATTACTTCAAATTATAATTTCTTTACAGCTTCTCTCATCTTCAAGGGAGACACAAGCAATTTAACTTATAGATATTAGAATGCTCATAAGGGACTGGAAAACAGCTTTATTTCTGCTATAATGCATTTTTACTTGATGGCTCCCAAAACTACATAATTTTCGGCAGGGTGCGGTGGCTCACGCCTGTAATCCCAACACTTTGGGAGGCCGAGGCGGGCGGATCACAAGGTCAGGCGATCGAGATCATCCTGGCTAACATGGTGAAACCCCATCTCTACTTAAAAAAATACAAAAAATTAGCCAGGCGTGATGGCAGGCGCCTGTAGTCCCAGCTACTCGGGAGGCTGAGGCAGGAGAATGGCGTGAACCTGGGAGGCGGAGCTTGCAGTGAGCCGAGATCACACCACTGCACTCCAGCCTGGGCGACAGAGCGAGACTCCAACTCAAAAAAAAAAAAAAAAAAAATACAAAGACTAGCTGGGAAAGGTGGTGGGCACCTGTAATACCAGCTACTCAGGAGACTGAGGCAGAAGAATCGTTTGAACCTGGGAGGCGGAGGTTGTAGTGAACCAAGATCGTGCCACTGCACTCCAGCCTGGATAACAGAGTGAGACTCTGTCTTTAAAAAAAAAAAAAAAAAAAAAGCTATATAATTTTCACTTGGGAAGTTGGGAACGAAGCTGAGTGTAGTAGAATGTATTACTGTACTCAATTATTCTACTGCTTCTCCTATATGAGTATTAATTATACTTCCCTAACCAATTGCATTATGCATGGCCACGTGACTTGCTTTGGCCAATAAAGTGTGTGTTGAATAACATGTTCCCCTTTTTTAACTATAATTCCATGGTTCTGTTCTGGATAGCTCTTTTCCTTCAACCACCAGAACATACATGTCCCAGATAGGAGCTGCTCCTTCAGCCTGAACCCCTGAAAGGAGAACAACTATGGACAGAGCTGCCATCTACCTAAACATGTAACATGAGCAAGAAATAAATCTTTGCTGCTATAAGGCACTGTGGTTTTGGAGTTATTACCACAGTATTATCAAACTGATATGCTGAATTGGATGATCCTCCTTTATAATATCATTTAACACCAGGTATACACTGCTACTAAAATATTATACTAAACAGTTTTTTATTGTCTTATTCAAATAGACTTTAGGTTTCAAAAATTCAGACACCTGTTTTTTCATCTCTGTCACCTAGAAAAGTAGTAGTAGAAGGGGTTCTTTTACTTAGTAGTAGAAGACTGATAAATGTTTGCTGAAATAACTATAAAGGTACTTATATTTTCCAATAAATGTAGCTACATAGTTAACGTGAAAATGTTATACAAAAATAACATATGGTAAAGAACAGGTGAAGAGATTTCATGGCCATTTGTGACCTGGTCTTTATATAAAATCTCTTAACATTTTTCTAAAAGGTTTCAGGAATATATTTACCAAAGACCTCAATAATACCACTTTAGGTGGTATTCACTTGTTAACCAAGAAGGAAAAAAGAGAAGTGTGGTAGTAGAAGCAGATGGGCAAGTTCACATAATGTAAAATTCACATGCTTCCTCACAGATCTGTATTTACATGTATGTTGCTATTTAGTTTCTATAGGAATAGCTGACACAGAAAATAAAACCCAGAAGAATCAAAACATTACAAAATTCATATATCAGGGAACTTTAAATCATGATAATTTAGTCATTTAGCCCCGGGGCACAAACTTTATAACCTCTAATCCCCTTAAATGCATAATTATATTAGTAAATGCAACTAGGTCACTAAGACCTAAGAGAAGGTTATGCCCTTTGTTCTATTTAAGATGACAGGAAATGTTTAACTTTCTGTCCAAAACTGATTTGGGCATAAAAGGTATAAATTTTCAACTGCTCAGAAAATCCTATTTGTTAAAATGGCTCATTCTCTCAGGGTGTAAGGCAACTATGGCATCATTATGACTGGTGTAATCCCTAACCTATTACAACATATTTGAGTTTTAAATTTTATGTAGATTAAGAAATGTACCTCAAATTCTCTAAAACCAAGTAAACGTTTATGTTTGCTAAATCTTGCAAACATTTTATTCTATAGCTGAAATACTTGTTTGTTTTGTATTGCTATAAACAGATTACCTTAGACTGAATACTTTATAACTATATATATATATAAAATCTATCTATCTCACAGTTCTGAAGGCTGAGAAGTTCAACATCAAGTTGCCAGCATCTGGTGAGGGCCTTCTTGCTGCATCATACCATATACCATGGCAGAAGGCAAAAGGGTAAGAGAGCACAAGAGAAGGGGAGAGCAAGACAGGACAGAACTCACTTCTATAACAAACCCACTCCCAAGATAACAACATTAATCCATGACCTAATAATCACCTCTTATTAGGCCCCACCTCCCAATGCTGTTGCATTGGGGATTAAGTTTCCAACACATGAACCATGGCAGACACATGCAAACCTTAACATTCCATCCTAGCACCCCAAAATTCATGTCCTTCTCACAATGCAAAATGCAAAGATTCCATCCCAATAATCTTAAAGTCTTAACTCATTCCAATATCAACTCAAAAGTCTAAAGTCTCATTTAAATCAGATATAGGTGAGACTCAAGGCATGATTCATCCTGAAGTATATTCCCTCCAAGTGTGAGCCTGTTAAAACAAGTTACCAACTTTCCAAAACACAAGGCACAGGCATAGGACAGACACTCTCATTCCAATAGGGATGAGGAAAAGAGGGGTAACTGGTGGTCCCAAGAAAAACAACAATAAGTCTTAAAGCTGGAGAAGAATCTCCTTTGACGCCATGTCCAAAATCCTGGGCACACTAGGACAGAGGCTGGGCCCACTGGGGAAAGGTTGGGCTCACAAAGGCCTCAGGCAGCCCTACCTCTATAGCTTTCCTAGACTCAGTCCACCCAGCAGCTCTCACAGGTTGGAGTCTTATGCCTGCAGCCTTTCCAGGGTGCAGTTATATGCTGGTGGCCCTATAGTTCTGTGGTCTTGGGGGCTGCTTCATTCCCACAGCTTCACTAGGCACTGCTCTAGTGGGAACTTTCAGTAGTGGCTCTGCCTCTCCTACACATCTCTGTCTGGGCCCCCCGCCTATCCATGACATCCTTTGAAATCTAGGTGGAGGCTGCCATGGCCCCATGGTTCTTGAATTTGGTGACAGAATTATCACCAAGTGTACACCACCAGAGTTTATGGCTTGTACCTTTCAGAGCAGCAGGTTCAGCAACACCTGGGCCCACTTGAGCCACAGCTAGGGCAGTGTTGCAACAGAATGCAGGGAACAGAGATAGGGGCAGCCCTAGGCATCAAGCCCATTAAAGGTGCCAAAGGGTGCCCTGGCCCTGACTCAAAATTGTTCTGTCTTCCTAGAGGTCTGCACCCGTGATGACAGGGATAGCCTTGAAGATCTCTGAAATGGCTTCAGAGTCATTCTCCCATTTTCTTGATGATAAGTACTTGGCTCCCTCCTATCCATACTAATCTCCTTAGCAAACAGTTACTTGGCCACACCCTTGGCTTGCTCTCTTAAACATGCCTTTTCACTCTTTACATAGCCAGACTGCAAATTTTCCAAATCTTTCCTTTCTGTTTCTCTTTTAATTATAAATCCAACTTTAAGTCATTTTTCTCCTCTCGCATCTTAATGTATGCAGTTACAAATAGCTATGTAGCTCTTTCAATATTTTGTTTAAAAATTTCTTCCACCAGATATCCTAGCTCATCACTCTTAAATTCTGCCTTCCATAAAGACCTAGGGCAAGGACACAGAACAGTCATGTTCTCTCCCACTTCATAACAAAGATGACCTTTACTCCTGTTTCCAGTAAGATATTTCTCTCTTCCATCTGAGAGCTCATCGGAATGGCCTTTACTATCCCTATTTCTACCAATATTTTGATCATGAACACTTAAGTAATCTCTAAGGTTTTCAGATTTTTTGATACACGTTTCCCCTTCTTCGGAGCTCTCACCAGAATCACCATTAATGCTCCATTTACCACAACTGGCTTTTCCTAGCCTGCTCCTCCAAATTCTTCTCTACCCATTACCCAGTTCCAAAGCTGCTTTAACATTTTCAGGTGTTTGTTACAGCAACAACCCCACTTCTTGGTAGCAATTTTCTGTCTTAATCCATTTTGTGTTGCTATACCACAATATCACAGATTGGGTAATTTATAAAGAAAAGAAATGTATTTCTCACAGTTCTGGGAGCTAGAAGTTCTGTATCAAGGTGCCATCATCTAGTGAGGGCCTTCTTGTTGCAGCACTGCATGGCAGAACATGGAAAGGCAGGAGAGCATGAGACAGGGAGACAGCAAGAGGGGGCCAAGCTCACTTTTATAACAAGCCCACTCACACAATACTAACCCACTCCTAAGATAATGACAAAAATCCATTCATGGCTGGGCATAGTGGCTCATGCCTATAATCCCAGCACTTTGGGAGGCCAAGGTGGACAGACTGCTTGAGCCCAGGAGTTTGAGACCAGCCTGGACAATATGGCAAAACCCATCTTTACAAAAAAACAAAAAAATTAGCCAGGCATGGTGGTGCACACCTGTAGTCCCAGCTACTTGGGAGGATGAGATGTGAGGATCGCTTGAGCCCAGGAAGTGGAAGTTGTAGTGAGCCCAGATCATGCCGCTACACTCCAGCCTAGGTGACAGAGTGAGACCGTCTCAACAAAGAAGAATAAAAGGAAAGTTTGGCCACCTAAACATTGGCTTTTCCTACTTTTTAACTAAATGATATCAGAAAGCTCAGTCACAGTAACAAAACACCTTTTTAATTCTAAAACTGTTTAAATATAAGGTCATATTATTAACATCTCATTGGAAAGGAAACTTCTGCCTATAAATGCACAATATCCAAAAGAGCAAAAAGTAATTTTAAAAAGAATTAAAATGGTCCTGGAAAAGGGGAGATGCTGGAAAGATTTGGGGAATTTAACTGAAAAAGTCCTCTTTGAACATAAGCCCTTATAATGATATAGTATCCCCAAAATTTCTCTATTTCAAGAGATATGACCAAATCTCAAGAAATGGAAATATCCTATATCCAACAAATAATCAAATGTAAGTCCCAAAATAAAAGAGTATAAATCTGAATTTACCTAACGGAGATATGCTAAACATGCTTTCTTTTAAAAATCATGGCTCACACCTGTAATGCCAACACTTTGGAAGGCTGACATGGGCAGTCACTTGAGGTCAGGAATTCGAGACCAGCCTGGCCAACATGGTGAAACCCCGCATCTAGTTAAAAACACAAAAATTAGCTGGGTGTGGTGCTGCATGCCTATAATCCCAGCTACTTGGGAGGCTGAGGAAGGAGAATTGCTTGAACCTGGGAGGCAGAGGTTGCAGTGAGCTGAAATTGCGCCACTGCACTCCAGCCTGGACAACAGAGTGAAACTCCATCTCAAAAAAAAAAAAAAAAAAAAATCAGTCAATATTTATTTACTTAGAATAGCTTGTATAGTTACATGGTTTAAAAAGAACTAAAATGGTAAATACAATGAAAAGACTTCCTGCCATCCCTATTTCATATCAACACAGTCTCCATCCCCACTACACTCCCAGGTAACCGCAGCTACTAATTTCTTATGCCTCCTTCAGAGTTTCTTTAGGCATAAACAAATAACAAACATAGATTCTTATTTTTCTCTCCTTTACAAGAAAGGTAGATTATTATACACATGGTGCTGTCTCCTGTTTGTTCTTTTATTAACCCAATAATTTATATCTTAGAAAATCTCCCATATCAGTATATAAACAGCTTCCTTATTCTTTTTACAGCCTTTTCAATGAAGTAACATCTCAAAAAGCCAGCCAATCATTTTATAACCTATTTTATATCCCTTTAATCATCCCAACAAATACATACATAATGTAGCTGCAATAAGAAACCTTTGGAATTTAAGAAAATCTTATCTAATATTTTTAGTCCTTTTTTTTGAGAGGGTCTCACTCTGTTGCCCAGGCTGGAATGCAGTGGTGCAATCATAGCTCACTACAGTCTCAAACTCCTGGGCTCAAGCAGCTGGGGCTACAGGCATGTACCACCATGCCTCGCTAATTTATTTTTATTTTTTTATTCTATTTTTTGTATCTTATTATTTTATATATATGCGCATATATATGTGTGTGTATATATATGTATATATATATGTGCATACATAGGTATATATATATGTGTATGTATATATCTTATTCTATCTTTAAAGAATTTTACTGGGCAAGGTGGCTCACACCTGTAATCCCAGTACTTGGGGAGTCTGAGGTGGGTAGATCACTTGAGCTCAGGAGTTCAAGACCAGCCTGGGCAACACAGCGAGACCCTATCTCTAAAAAAAATTAAAAATTAGCCAAGCATGGTGGTGCGTGCCTACAGTCCCAGCCACGAGGAAGGCCTAGGTGGGAAGATCGCTTGAGCCCAAGAAATCAAGACTGCAGTGAGCAGAGATAGAGCCACTGAGTTCTAACCTGTGCAACAAAGCAAGACCCTGTCTCAAAAAAAAAAAATTATTTAAGTTGAAATACCTACAAAGAATTGAACAAATCAAAAGTGTATAGCTTGATGAATCACCACCAGATGAACACACCCTTGTAACTACCACCCAGATCAAGATATATAAGATTAATAACACCTCACCTATCCAAGTTTTTAATATTTCATGCTTTATTAGTATTATCTAGGAAATATGTTATAGAAAATTAATAGTGTTGAAGCTGGGCATGGTGGTTCTTGCCTGTAAACCTGGCACTTTGGGAGGCCAAGGCAGGCAGATCGCTTGGGCCCAGGAGTTGGAGACCAGCCTGGGCAACCTGGCGAGATCCTGTTTCTACAAAACACAAAAATTAGCTGGGTGTGATGGTGTGCACCTGTAGTTCCAGCTACTCGGGAGACCAAGGTGGGCAGATGGCTTGAGCCCAGGAGGTCAAGGCTGCAGTGAGCAGTGATCATGCCACTGCACTCCAGCATGGGCAACAGAGCAAGACCCTGTCTCAAAAAAAAAAAGAAGGGAGGGGCAGGGCAATGTGAAAAAAAAAAGGGAACATTAATAGTGTTGATGTCCTAAAATTCCATTTAGAATGTAAATATAGTTAGGGAGGTTATGTTCTTACATTCCTTCTCAGGTGGCTTAACTTTTTTTATTTCTCTTTTAAAATTTTAATTAAGTTAAATATAAAAATAAATATAAGCATATAAATATGAATGAAACAATAAAAAAAAAGTCGGTGTACCCAACTGCCAGCTTGAGAAACTCCCTGCCCCTTCCATCATGGCAAGCACTAAGACTTAGTCATTCAGAGCACAGACTCAAGCCAGACTTGCTTGGATTTGATGATAAGGTCTACCACTTATTAGTGGTATAACTTTAGGAAGTTAAGGTTTTTCTGCTTCTTTATTTATAAATGAGAATAAAAATAGTGCCTGCATCACAGAAGTACTTGATTATGAGAATCAAATAAGTATTCATTTATAAAGTATTTAAAACATCTTGCAACATGTAATATATAAATTTAGCTATTTTTACATTAACTCTGCCTCCCCCACAAGGATTGCTTATCATTCTATTACTATATTTATAGCAAAACAGATATATCAGTACGTATGGTGATTTTTCATTTTTATTTTATTTTTGTTTTTTTTTTTTTTTTTGAAACAGGGTCTCACTCTGTTGCCCAGGCTGGAGTGTAGTGCAGCGATCTCAATTCACTGCAGCCTCAACTTCCTGGGCTCAAGCAATCCTCCCACCTCAGCCTCCTGAGTAGCTGGGACAAGAGGCACACATCAGCATGCTTGGCTAATTTTTTGTATATTTTGTAGAGATGGAGTTTCGCCATGTTGCCCAGGCTGGTCTTGAACTCCTGGGCTCAAGCAATCTACCTGCCTCAGCCTCCCAAAATGCTGAGAATACAAGTGTGAGCCACTGCGCCCAACTGATTTTTCAAATTTTATCTTAAATGACATCACAGTGTAAGTATTCTTTTGCACCTTGCTCTTTTTATTCAACATTTCTGAGATTGATCTGCATTGATATATGCAGCTATTGTTCATTCACGTTCAATACTGTACAGTACTCCGTGGTGTAATTTAACAGAAGTATGTACATATTCCTGTCAATGAACATTTGGATGTTTGCTATTATGAAAAATCCTACTATAAACATGCTTGAACACGTCTCCTGGCAAACATATAAAAAAAATTTCCTAGAGTATATACCTAGGAGAAGAACTGCTGGGTCAATAGATATACAGAAATTCAGCATTGTAACCATGTCACACTGTTTGTCAAAATGGTTATAACATTACATGATTCATTAGAAGAGAAGAAAGCCTTAACTCAATTACCTAAGATTCTAATTTGAGAAACTAGACAGCCTGGGCAACATACAGAGCCCCTATCTCTACCACAAATTTTAAAATTAGCCAGGCATGGTGGCATGCACCTGTAGTCCTAGCTACTCAGGAGGCTGAGGACGGGAAGATTGCTTGAGCCCAAGAGTTTGAGGCTGTGGTGAGCTATGATTGCACCACCACACTCCAGCTTGAATGACAACACAGCAAGGCCTGGTCTCAAAAAAAAAAAAAAAAAAAGAAAGAAAGAAAAGAGAAACTAGAAAAAGAGGAGGAAATTAAACACAAAGCAAGCAGAAACAAGGAAATAATAAAGAACAAAAATTCAGGAAATAGAAAATAGAAAAATAATAGAAAAAAATCTACCAAAAAAACCCTGATTCTTTAAGAAGAACAATAATGTTGATAAATCTCTAGCCAAAGTGTAATGGAAAAAAAAAAAGGCACACATTACCAACATTGAGAATAAGAGAGGTAATGACACAGCACCACAGATTCTACAGATACTAAAAGTATAACAAGGTAATATTATGAATAATTTTATAATAAAGTCAAGAACTTAGATGAAACAGACAAATTTCCTGAAAGATACAAAATATCAAAGTTAACTCAAGAAAAAATAGATGACTAGAAAAGCTCTGTTTCTATTAAAGAAATTGAACTTATAGTTTACAACATTCCACAGAACATAAATAGGTCCAGATGGCTTCCTTTGGTAAATTCTCACAAGCATTTAAGACGAATACTTCATGAACAGAGATACAAAAATCCTTAACAAAATATAAGCAAATCAAATCCAGCAATATATAAAAGGGATAATACATCACAACCAAGTGTAGTTTATCTCAGGAATGCAAACTTGGCTTAACATTCAAAAATCAATCAATGAAATTCACCATATCAACAACAAAGTATGAGAGTTGCTACTGCTCTACGGTATCACTCACACTTGATATTATCCAAGTTTTTAATTGAGTAGAAACGGCATCTCATGGTTTAAGTTTACACTTCCTTACTTATGTTGAAAGTTGAGCATTTGTTTATTGCTGCATCTTATTTATTCGGTGAAATTCTTATGTGTGTCTTTTGACTGTTTCTTTTCTGTTGGGTTGTCTTTTATTTAAACAACTTATTTCTATTTTCTGAATACTAACCTTTTGCAAGTGATATATGTTTTACAAATATATTTGCCAATTTTTTTCTTCTGAACTTTTCTTATTCTTTTTTTTTTAAGCTGCCTAGGCTGGAATACAGTGGTGATTCACAGGCACCATCAAAGCACATTACAGCCTCAAACTCCTGGGCTCAAGCAGTCCTCCCGTCTTAGCCCCCAAGTAGCTGGGACTACAAAGCAAGTGCCACTGCGCCTGGCTATTCTATCTTCCAATGAATAAAATTAATTTTTAATGTATTTGAATGTATTAATCTTTTCCCTCAATGTATGCTTCCTGTAAATTATTATAGCCTCCCTGAATTCAAGGTCATAAGGATGTTATCCTATATCTTCTTCTAAGAGGTTTTTTTAAAAAAGTCAAATTTCTTTTTTTAAAATTTTATTATTATTATACTTTAAGTTTTAGGGTACATGTGCACAATGTGCAGGTTAGTTACATATGTATACATGTGCCCTGCTGGTGTGCTGCACCCATTAACTCGTCATTTAGCATTAGGTATATATCCTAATGCTATCCCTCCCCCCTCCCCCCAAAAAAAGTCAAATTTCTTACGCTAGTACTTCCATAATTTCTTTGGAGAAAGGTATTGTGTTGGCAATAATTTTTTTTAACCATCTACTACATGACAGGCACTATACCTATACTGTCGGGCCACAAGGTAGCATAGTCTATTACAGTTACTTTTAAGGAGATTTTAAGCTAATTAGGGCCATAATAATCAAATAATTTACCCAGAACCATATATAATTAAGGGTTAAGTGAAGTGTTAAACATGATCAAAGTTCAAAATATTAAGAGAATAAACAAATCAGGCCAGGCACAGTGGCTCACACCTGTAATCCCAGCACTTTGGGAGGCTGAGGCAGGTGGATCACCTGAGGTCAGGAGTTCAAGATAGCCTGACCAACATGGTGAAACCCTGTCTCTACTAAATACAAAAAATTAGCCAGGAGTGGTGGCACCCACCTGTAATCCCAGCTATTTGGGAGGCTGAGGCTGGAGAATCACTTGAACCTGAGAGGTGGAGGTTGCAGTGAGCCAAGATTGCGCCACTGCACTCCAGCCTGGGCAACAAGAGCGAAACTCTATCTCAAAAAAAAAAAAAAAAAAAAAGAGAGAGAGAGAGAGAAGGGACAAATCAGGGAGAATTGTGGAAATTGGTAAAATTTCACAAAGAAAGCATTAAACGATCACTTATTTGATCTATCACTCAATTCTGATTTAGAATAAAACAAAAATCCATAGAATTTGCCCAAAACATATCCACACTTAAAACAGCCAACAGATAAGAACCACAAAGTCTGAATTAGTACAAAACTCTAATGTGAAAGCAACAGAAATGGGAAATATAATGAAGGTAACAATGTTAAATGTATAAACATTATATAAATTTTCATTTTCTGTACCTACAGCACTTAATAACTAAGATTTACCCAGCCCAACCAACTCCAAAGACAACCAGAAAATTCAAAGTTCAAAAATAAAGAAAGCTTAAGTGAGTGGAATAACAACTAACTGCTACTATTATCAAAGTAGCACATAGTCATAAAACTGAAACTATGGCATTGATTCCAGAAGGGAGAATGAGTATCCTTTTCCACAAATCTATTTAATTTTTTTAAATTATTTAAAAAATTGGCCCGGCGTGGTGGCTCACGCCTATAATCCCAACACTTTGGGAGGCCGAGGCAGCTGGATCACCTGAGGTTAGGAGTTTGAGACCAGCCTGGCCAACATGGTAAAACGCCATCTCTACTAAAAATACAAAAAGTAGTCAGGTGTGGTGGTGGGCGCCTGTAATCCCAGTTACTTGGGAGCCTCAGGCAATAGATCACTTGAACCCGGGAGGCAGAGGTTGCAGTGAGCCAAGACTGCACCACTGCACTCCAGCCTGGGCAACAAGAGCGACACTCCGTCTCAACAATAATCATAATAACAATTTTTTTGAGATAGGGTCTTGTTCTGTCTCCCAGGCTGGAGTGCAGTGGCGCGATCATAGCTCACTGCAGCCCCCCAACTCCCAGGCTCAAGCTATCTTCTGCACTCAGCCTCCCTCAAGCAGCCGGGACTACAGGCATACACCACCACGCCCGGCTCTTTTTTTTTTTTTTTTTTTTTTTTTTTTTGTACCAACAGGGTTTCACTTTGTTGCTCAGGCTGGTCTTGAATTCCTGGGCTCAAGTAATCCTCCTGCCTCAGCCTTCCAAAGTGTTGGAATTACAGGCGTAAGCCAATATGCCTGGCCCAGCCACAAGTATTTTTAAAGTGGCTGAACTTGAAAAATACAAAGTTTTCGCCGGGCGCGGTGGCCCACGCCTGTAATCCCAGCACTTTGGGAGGCCGGGGTGGGCGGATCACAAGGTCAGGAGATCGAGACCACGGTGAAACCCCGTCTCTACTAAAAATACAAAAAAATTAGCCGGGGGCAGTGGTGGGCGCCTGTAGTCCCAGCTACTCGGGGGCTGAGGCAGGAAAATGGCGTGAACCCAGGAGGCGGAGCTTGCAGTGAGCCGAGATCGCGCCACTGTACTCCGGCCTGGGCGACAGAGCGAGACTCCGTCTCAAAAAAAAAAAAGAAAAATATAAAGTTTTCTTATCCAATCCCAACATTCAGATACCAAAACTCCAAATATTTGGTTTGGGGAATAATATTTTGGCAGCAGGACTTAAATATCAGGAGTAAACATTTTTCTATACAAAATGTTTAACTTTGCATTTAAGTATATATATGAATACATATTAATGCTTAAATATATGAAGCACAATCATCAGACCTACAACAAGGCAGCCATGTTAAAAATAATTGTCTGTTGGCCGGGCGCAATGGCTCACACCTGTAATCCCAGCATTTTGGGAGGCTGAGGCGGGTGGATCACAAGGTCAGGAGTTCAAGACCAGCCTGGCCAACATGATGAAAGCCCAGTCTCTACTAAAAACGCAAAAATTAGCCGGGTGTGGTGATGCATGCCTGTAATGCCCGCTACATGGGAGGCTGAGGCAGAAGAATTGCTTGAACCCAGGAAGCAGAGGTTGCAGTGAGCCAAGATCATGCCACTGCACTCCAGCCTGGGGGACAGAGTAAGACTTCGTCTCAATAATAATAATAATAATAATAATAATAATAATTGTCTATTAAAGTCTAATTTCTCTTGTGCCTAAGACTACATACCACTATGACAAAGCAATAATAATAAAGATTAGTGAAAGGAGACAGTAATAACAACTAATTTTCATAATAATACTAACACCTAATGTTTGAAGTACTTTTTAATCATTTTTTCACACATTATTCAAAAAGTTTACCTATTTTTATATCAGCTTTCAAAATAGCTGCAGCTAAAATAAAGGATAAAATTTTAATACAGTTCTCAAATCAGGGAAGTGGGTAAAAAAACTATTAAAACCAACAAACTTAACTGCTGCTCATCTTAAAACTCTGCCTCCACACAACTGGCAATTATAAATAAACCTCAGTTTAGAGTATCAGTTTAAAATGGTAAGACTAGTACTACTACATAGGTGTTATGTTTTAAAATATATTTCATACTGAAGTTCTGAAGCAGTTTCTATCATTTAATACCTACCTTTTGCTTGGACAATTACATACAATATTTTCATCATAATCCTTTTAACTTCTTTCATTGTTTTATTCAAAGTATTAAATCTATACTTCTGGCAATATCAGAAATAGTATTTAAATGAGCTTACTGCAGTATTTTAAATGATATAAAAAACCTTAAAAATGCACACAAGTGCAGTCTTTTAATATGCCAAGATAAAAATAATCTTGAAAATAAGAAACATCCTATTTTCCAATACGTAGGTAGTTTTTAAAAATAAAAGAAAATAAATTATATTAATACTTCGGAATCTTCAAATCTTGTCTGCTCACTATACTTATGAAACCAATCTTTATCATTTTACAATCACTCTAATATGAAGTCAGAATGCTAAAGCAGACAGGTGTTTCATAACCCACCTTAGGACATACTAGTTTAGTTATTGGGTTATCGAGATGAATTAAGTGGAGGCATTGCTTTCCCCACAGTTGCAACTCCAAGATTCTTAGCCCCCAAAGTTTATGCCTTGATTTCCTAAAGGTTTTTGCCCTATGGTCCCATCAACCCTGTACAGAAAGTCCTCACTTAACATAGTCATGGATAGGTTTTTGGAAACAGTGATTTTAAGTAAAATGACATATTGTATAAAGAAACCAATTTTACCAATTTTACCATAGGCTAATTAATATAAACAAGAATTAAGTTCCTACAGCATATAGTACATGATGTGGCTTAGTCTCACAGTTTCCAAGAACCTATTGATGACACTGATGTTGAGGACTTACTTATCTCCACCGCTTACCTGAAATGCAGTCTAACTGAGGTTCAACTCTGTCATTTAATCTAAACCATCTGGTGGTAATCCAGTAACAGGGCTCCTTAAAATACAAACTCTACTTGGAGGAAACACTGGTCATTTTCTTGGATGCTGGCATCTCAACCCACTGGCTATTACTGGATAATTATCCAACTTGGTGGGAGGCAAAGCCTATCCCCCCACTAAAAGCTGAAATGACACACGCTGTCGTTTATAGCTTCCTTTGAAGCTAAGTCATGGTCATGTACCTAGGCTCAACCAAACATACAAGCTTAGCACTTTACATCAGGAGTTAGTGTCACAAAGAAACATGATGGTAGGCTGGGCGTGATGGCTCACACCTGTAATCCCAGCACTTTGGGAGGCCGAGGCGGGCGGATCACCTAAGGTCCGGAGTTCAAGACCAGCCTGACCAACATGGAGAAACCCTGTCTCTACTAAAAATACAAAATTAGCCAGGCGTGGTGGCGCATGCCTGTAATCCCAGCTACTCGGGAGGCTGAAGCAGGAGAATCGATTAAACCTGGGAGGCAAAGGTTGCGGTGAGCCGAGATCATGCCACTGCACTCCAGCCTGGGCAACAAGAGTGAAACTCCATCTCAAAAAAAAAAAATTAAAAAAAAGAAACATGATGGTAGATTTATCTGGTGGCAGAGCAGAAGCATCATCACCCACTTTTCAGAAGCAGCAATAACAACAGTGCCAAAGGCATCATCCAATATCAAATGTCAACATTATAAGCTGAGGTATAAGTGCTCAAGAAATGCAGCAGCCATGTCTGCACAACGCCACTTCTGTGGCACGATTTTGGCTGTGACTCCAGCATCGGTTTCCAAACTGAATCCCAGCCTTTCAACGATTCTGAAAACAACCCAATCCCCTTTCAACATACTGCTATTCTTCTTAAATCAGCTATCAACAATGTCTGTGGCATATAACTAAAACCTCAACTGATAAAATGTTCTTCCAGACTCAACTGCCTCCTGACTGTTCTTCTGGGGAATGCCTTTCAATACAGACCTTTATACACCAAGGACATATACACCAAGGACACCTGTTATTCTCTACCCTAAATCTTCAGGGTCCAATTCAAGTCCCCCTTACATGACAAACAAGCCTTCTCAATCTTGATCACATAGTGCTCTTAATTCTTCCTTAATTCTTTATGGGAGTTAGCTTTAGCTTTCCAATTAAACGAGAAACTCCTTGAAGACTGAAGTAATATCGTAATTTCACCATGTTCTATGGTGCCTGATAAGAGCATTATAGGTTCTTTTATATTTTTCCTAACTGACTGACTAGATTCTTGTAATTTACCCAACTTCTTTAATTTCAAATCTTCAAGTAAGGCGGATCTTAAGTATGCTACTGATTTTATTGCTTTAACAGGGAAACTGTACAAACTTAGTAGAAGTGGATAACACGCATTAATCAACAGATGATTTCTTTAACATATTCAAAAAAGTTTCACGCATTCAAAAAAGAATTTACTTAGTTTAGGGAACTCAAAAGATATATTCAAAGAAGAAATTTTTTCAACAATGAAAAAGCACATTTACAAAAAATAAGGCCAAGTACAGTGGGTCATGCCTATAATCCCAGCAGTCTGGGAGGCCAAGGTGGGGGGATCATTTGAGCCCAAAGTTCAAGGTTACAATTAGCTGTGACTGCACCGTATTCCAGCCTGGGCAACAGAACAAGACCCTGTCTAAAAAAAAAGAAGAAAAAGGCCAGGTGCAGTGGCTCATGCCTGTAATCCCAACACTTTGGGAAGGCAAGGCAGGGGGATTACTTGAGCTCAGGAGTTTGAGACCAGCCTGGGCAACATGGCGAGATTCCATCTCTATAAAAAATTTTAAAGTTAGCTAGGCATGGTGGCATACACCTGTGGTCCCATATACTCGGGAGGCTGAGGACGGGGGATTGCTTGAGCCTAGGCAGGGTTGGGTTGAGGCCGTAGTGAGCTGTGATCCACCATTGCACTCCAGCTTGGGTGACAGAGTAAGTCTCTCTCCCTCTCTCTCTCTCTCTCTCTCTCAAAGGAGGAGGAGGAGGAGAAAGAGAAGGGAGGAGAGGAGAGGGGAGGGGAGGGGAGGGGAGGGGAGGGGAGGGGAGAGCAGAGGGAGGAGCAGGAGCAGCATACAGGAGAGGAGTTTGCGTAAGTAATACAGGTTGAGCAACCCAAATCTGAAAATTTGAAATCTGAAATCTGAAAGGTTCCAATGAGCATTTCCTTTGAGTACTATGTCAGTACTCAAAAAGTTCTGAATTTTGGAGCAAATTGATTACAGATTTTTGAATTAGGAATGTTCAACTGGTAAGTGTAAGTATAATGCAAATATTCCAAAATCCTAAAAAATCTGGAATCCAAAAAACTTCTGATCTCAGGCATTTTTGATAAGGGATATTCAACTGGTATTACTATACAAACACACCAACCAAAAAAGAAAGAAAAATTCTAACAGCCACAAGCTATTGACTGCCTATCCTGTGCCAGGTATTCTGCTAAGTGCTTTACAATTCTCATCAAATGTTTACAAAAGTCCCATGAAGTAAATACGATTATTAGCCTCCTTTTACATATGAGGAAAACTGAAAACACAGAGACTCCCCAAGGTCACATATCTGGCAAGCAATGGAGCCAGGATTCCAATACCAGTAGTCCAACTCCAAAATCTTTGACTACACTGCCTCCCTTAAGGCATCTGCCTTCAGTTCTCGACTACCCCCAAAGAACTGACAGCAGCTCTATTTTCTTCCCCCCAATTTTGTCAACTTCTGGGTTTGCATTCCCAGAATACATCACTCTCTTTCAGGCTTTTCTGCCTTAAACATATGCTTCCAGCTAGAATGCATTGCTCTTTTTTATCCAGCTAGCAAAGCCCTACTCACTCTTCAAACAGTGGCTTAAAAACAACTTTCTCTGTGAAGCTCTCTTCTTTGCTCCCACATTTTCTGCCCCCAATCCTGGGGGAAGGAATACATCACTCTCTTAGCTCCCTGGAAACAATGATTCACAGATGCTACTATTGTTTGACTTATTTGTATCGTAATTATATTTTTCCAGGATTATGTGCTGGACACCACACCGCACTGCAAGAATGAGACACTCAGATACTAAAGACTAAGAATGCATAATGGCCCCAGTTTGGGTTCAGCTACAATTTAAATGAATACTGTCTTCTAATCAAACTAGTACAGTTCATCCTAACAATACTTTACTGCTTCTATGTATGTGCCTGCATACATCAAAGATTCCTTGGTAAGTAAAATCAATCTTATGCTGAACTGATTGAGGTGCAGATCGAGACTTTTAAACTATATCTTAACCATTTCTCTCAATTCTCACATTAATACTCTGGCACTACAACTTCTCAATAACACCAAAATTGTGCCTAGAAACAAATATTTCAAGATTGGAAACGTACTATCTATATACTACATTTGTTAAAACAAAGGTCCAACCAAGAGTAAGACATTCACAATAAGGAAGCAGAGAGAAAAATCAAACTATATGGTACTTCAAAAGTTGCTCTGTTAATCCTACCTACCTTGAATACTCACTCACTGTCTTCTACTTCCTATATCCCAAGCTGCTTTCACTAAGCTATTACTTCATCTAACATTCCTTTTTGGGCCTAGGTGCGGTAGCTCACCCTGTAATCCTAACACTTTGGGAGCCTGAGGTGGGAGGGTTGCTTGAGCCCAGGAATTTGAGACCAGCCGGGCAACATAGTGAGACCTTGTGTCTTAAAAAAAAAAATCCAGCCGGGCGCGGTGGCTCATGCCTGTAATCCCAGCACTTTGGGAGGCCAAGGCGGGCGGATCACGAGGTCAGGAGATCGAGACCATCCTGGCTAACACGGTGAAACCCCATCTCTACTAAAAATACAAGAAACTGGCTGGGCGTGGTGACAGGCGCCCTGTAGTCCCAGCTACTCAGGAGGCTGAGGCAGGAGAATGGCGTGAACCCAGGAGGCAGAGCTTGCAGTGAGCCAAGATCGCGCCACTGCACTCCAGCCTGGGCAACAGAGCAAGACTCCATCTCAAAAAAAAAATAAAATAAAATGAAAATCCTTTTTGGAGATATAATTCAAACACCATACAATTGCCAATTTAAGTATACAATTCAGAGTTGTGCAACCATCGCCACAATCAATTTTACATTTTCATCATCCCAAAAAGAAACTCGTACCAATTTGGCAGTCATATCCTATGTTAGTCAAGGCTCTAGAAAAACAGAACCGATTGCATGTACATTTATATAGAGAGATTTATCTAATGGAATTGGCTCACGCAACTGGGGTGGGGGGTGCTGGCAAGTATGAAATTGGCGGGGCATATCATTAGACTAGGGATTCAGGGAAGAGCTGTTGTGTAGTCTTGAGTCCAACAGCTTTGTGAGGGCAAAATTCCTAACTTCAGGGGGACCTCAGTCTTTTTTTTTAAGGCCTTCGACTGATTAGAGAGGCCCACCCACATTATGGAGGGTAATATGCTTTACTCAAAGTATAATGGTATAAATGTTAGTCACATCTAAGAAATACTTTCACAGGAATATCAGGTTGGTGTTTGACCAAAAGTTGGTCAAGTGAAAAACTGATACCACAGCCTAGCCACACTGACATAAAATTAACCATCACATTCCTAATTACCCTCAGCCCCTAGAAACCACCAATCTTTGTTTCTATGAATTTACCTATTCTACACATTTCATATAAACAGTTGCCCAGGCTGAACTTGAAATCCTGGCCTCAAGCAATCTTCCTGCCTCAGCCTCCCAAAGTGCTAGGATTACAGGTGTGAGCCACCACACCTGGCCTGCTTGACTTTTTATGAGAATGTATTCCTGTTATTTGTATAAGTAAAAAATAAGAAAAGCTTGAAAGTCTATATTGGAAAATCCTTTCTGCTTGGCTCAGCTAGAATAAGTCAGTACTTATATATAAATAAAACTGTAAGCCTGAAAATATTGAGAAAATCTTAACACACAGTTTCTATGTGCTTAAATTTAAAATCCAACCCAAATTGTATACTTGACAAAAGATACAGTACTAACCACCAAACACGTCCATATTTTCAAGTGCCTATATAAGCTTTCCTTCTTTTCTTTACATTTGTCAGCTACTCTCTTATAAAGCATGAAAAATGTACATGGCCAAACAAGTTTTTCCAAGGCTGTTTCATTCATTTTCATATATACCCAAAGCCAAATCAGTTTGCCTGAATGCAAGCCCAAGAAAAAATATTGTATTTCTAGGAGTAGTAGAGGTAAGTTTTTAAAAATGTTAGCTGACTCAGAGAAATAATTAACTTGAGTTATTTCAGTCTTTGAAAGTCCGTAATATGACAAGTTTCGGTTATACATCAAAAAGCAATAGCTTAGATTACCTTTCAAGAGAGCAAAAGACAGATTTTCATAATAATTGCTCAGTCCCTAAGAAGACAGTTCAGAATAAATGTCTAATAGTTGGCTTTCATTTTGGGGGGAAAAAAACTCCCATAGTTACCACTAGATGATCTTGTACAAATAACCTCTAAACATCAAACTCTTTTTGGACAAAAGCGAGCCAGACTGCAGCTGTTTTACTTACCTTCTAAGAGTGTTATATAGACCAAATGAAACAAGAAAGCACTCTGATTATTCTAAAACCTTTTAAAATTATTTTGTGTGAAATTGTAATAGTTCATATATATAATTTCATATCACCAATCACAAGATTTGGATCTACGATCCAAAAACACTTAGCAAAATGTTTTGCAAACTGCAAGCTCTCAATAAATAATGACTTATACAAAGACTACATATTGATAATTGAGTCCATGATCTCAAATTGAGAACTAACTTGAATGACTTTCTGCCCTTTAACACTGCACAGGTTTGCAGAAATACAAACCGCTCCATTGTTCACATTTCCCTCATTCAAACATGAATGTAGTGCCTATTCTCTTGCTCTCAAGAGTTCACATCTGATGGGACAGTAGTACATTTGCATCATAGTTATTTTGTTGTTTATGTCCCATAATGAAATTATATACAGGCCGGGTGCAGTGGCTCACACCTGTAATCCCAGCACTTTGGGAGGCTGAGGCAGGTGGATTGCTTGAGGCCAGGAGTTCGAGATCAGCCTGGGCAACATGGTGAAATCCCATCTCTACTAAAAATACAAAAATTAGCCAGGTGTGCTGGGGGGTGCCTGTCATCCCAGCTACTTGAGAGGCTGAGGCAGGAGAACTGCTTGAACCCATGAGGTGGAGGCTGCAGTAAGCCAAGATCACACCACTACACTCTAGCCTGGGTGACAGAGAGGGACCCTGTCTCAAAAATAAAAATAAAAATAAATTTAAAAAAAAGAAATAAAGAAATTATACACAAAGTTAAATGGAAGTATAGAGGAAGAAGCAATTAATTCTTCAGTTAAAGGGAGTCAGGGAAGGTTTCACATTGGAACTGAGCCTTAAGGGATGACAAGAAGAGGTCATTCTAGAAGACAAAACAGCAAAAAAAGGCACTTGTTCTAGAAACAGTGAACACTGTCATACAGCTAGTACACAAAGTTTGGGGTGAAGAAAAAACAGTAATAAAAGAGAGAGCTAGAAAAAAAGAAAATAAGATATAGATTTTAATGCTAAAAATTAATGAGGCAACGTCAAAGATTTTTAAGCAAAGGTGTAACTATTTATCTACCTATATAGTGTCAGTAAGAGAAGCATGTACCTGAGAAGAGGAAAGAGTCTGGACTGTAAACTTAGAACGTTTCAGCCGCTAATAAATGCCACCATTTTTCTTGATTCAAGTAACTATGAAGTAACTGACATATATTAAGAGTTAACTTCACAATCTTTTCACTTAAAACTCTAAATGACATTCTCTTCCCTACTTACCAAAAAGAATAAATACTAAGCTCTAGCAGAAATATCACTTAAGAAAACCAGACAGGTAGACTGGGTGTGGTGGCTCACGCCTGTAATCCCAGCACTTTGGGAGGCTGAGGCAGGCGGATCACGAGGTCAGGAAATCGAGACCATCCTGGCTAACACGGTGAAACCCTGTCTCTACTAAAAATACAAAAAAAAAAAAAAAAAAAAAAAATTAGCCGGGTGTGGTGGTAGGCGCCTGTAGTCCCAGCTACTCAGGAGGCTGAGACAGGAGAATGGCGTGAACCCGGGAGGCGGAGCTTACAATGAGCCGAGATCGCGCCACTGTATTCCAGCCTGGGCAACAGAGCAAGACTCCGTCTCAAAAAAAAAAAAAAAAGAAAGAAAATCAGACAGAAGCCTAAAAGGGCAAAGAGTGAATTTAACCTAAGGAGTAATGTCAAAGAACTAAGTGGGAAAAAAAATGCTTTAAGTATATACACTGTCGATATTTTTAACAATTTGAAATCACAGATAAAATATTTTATCAATTTCCCACTATTATGAAAAATAATATAGAGGGAAATGAACATGTGCTTTAAAGATATAATCTGGCTTCCTATACATGTTCACATTATGTGTCTTAAATACAACTTGTCAAGTAAAAGACTTTCTCACAAACACCAGCACCCCTTAATGATCTTTATACTTCTGTCAACAAAAAACTTAAGTATCTGTTAAAACAAACATACAAACAAATAAAAAGTAAAAGAATGTATGACCTGCCATTCTCCCAAAAGCTGAGGCTAGGATCTTTGTGGTCATGTTTAGATGTGTGGAGGAAAAAAGAAGAAACAATCTTGGTTGTCAAATTCAGCAGGCTCTTCACAATGTCTTCCTTACAATGTCCTTGGAACATGCCGTATCATCCCTGCTTCTTCCTCCCACCCAAAACTCCTTTCCCTGACTGACCCTAACTACAATCTATCCCTTAACCCCATATTTTTTTTTAAGATGGGTCTCACTATGTCACCCAGGCTAGAGCAATCATAGTGCACTATAGCCTTGAACTCCTGGCCTAAGTGATCCTCCTGTTTCATCCTCCCAAATAGGTGGGGCTACAGACCTGATGCACCCCTGGCAAATACAAGTTTTTGAACTTTTTGTTTTTTAGAGACAAATTATTGCTATGATGCAAAGGCTGCAGTGCAGTGGATTTTCACAGGTGCAATTTTGGCATACTACAGCCTCAAACTCCTGGCCTCAAGCAATCTTCCAGACTCAGCCTCCCAAGTAGCTGATATTACAGGCATTTGCCACTGTTCCTGGCCATTCTTCCTCTTTTTAAAAGTCCTAAGGTCTAGTTTAAATTGGATTTCATCCATGAAACTGTTTCATCCATTAAACTTTCCCTAAAGTCTTCAGTTCACACAGGACCTTGCGCTTTGCCGAAGTCCTAATGTGCAAGTTAATTTAATACTCTTATCTTTTTTCATTTTCTGGCATTTAATCATTTTCATTCCTACTGTTAACCTGGTCTATGCCCTCACAAAATCACATCATATCTAAAGTGTTATAAAGCCTTTAGAATAGCACAGTGGTTATGAGCTTGAGTTTAAATCTCAATTCTACCATTTAATAGCTAGGTGAACTTGACCAAGATCTCTCTGTGCCTCAATTTCCTCACAGGTCAATGCAGAAAAAACAAGCACCTCAAAGAGTTACTTGAAGATTAAATAAGTTAACAAGTAAAGCATTTAGAATAGGGCCCAGTATATAGTTAGTACAAAAGTGTTATTTAAGCTGTTACCCATTTTTCCTTGCTCCAGGCAACTCTACATACTGCTATTGTATCACTATTGTATCACTCTTTCTTTCTTTTCTTTTCTTTTTTTTTTTGAGATGCAGTCTCCCTCTGTTGCCCATGTTGGAGTGCAAAGATGGGATCTCTGCTCACTGCAACCTCCGCTTCCTGGGTTCAAGTGATTATCCTGCCTCAGCCTCACAAGTAGCTGGGATTTCAGGTTCATGCCACCACACTTGGTTAATTTTTGTATTTTTCGTAGAGGTGGGGTTTCACCATGTTGGCCAGGCTGGTCTCAAACTCCTGACCTCAGGTGATCCACCCATCTCGGCCTCCCAAAGTGCTGGGATTACAGGTGTGAGCCACCGCACCCGGCCCACTCTTTCTTAAACAGGGGTTTGGTATGTCAGTGCTCTGCTCAGAACTCTCGTAGGCCTTCCATAACCCAAGGGTCCACATCCTAAGCTTGGTAAGCAAGGCACTTCACAACCTGGCACCACACTATCTAGTCAGCTTCATTTATTCAACAACTACTTTATACAAGATAGTAGGAAAACGTTCCTGTCTTCCAGAGTGTGAAAATTAATTACAAAGACAAGGCACAAACAAGAACATCACACAGAATAGATGTGCACCCTTGGCTACTCTTCAAAGAACTCTCTAATCCAACAAAGTCAGTTTCCTCAGCATTTGGAAAATGCAAAGCTCATTCAAAATTATCTGCTTTTTATTCCATCCTCATCCCCACAAAAAAAATAAAAATAACCAAAAAAACACCTTTTCTTATCTATCCACCCCTAATTTTAAAGTCAAATGTCATTATTCTTTTGCCATTGAAACTTACATAATATCACCTATCTCAACTATTTTCAAAGTGCACTGTCACCCTCTCTATCCAATGTAAAAGTTCCTAGAAAGAAGAAATAACAAATCCTCATCAGTTTGTCATTTTCTCCCCCTTTACCACTATGCCCTTCACTAAAACAAATCATGATAGAACAGGTGCTCAAAAAGATGCACTAGGCCGGGCGCGGTGGCTCACACCTGTAATCCTAACTCTTTAGGAGGCCGGGGCGGGTGGATTGCCTAAGCTCAGGAGTTCGAGACCAGCTTGTGCAACATGGTGAAACCCCGTTTCTACTAAAATAAAAAACAGTAGCTGGGCGTGGTAGTGTGTGCCTATAATCCCAGCTACTCAGGAAGCTGAGACAAGAGAATTGCTTGAACCCAGGAGGCAGAGGTTGCAGTGAGCCGAGATCACACCATTGCACTCCAGCCTGAGTGACAGAGCGAGACTCCATCTCAAAAAAAAAAAAAAAGATGCACTAAGTTTAAATTAAACGTGAGACTAGAAGTAGACAACTACTACCACTAGTAAGTAAACTTCAGTGAAACTGGAAATAGACTACTATGTCAACCACTAGCATGTCACCGGTACCCCAAAGCCTCAAATCAAATAGGGCCATCCAAATCACAAGAGTTCACTCACTATCCTTTCTATGTAACCACTATATGGGTAGATCTGCTTGCTCAGTGGTGCCTTGAATCAACAGAGGAATTAATAACCATTCTAGGCTGGGCACCGTGGCTCACACTTGTAATCCTAGCACTTTGGGAGGCCGAGGCAGGCAGATCACCTGAGGTCAGGAGTTCATGACCAGCGTGGCCAAATGGTGAAACCCTGTCTCTACTAAAAATACAAAAAATTAGCCAGGCATCTGGGCATGGTGGCTCATGCCTGTAATCCCAGCTACTTGGGAAGCTGAGGCAGAAGAATCACTTGAACCCAGGAGGGAGAGGTTGCAGTGAGCCGAGATTGCGCCACTGCACTCCAGCCTGGGAGACAGGGCAAGACTCCGGCTCAAAAAAAAAAAAAAAAAAAAAAACCATTCTACTATCTGCCATCTAATTTGAAGAGCTTGACTTCCGAAAAGGATGAAGGATAATACACAGGGCCAGCATCCAACAAGGCAATATCCAACTGCTACATTACTGAGAAGATGATTTGGTAAAGATTATGAAACTCTGCTTTGTGCCAAACCTGTCACCCTTCAACATGCAGATTTAAGTATTATACAATAAGATATTCCATGAGCTTAGCATTAAAAAGTGTCACTTAGATTTCCACCTGCCTACATTTTGCAGATATTCTAAAATGAACATGTATCATTTGAATAATCATAAAGTTTCAAGTGTTTATTATTTCTTCCAACTTTTTTTTTTTTTTTGAGACAGAGTCTCACATTGTCACCCAGGCTGGAGTGCAGTGGCGCGATCTCAGCTCACTGCAACCTCCGCCTCCCGGGTTCAAGCAATTCTCCTGCCTCAGCCTTCCCGAGTAGCTGGGATTGCAGGCACATGCCACCATGCCCAGCTAATTTTTTGTATTTTTCGTAGAGACAGGGTTTCACCGTGTTAGCCAGGATGATCTCGATCTCCTAACCTCGTGATCCGTCTGCCTCAGCCTCCCCAAGTGCTGGATTACAGGCATGAGCCACCAAGCCTGGCCTATTTCTTCCAACTTTTTTTTTTTTTTTTTTTTTGAGACGGAGTCTCGCTCTGTCGCCCAGGCCGGACTGCGGACTGCAGTGGCGCAATCTCGGCTCACTGCAAGCTCCGCTTCCCGGGTTCACGCCATTCTCCTGCCTCAGCCTCCCGAGTAGCTGGGACTACAGGCGCCCGCCACCGCGCCCGGCTAATTTTTTGTATTTTTAGTAGAGACGGGGTTTCACCTTGTTAGCCAGGATGGTCTCGATCTCCTGACCTCATGATCCACCCGCCTCGGCCTCCCAAAGTGCTGGGATTACAGGCGTGAGCCACCGCGCCCGGCCTTCTTCCAACTTTTAATGAGCCTCCCATAATGGACAATGCAGAATGCAACAGTCACCACAAAGTGAAAGTCACCCAAAGCACATATTACCCCAATTGTCGACCGCCCAGGTAAACTGCCAATTTAGACAAAGTTATCAACTACATCAGTTTCAATTTTAAAAATTTCTTCTGGCCAAGCACAGTGGCTCATGCCTGTAATCCTAGCACTTTGGGAGGCCGAGGCAAGTGGATCACCTGAGGTCAGGAGTTTGAGACCAGCCTGGCCAACATGGTGAAACCCTGTCTCCACTAAAAATACAAAAATTAGCCAGGCATGGTGATGAATGCCTGTAATCTCAGCTACTTGAGAAGCTGAGGTAGGAGAATCTCTTGAATCCAGAAGGTATAGGTTGCAGTGAGCTGAGATCGCACCACTGCACTCCAGCCTGGGTGACAGAGCCAGACTCCGTCTCAAAAAAACAAAAAACAAAAACAAAAACAAAATTTATTCTATATATGCCATCACATTAAAGAAAATAATTTCTCATCACCTTCCTAAGACTCCATAGCACTATAGCAAATTGCACAGTGTTGTCTAAATAGTTCCCTCTTCCCCACTAAACACCCTCTCTGCTGAGTATTGGGTGCTTAGTAAGAGCCAGGGACAGGGTGCTAAGTGATTTATATAATTACCTCAATTCTCAAAACAATAATAGGTACCATTATCATCCCCAGATGTTTAAAAAAAAAAAAAAACCTGGCCGGGCGCGGTGGCTCATGCCTGTAATCCCAGCACTTTGGGAGGCTGAGGTGGGTGGATCACCTGAGGTTGGGAGTTCAAGACCAGCCTGACCAACATGGAGAAACCCTGTCTCTACTAAAAACTCAAAATTAGCCACGCGTGGTGGCGCATGCCTGTAGTCCCAGCTACTCGGGAAGCTGAGGCAGGAGAATCACTTGAACCCAGGAGGGAGAGGATGTGGTGAGCCAAGATCGCGCCATTGCACTCCAGCCTGGGCAACAAGAACGAAACTCCTTCTCTGAAGGGATTCTTTTTTTTTTTTTAAGAGACAGGGTCTTGCTTTGATACCCAGGCTGGAGTGCAGTGGCATAATCACAGCACTGCAACCTCAAACTCCTGGGCTCAAGCAACCCTCGTGCCTCAGCATCCCGAGTAGGTGGGACTACAGACACTGCAAATTTCATACGAGAACTATTTGGTCGCACTGTGGGTTTTCTTTGGAACTGTATCCCTCACAGTGTCTGGCACATAATAGATGCTCAATTAAAACCTACTATCTGTCCAAACCAAAACTTTAAATAGTTAATTCCTAAAACAATTCAATGACATGGTAAGATCTGACAGAGCATCCGCTATAACTAGATTAAGTGGTATAATAATCAATAATTACATCTATATCTAAAGTAGTGGTCTCATAGCCTGCGTGTTATTTTAGCTAATAAAGCAGGAGGAAAAAAGTGAAAATGGTAGAAATAAGCCATATCTACCATTCAAAGATAAGTTTTTCTGAAGAACTAATTTCATGGCCGGGTGTGGTGGCTTATGCCTGTAATTCCAGCACTTTGGGAGGCCGAGGAGGGTGGATCACTTGAGGTCAGGCGTTCAAGACCACCCTGGCCAACATGGTGAAACCCAGTATCTACGAAGAATATAAAAATTAGCTGGGCATGGTGGCATGCGCCTGTGATCCCAGCTACTCAGGAGGCTAAGACACAAGAATCGCTTGAACCCAGGAGGCAGACGTTGCAGTGAGCTGAGGTTGCGCCACTGCACTCTAGCCTGGCCACAGAGCGAGACTCCATCTCAAAGAAAAAAAACAAATATTAACATGTCATCTCAATTCATGAAACAGTCACTACTGACCTATTCTTAGTTATCTCAAAATAACCTATTGTGAGAGTTTTAGTACAGCCATGGAAAGCACTGGGCATGAAATCAGTATTTTTCAAATAAGTAAAACAAAAAATGGGAGTCCCCTTCGAGTGTTTCATCAAAGAAAGTGCATTCGCAGAGTATGTACTGTGAGCCAACCTGTTGTCTGATTAGTTTAGACCTGTTGCCCAAGAACATAAAATGGTGAAAATGTAAAAGCTGGTTGAGTTAAGGCACTACTTAGTAGTAAACTGATGTTTGAATTCAACTGCTGGAAAAATGAGTTCTATGAATATTCATTTTAAAGAATTATGAGGGCCAGGTGCAGTGGCTCACGCCTGTAATCCCAGCACTTTGGGAGGTTGAGGCAGGTGGATCAACTGAGGTCAGGAGTTCAAGACCGCCTGGCCAACATGGTGAAACCCTGTCTCTACTAAAAATACAAAATTAACCAGGCATGGTGGCGTGTGCCTGTAATACCAGCTACTTTGGAGGCTGAGGCAGGAGAATCACTTGAACCCGGGAGGCAGAGGTTGCAGTGATCTGAGATAGCGCCACTGCACTCCAGCCTGGGTGACAGGAGCAAAAATCTGTCTCAAAAAAAAAAAAAAAGGATTACGAGTAATCTATGAAGTATTTTAGGCACCCTAACTTCAGCTTGCGAGGAGCGAGTGAAGGGTCTGTTCCACAGGTAAATGAGGATCTGGTGTTAAACAGAAAAGTTAACATACTCTTCAGTTCTCATCCTACACGTAAAGTATAGATATTATGCAGCACACAGCACTTGGACAATCTTTTCCTCCTTTCTTTAAAAAATAATTTACAAAATAATTCCTTAAATCAGTAGCTGCCGAAGTATCATTTTTTTCTCTTCCTTTTGAGGCTCAGGTTTCTTTCATTTCAAAACATATTCTTGAAGACTTAAGTTCTTCCTTTAAGAAAGATTTAATTATTTAACTCAGAAAGAGGGGCAAAAAGTCAGGAGGTGAAACCTGAGACAGTCCTATTAGTCTTACATAACTTAAAGTTGGAACTGATTCAGTAGCTCAGCTAAAAACCTGAGGTTTAGGCACAAAGATGAGCTCTTTAGTATACTCTCCACAAACATAAATAAACAGTTTTTAAAAATGGAAAGGATCTTAATTTCTTTCTTCACTTCTTAAAATAAAAGCACATACATGTATAGTAACTTACGATACTAACATAAAAATACTAAATTGGTTACGCTTAAAATGAAAAGCACTGAATTCATCGTATCACATTTAAGTAATGCTATAATTGACAGAATAGGGTATAATTTCAGAAAGTAAGTTTATTTCCTAACACTAACTTTTGAATAGCACCTCTGTAAGTATGCATTAAGTACTTAATAAGTGCTGCAGGGAACATCAAAAAGTGATTTTCAAACGCAATATGTGTATGTTCTCCAACTTGTAAAAAAAACTCTGAAAATATATAAAGTTACAGTTGTTCATGCTTAATTAAATTAGCTTTGATTATTGCAAATTACTCCTCCAAGGGCAAGTATGTATCAAACCTTTCAAAAATCTTAGGTTTATATCAGCAATTATCCTTACTAGAAAGGTCCTGATCTGAACTCACCTAAAGCTATGTGTTAACTACATTTCACCACTAAGACACTTGAGCCCCGGGATAATAATGGCCACGGATTCCCCGAATTGCTTCGAGAACTGCTGCTTGCTTAATAAAGCGCTGAACTGTGAATTCACCTTTCTAAACAGACTAAAAGCAAGACGCCAAGTTTCACTATCTAGTTTGGGATTTCACTGGGAATGACCACGTTATCAAGATGCCATAGCCCTCCTGAGGCTTTTAATTACAATACCTTCTCTGTTTTCCATTCAACCACCTCAATCAAATTTCCACTAGAACCAGGCACACAAACAGTTGATTCGTGGCTTTGCGCAAAGCCTCCTCTGGATGCAAACCCTGGGATCCTGCATACATTAGTCCTCTCAGGGAGGGCAAAAGGGGAAAAAAAGTTTGTTAAACAATGCCGCTGGACAATGTGGTGACATTACCTTGCCCGTCTTGTGATCAAACCAGACGAGAGCGTGGTTCCTTGATAGCACTTTGCAATCAAAAGTGGCATTATTCTGCGCTGGTCGACAGCGGGCCACTGAGCGGCCGATTTTGATGGGCTCGTCCAGGTAGACATGACGCTCCTGAAACGGGTGCGAGTTCGGGCGGCAAGTGAAGATGGCCAAGGCTGACGGCATCGAGGATAGACTGGGGGTGTCTCTCCTACCAGGGACAAAGAGGAGTTCCTCCGGATCCGGACTGCCCTTCACAAGCCTATGCCCCTATCCCACCCAAAATTTTAAATTAACACAAACTGCACATTGTCTAAGCATAACCAGTGAACATCAACTCTTCACTTGGGTGGGAAGACAAGCCAGCGCAAGCCCCATCACCTCCTTTAAAACGCTGCAACGCCGTGATCACAAAAAGTCCCCAACTGGCAGCTTTCAGTCCATCTTCTTCTCTGGGAAGAAAAGGCTCAAACATCGGGCAGCTTCGGCCAAGAAAACTCCTGGAACACAGTTTGGGGACTGGAGGTATCCAAGCAGATGAGTCACACGCCAATTCTTGTGTTTGGTTTGAGATCGCGGCCGCTTTTCCCCCTTGGTGGCGGAAACGTTGCAGCACTGCAGCATGAATGAAGGGTCGGTTCGGCGCGGCCAGGAAAGTCCTTTTGGGCCGAAGGAAGGTGTGGCTGGGCACCTCTGGGCAGCCACCGCCAGTCCTCGCCCGGAGTGAAGGGGCGAGAGGTGACGGAGACGGAGGGGCTCTAGACGGCCGGCGGGACAGTCTGCATCGCCCCTGCTGAGCGGAGGCCGCCCCGGGAAGGGGGACGCGGTCCCCGGCCTGGCACGATCCGAGACGGCGGTGGCTGAGGTTCTCCGCGCGAGGCGTGGAGGCCGGCGGGGCGCGGGCAGTGGCCAAGTCGGGACTCCTGGGCACCTGGCGAGCGTCCCCGCGACCAGGGCGGGGACCCGGCTCCGCAGGCCGGTGCGGACCGAGCGAGGCGCGACACCGGGAGGCTCGAGTTCCCAGGCGGCAGGAAGTTGGTCCCCGGACGCCTAGGCTTCTGGGCCGCCGCTCAGCACATGGGCCGCCTCCCCTCAGGGTCGCCCCCGCGAGGGTCGCATCTCAGGGACGGCAGCCGCAGCTCCCGGCGGACGAGAAGGTGGGGGAGGGAGACTGGCCCGGAGGTTGGGGAGAGGCCTTGAGGCCCCGGGCTGGATCCGCCGCAGCCTCCACCGATCGCGGCCGATGGGGCAAGCTCAAGCTGCGCCCGACGAGGCAGGAAACTTTCCGACCTGGTGGGGAAAACATCAAAACAAACGGCCGTCAGGCGCCTCAGCCCGCCCGCCTCAGCCGTCGCCCCCTCCAGCCAGACCCCCGCCAGCCCACACCGCTAGGCACGACCTCCGCCGACCTCTCCGCAAGCAGGCTACGAGGATTTGGAGCCAGGACGCCACGACGGGTCCTACCTCCCTAGCCGCCACCACCGCCTCAGCTTACCTTGCCAGCGCCGGCCGCCATAGTGACTCTGACTGAAACCTACCCGGTGCACCGCCACGGGAACGCGCACCCTTCAAGGGCCCTCCTACCCCCTCTCCCGCGCCGTAGTCCAGGAATGTCACGTGAACGACGCCACGGAAGCCGTGTTGGTAGAGGGCAGAAAAAAGGGCAAGGTAATTTTTAACGGGCCTCCAGGCGCCATCTTAGTTAAGGGCTGGAAGCTTCAAACCTCGGGACAACCTTAACGACCATTTTGGTTAAGGGCAAGAACAATTTGCGCCGTAGAAGGTTTTTCAAACAAACAGTGCCACCTTCTTATTTTATCTACTTAGCAAGGGGGTGCCAACTTTTACTAAATTTTATTCTGTTTAATTCTCGATGAAAATACTAGCGAGCAAAAGAACAGACCCAGCCAAAGGAGATGGTCATTAGCAGCCATCTTAGCTGTGGGCAACACAGTCACCCGCAGCTACCTTAAGTGTGAGCCGCCAAACTCCCTGAAGTCTTAGGATTTGTGCACCTAACAGAAGGACCATTCTCCCCTCTGCTAAATTCGTTATGTTTTCTTCCCGGAAAAAAAAAATCTTAGTTCCCGCATTCCATTTCGAATGACAGTCTTTCTCACTGAACCTATTATGTGCCCCCAGGGCTCCTGCGCGGATTCTTCCACAGAAGGAGCGTCCAGAAAGTTTAAAATCATGTTTCTTCCAAAGAGAGATTGAATAATTTCCAAAGTGAAAAAAGAGGGTATTTCCCCCACTTACAATATCAAGATGAGGAGTCATTGGTCTAAAGAAGGAAGACTTTGCAAGGGCTAAATGAAAACTTTAAGAAAAAATAGTGAGAAGGAGACTTACTCATTTAGAATCAAAGGTGACTTCATTCTTCAGATTCCTGCAATAACAGGCTCCACCACTGTGTGACCTTAAGCAAGTTTCTAAACTTTTTCAAGCCTCTTTTTTCTCATGGATGACATGTTAATAATAGTTAATTCACTTGATGTGGTGAGACTTCAAAATGTTAATCCATGTTGTTCAATAAAGAGTAGCAATTAGGCCGGGCGCGGTGGCTCACGCCTGTAATCCCAGCACTTTGGGGGGGCCGAGGCAGGCGGATCACCTGAGGTCGGGAGTTTGAGACCAGCCTGACCAACATGGAGAAACCCCGTCTCTACTAAAAATACATAATTAGCCGGGCGTGGTGGCGCATGCCTGTAATCCCAGCTACTTGGGAGGCTGAGGCAGGAGAATCACTTGAACCCGGGAGGCGGAGGTTGCGGTGAGCCAAGATCGCGCCATTGCAGTCCAGCCTGGGCAACAAGAGTGAAACTGTCTCTCCAAAAAAAAAAAAAAAAAGAAAGAAAGAAAGAAAAAGTAGCAGTTATTCATCTCAATACTTATATAGACAGTTTGGCCGTGTCCTAGGTTTTTGCTGGGCCCTGGGGACACATAACTGAACCAAACTTCAATTCCTGCCTTCTGAGATCATAACGGTATTGTGGGTTAGAAATGAGGGTAGGGAGTGACAAACATGAAATTGATGTAATCAGGGCTAAGATAGAGGCAGGCACTAGCTGCCCAAGGGGTCAGGGATGGTCTGGGAGAAGTAACTGAACTGAATGAAGGAAGATAGGAAAACCACAATAAATATGGTATTCGCTGAATGGTTTCATGAATTTCCACAAACACGGATAGCAAGGAAAAGAAGGAGCCTACTTGAAACAGTGCACCAATGTGCCGGCACATAATAGTGGATAAATAAGTATTTGATGCATGAATGAAAATTACATACTGTTACTCATTATTAGAGGATAAAGTAGGCGGGACACAAAGTGAGTCTGGAAAGAATAGGCATTATATAATAAAGACGTTATATTCGTTTTTCAAGCTCTTCATCAATTCAACAAATATGTGTCAAGCTACCACTGTGTTCCAGGTATGCTATTCAAAATGAGGATATGTTGGAAAGCTTTCTTATGAGAGGATGAAAAGTTTTCACTTCTGATAACTTTTAGGCTGTTAAGGAATAAAATAAGATAGGACCCTCCACAGATCCCTAATGAGTTTTTTTTGCACGAATAGCAAGTCATTTATGCATTCTTTCATACATTCATTCTATAAACATTTAATTGATACTGTGAAATAGATATTTTGAAAGGTCCTGGAAATACAATAATGAAGAAACAAAAAGACTCCCTCAAGTTGCTCGATTTAGGTGATGACACAGAAAGATCCTTGCTGTAATGGAGTATGTCAAGAGTAGTGGAAACATGGCAGAGTAGTTTAAACTGAAACTTGAAAGGATTAGAACAGCTAGTCTGATGCTATTGGGATAAAGAAATTTTAAGCTAAGAAGCAATCCCAACAAAAGTCCAGAGACTTGAGAGAACAGGACTTTAAGGGAATTGCAAGTAGGTTCGTATCACCAGAGCATAAGAGATAAGGGAAAACGAGGAGAAAGAGTGACAGAAGTGAGGTTTCAGTTGCTGAAGGACTTCTAGGCAATGCACCAGACTTCAGAACATTTCCATCTTCCTCCTAGAAGATCAAAGAGAAGTAATGAAAGTCAAGGTGCTGGAATCAGACATGGCATACTTTTACCAGCACCATAAATGGTAAATTATTTAGCTTCCCTAAATTTCAGCTTCCTTATCTGAAAAAAAAAAAAGCATATATCTACTGCACTTGACTAGTCTTTTTTTTAAAAAAAAAAAAAAGGGGTTGGGAAGGGGGAAGGAAAAAGGTAGATAATACCTTACAGAGTCTTCTTAGGATTAAATAAAACAATGGAATACAAAATGCCAACCATGGTGGCTGGGAAATAGTAGACACTCACAGAATGTTAATATTTATCATTATTGCTCATAGAAAGAATTCCCCCAGCCTTCCACATATAGTAAGGAGCAAGTTGTTTTATCTCTAGTTTGTATATAGAGAAACTTAATCATACATATGGAAACAAAAAAAGTCTGTTTATATTCAGTTCTACTATAATATCTCTTAAAATTAATGTTAAGCAGAGTGGACTTTCTTCTACAAGAAAAGCTGGGACTACTATAACATGTCAGGATAAAGAATCCTATCAAGCTACACAGGGTGCTAGAAATGCCAAAATGGCATTGAAGGCATTCTTCACCCACTGGTATTCAGCAGGCACAGAAAAGGCTTAAATTAAGAAATCTCATACATGAGATACTTTGAATTCTAAGTCATGTGGGTGTTCCTCTCTGTGATTCTGTATCCACACAAAATTTTTATTAAATAAAAAACATGTCATATTTTGAGAAATTGGGAATGGCAATGTTTCCTGATTTTGTAGTTCTCTCCCTTTTTAAGTTTCTGCCTTTTTATAGTCTGATGAGTATTGCCACTGCTATGATCCAAGCCACTTTTCAATCTTATAAAAGCAAAGACAGACTTGTAAAATTATCATCCTAGTACCATCAAAGATGGGCAATTATTAGCATTTCTGATGTGTAGGAGACAACTCTGTAAACTCTACTAATAAGCAGCCCTTTCTAATTAATAATGATCTAATTGGACTTTGACCAATGACATACACTTGGTATATAATAAATTATGGAACACTTGCATAACTGTTTCAGCAGAGTACCTGGATTGCAAATATAGGTAAGCAAACCAATTAAGAGAAAGCTGGGAGTACTCAAAGCCCAAAATTGAGAGTATATAACATTTTTAGTGGCACACACTGGCTTATTACAACTGAAGTTAGGTCCTCTTCCCACTAAGGAAAGCTCTCTTCATCAGGGAGATTCTAATGAGTGGAAATACCCTGTCATTTCCCAGGTGCCCAGGGTGGAGTAGCCCAGACATTCCAGAGGCACTGCTCATATGTTTGTGGCTTCCTGGTTATTCAGGAAATAAAAGAAAAGTAACTACCTGAAGACAAATGAAGACATTAAGTTCATTTAGCAACCTTTTTCTGTGAATATAAAAGGAGGGAATCACAATATTATAACTCCAGAAAGAATCATAGACAACAAATCCAGCTTCCACATTTTACAGGCAAGGAAATTGAGGCTCAGAGAAGGAACTTTAATGATTGTGTATTTACCATGTGGTTAGCATTTTCCTCATGACATCTCTGTGTATTAAGTATTAACCTTATTTTATAGGTAAGTAAGGAAACTAAGGCTCAGGCTCAAACATTAAGAAAAACATTAAGAATCTTAATATTCGATTGAGTGACTGAAAATAAGTCACCATGCTAGATCCAAAGTACATGCTGGGGTTTTTTCTTTCTAAAAATTATCTTTATTTTTATTTATTTATTTTTTGACAATATCTTGCTCTGTCACCTAGGCTGGAGTGCAATGGCACAATCACGGCTCACTGTAGCCTCAACCTCCCCAGCCCAACCAATCTTTCCACCTCAGCCTCCTTAGTAGGCATGTGCCACAGGCATGTGCCACCGCCATACCCAGCTAATTTATTTTTGTTTATTAATTTTTTCTTTTCTGTATACCTCGGATCCCCTGTGTTGCTTAGGCTGGTCTCAAACCCATGGGCTCAAGTGATCCTCCTGTCCGGCCTCCCATAGTGCTGGGATTATAGGCATGAGCCACCATGCCGGCCCCGACTGATTTTTTTGATTGATAAAAGAAACACATGCTCATTGCATATATTCAGGTAAGCAAAAATGAGGAAAGTAAAAGTCCTCTCTAGCCCCATCACAAATACTTAGTCTAATGCTACTGTTAACAATTTGTTAGCTGTATTCTTCCAGATGCTATTCTAAGCCACATGAAGCATGCCCTTTTAAAAATACCACATTTATTAGAAGTGGGAAGGTCAACACTAAGGGCCTTATTCTTAAAAGTGATAAATAATTTATATCAATAGCAAAAGGCCTGTATTGGGGCACGGGGACGAGGAAGGGAAGAAATTATGCTATTTTTTGTCACTCTTGTATAAGTCCCCTTTTGATTACTGGAAGTATCTGCTTGTTTTTTATAACTAATTTGAGAATGTTACTTGGAATGTAGCAAATGCTTAAGAGTAAAAGGGCTGGGTCAGAAAACCCCATGAGGCATTTTCTTTCTGAATTTTTATTGGTATATCTGGATTTGTTTCCAAATAACTTAGTTACCAAGTAAAATATCAGAGACTCTATATACGATGGCTTTGCTCATCAAATGATTTGTAACATATGTATATATAATAATTCCCTGCAAGTGTGGCACATAAAAATATATTTTAAGTACATACTTTATTCTAAGAAAACTATGATATTTTGGCCTGGCATGGTGGCTCACACCTGTAATCCCAGCACTTTGGAAGGCCAAGGCAGGAGGATCACCTGAGGTCAGGAGTTCAAAACCAGACTGGCCAACATGGTGAAGTCCTGTCTCTACTAAAAATACAAAAATTAGCCGGGTGTGGTAGCACACGTCTGTAATTCCAGCTACTTGGGAGGCTGAGGCAGGAGAATCACTTGAACCTGGGAGGTGGTAGCTGCAGTGAGCCGAGATCTCGCCATTACACACTCCAGCCTGGGTGAAACAGCAGGACTCTGTCTCAAAAAAAAAGAGAGAGAGAGAGAAAGAAAACTATGATATTTTGAATAATTGTTTTTGAATGTAGTTATTTGTGTTTCCTTTTAATAAACTTTATTTGGGCTTTTGTTTCAGAAAAATGCCTTGTTGCTACTGTATAATGTCATACATCAGCATCTCACTAAATGCCTATGTTTTAGAAAACTAATAAATATCTCAGGGATCTTTGGTCTTAAGGATTTCTCAGAAGATAGGTTGAAATGGATTGAAGAGACCTATACAAGGAAGTGACTCTGGAGTGCCTGCTCCTCCTGCACCCCCACTCCCTCAAAGCGTGTCAAGCATACAAGGCTGGGAGGAGGAGGTCTCATCTGTGTTTTTTGTTTTTTTTTTTTTGAGACAGAGTCTCGCTCTGTTGCCGAGGCAGTAGTGCAATGTGTCAGTCTCGGCTCACTGCAACCTTTGCTTCCGGGGTTCAAGCAATTCTCCTACTTCAGCCTTCTGACTGAGTAGCTGGAATTATACGCACTCGCCACCACACCCAGCTAATTTTTTTTTTTTTTTTTTTCAAGTAGAGAAGGGGTTTCACCATGTTGGCTAGGCTGGTCTCATACTCCTGACCTCAAGTGATCTGCCCGCTTCTGCCTCCCGAATGGTGGAATTACAGGCATGAGCCACTGCACCTGGCCAATCATCTGTAGATTCTTCACTGGGTTTTGTACAGAGCCGGTTTCATAGCGTATGACCTTTACGTAGGGCCCCGCTTGGAAGGACTATATCTAGTTGTACTCTGCTGTCTTGAAATTCTCGGTAACTTTTGAACAGATTTCTCATTTTCATTTGCACTGGACCCCTCAAATTATATAGCTGTTGCCAAGCGTGGTGGCTCATGCCTGTAATCCCAACCCTTTGGAAGGCCAAGGCTTTTGGATCACCTGGAGTCAGGAGTTCAAGACCAGCCTGGCCAACACGATTAAATCCCGTCCCTACTAAAAATGCAAAATTAGTATGGTGTGGTCGATCACACCTGTAATTCCAGCTACTCAGGAGGCTGGGGCAGTGAGCCAAGATCGTGCCCTTGCACTCCAGCCCAGGCTACAAAAGCGAAACTGAATAAAAACGAAAAAATTATATAGCTGTTCCTGCTTTGAACATATGGCTCAGGAACCCAGTCTCCTCTGTGCAAATCTAGCATGTTAACGAGCATGACACGTGAAATGCTGTAGAAGAAATTGGTGGGCTATTGACACTGAAAACGCTTCTCTAGAGAAATGAGATGCTTTAAGTGCAACCAGACAGGTCCGTCTCCCCATTTTCTGGTTATATGATAACTCAGGATCAGTGGCAAAGATGGTGGCAGAAGAAAACTTGATTTTGTAACTTCTCACTCTAGCTTAGACTCTGAAGTTAGTCTTGAAGACGATAATGAGAATAATATTGAATCAAGGTAGAACCTGTATCCACTAAAATTGTTCATTTTTCATATTTTCCTAAACTTTTTGTTATAAAAAATTTCAAATGTACAGAAATATTGAAATTACAGTGAACACACACAGAGCTCCTTGATTCTAAGTCGTTACCATTTTGTCATATTTGCCTTACCTGTGTGTTTTCTGAACTTTTTGACAGTAAATTGCAGAAATAGATCAACATGCCTTTACTACTAGAAACATTTTCCTAAGTAACCAAAATATGTGGAGTTTTGATGAGTTTTTTTGAGACAGGGTCTTGCTCTGTCACCCAGGCTGGAGTGCAGTGGCGAGATCATGGCTCACTGGAGCCTTGACCTCCTGGGCTCAAGGGATCCTCCCATCTCAGCCTCCCGAGTAGCTGGGACTACAGGCATGCACCACCACACCCGGCTAATTAAAAAAAAAAATTTTGTGTGTGTGGAAACAGGGTCTTGCCATATTGCCCAGGCTGGTCTCAAACTCCTGGGCTCAAGTGATTCTCTGGCCTTGGCCTCCCAAAGTGCTGGGATTACAGGTGTGAGTCACCGTACCCCACTTGATTATGCTTTTGTTTTGTTTTGTTTTGTTTTTTGTTTTTGTTTTTTTTAAATTTATTTTTTTATTGATAATTCTTGGGTGTTTCTCACAGAGGGGGATTTGGCAGGGTCATGGGACAATAGTGGAGGGAAGGTCAGCAGATAAACAAGTGAACAAAGGTCTCTGGTTTTCCTAGGCAGAGGACCCTGCGGCCTTCCGCAGTGTTTGTGTCCCTGATTACTTGAGATTAGGGATTGGTGATGACTCTTAACGAGCATGCTGCCTTCAAGCATCTGTTTAACAAAGCACATCTTGCACCGCCCTTAATCCATTTAACCCTGAGTGGACACAGCACATGTTTCAGAGAGCACAGGGTTGGGGGTAAGGTCACAGATCAACAGGATCCCAAGGCAGAGGAATTTTTCTTAGTGCAGAACAAAATGAAAAGTCTCCCATGTCTATTTCTTTCTACCCAGACACGGCAACCATCCGATTTCTCAATCTTTTCCCCACCTTTCCCGCCTTTCTATTCCGCAAAGCCGCCCTTGTCATCCTGGCCCGTTCTCAATGAGCTGTTGGGCACACCTCCCAGACGGGGCGGTGGCCGGGCAGAGGGGCTCCTCACTTCCCAGTAGGGGCGGCCGAGCAGAGGCGCCCCTCACCTCCCGGACGGGGCGGCTGGCCGGGCAGGGGGGCCGACCCCCCCCACCTCCCTCCCGGACGGGGCGGCTGGCCGGGCGGGGGGCCGACCCCCCCACCTCCCTCCCAGACGGGGCGGCTGGCCGGGCAGAGGGGCTCCTCACTTCCCAGTAGGGGCGGCCGGGCAGAGGCGCCCCTCACCTCCCAGACGGGGCGGCTGGCCGGGCGGAGGGCTGACCCCCCCCCACCTCCCTCCCGGACAGGGCGGCTGGCCGGGCGGGGGGCTGACCCCCCCACCTCCCTCCCGGACGGGGCGGCTGGCCAGGTGGGGGGCTGACCCCCTACCTCCCTCCCGGACGGGGCGGCTGGCCAGGTGGGGGGGGCTGACCCCCCCATCTCCCTCCCGGACGGGGTGGCTGGCCGGGCTGAGGGGCTCCTCACTTCCCAGTAGGGGCGGCCGGGCAGAGGCGCCCCTCACCTCCCGGACGGGGCGGCTGGCCAGGCGGGGGGCTGACCCCCCCACCTCCCTCCCGGACGGCACGGCTGGCCAGGCGGGGGGCTGACCCCCCCACCTCCCTCCCGGATGGCACGGCTGGCCGGGCGGGGTGGCTGACCCCCCACCTCCCTCCCGGATGGGGCGGCTGGCCGGGCGGGGGGCTGACCCCCCCCCACCTCCCTCCCGGACGGGGTGGCTGCCGGGCGGAGACGCTCCTCACTTCCCAGATGGGATGGCTGCCGGGCGGAGAGGCTCCTCACTTCTCAGACGGGGCAGCTGCCGGGCGGAGGGGCTCCTCACTTCTCAGACGGGGTGGTTGCCAGGCAGAGGGTCTCCTCACTTCTCAGACGGGGCGGCCGGGCAGAGACGCTCCTCACCTCCCAGACGGGGTCTCGGCCGGGCAGAGGCGCTCCTCACATCCCAGATGGGGCGGCGGGGCAGAGGCGCTCCCCACATCTCAGACGATGGGCGGCCGGGCAGAGACGCTCCTCACTTCCTAGATGTGATCGCGGCTGGGAAGAGGCGCTCCTCACCTCCTAGATGGGATGGCGGCCGGGCGGAGACGCTCCTCACTTTCCAGACTGGGCAGCCAGGCAGAGGGGCTCCTCACATCCCAGACGATGGGCGGCCAGGCAGAGACACTCCTCACTTCCCAGACGGGGTGGCAGCCGGGCAGAGGCTGCAATCTCGGCACTTTGGGAGGCCAAGACAGGCGGCTGCTCCTTGCCCTCGGGCCCCGCGGGGCCCGTCCGCTCCTCCAGCCGCTGCCTCCCGGGCGGCGCTCGCCGGCGCGGCGGCAAAGCTTGATTATGCTTTTATGGAGATTTTTTTTCCTGAGGATAGATTCATACTACACTGTCTGAATGTCTTTTGGAGACATCAAAGTGTTGTTCCATATGTGTGAGTTCCTAGAAGTCAGGAACAGATTGTCAGGAAAGACAATAAGTGGTATCTTCACTTCCTGCTGGCAGCAGGCCCTAGAGTCAATCAGGGAGGGAGCCCCCTGTGATTTTGTGTTCAAGGCAGATTGTATTTCATCACTCTGCCAACCAGATGGATCAGTTTGGGGGTGACAAGAGTTAAAATAACCACTGACTAAAGCAGTGCCCCTTTGCTGGAGACATTTGTAAAAGCTGCAACTAACAGAAGAGCTGCTCTGCTTTTCCAGGAATGGTCACTTCTGGGAGTGTGAAAACAGGGTGTCATTAGTTAGACTGAACAGCAGAGCCATAAGTCTATAAGGCATTGCCACACTAAGCATTAGGGAAGGGTGTACCCAGGGCGAACTTTTTTCTATGCAATTCAAGTCACAGTTCCATCTGGGCAAGTGTTGCTGAAAGCAAAATTTTTTCAAGTCAGCTGTTATTGATTAGGGTCCTGTGTTTGCAAGCAACAGAAACCGGCCAACCTAAGCCTATGGGAATTATTGGAAAGACATGGGGTGGCACTGAGAATGAAAAGAAATGCTAAAAAAGCAAGTCACAGAGAAGCAGAGCTAATAAGTAGCAAGAGCCATTAAGCAGCCTCTTCAGGGCACCACCTTTAGGAATCAAGTCATCCTTTGTCAATCTTTAAGCCCCTTTCAAGATTCAAACACCCCAACTGATTGACCTAGGTTGCCTTACATGCCTATTCCATGGACAGAAAGGGGGTTGGGGTGGGGGATGAGGACTTCAAAGGACAGTTCCACTAACTCTGTATCCAATGGAAAATGGATGGTTTCCTAAAGCTGTTGCCAAAAGGAAGAGGAAAGATAGCTGGGCAGGCAAAAATAGTAGATGTCTATGCATCAGCTTTTTTTTTTTTTTTTTTTGAGAAAGAGTCACCCAGGCTGGAGTGCAGTGGTGCCATCTCAGCTCACTGCAACCTCCGCCTCCTGGATTCAAGCAATTCTCCTGCCTCAGCCTCCCTAGTAGCTGGGACTACAGTCACACACCACCATGCCTGGCTAATTTTTGTATTTTTGGTAGAGACGGCTTTTCACCATATTGGCCAGGCTGGTCTCAAACTCCTGACCTCAGGTGATCCACCCACCTCAGCCTCCCAAAGTGCTGGGATTACAGGCATGAGCCACCGTACCCAGCCCACACTGAAGTATTAAGGGATACAGAGGCATAATGTATGCAATTTATTCTCAAATAATACAGAAAAAATATATGGGGGGAAGAATGTGGCAAAATGTTTAAAAATAGTGAGTTTGGATAAAGAATGTGTGGGAGTTCTTTGTGTTATTCATGGAACTTTTAAATTTGTAATTATTTCAAAATGAAGTTCAGAAACAAAAGTCAATGGGAAAGGCAAAAGGAAATGTGCTCCTCTGCTTGCATGTACAAAAGCCTTTTGATGAATTATGTGTGACAAATGAATATTTGTATGTCCACATTGCTAGATCCAAACTCTCTAGGGGAAGTTCTTAGTGCCAAGGCATGGACTCTACAAGGAGCTCTCGCTGTTAGTGTGACAAAGCTCTACTGTGGACCGCTAAGACCCTGGGTAAGGCCTATATATTTACGCACCCTGAGGAGTCTAAGTGTGTGGAGATTTCCTCTTGGCTTTTATGCTTTTCTTTTGTTTTAACAGTTATTTGGGAAAACAGATTTCAAACATAGTGTATATATTTAATGCTTTGTACTCTATTTTATTTTTAATTGGCCAATAATAATTTTATATATTCATGGGGTAAAATGATGTTTTCATACATGTATACATTGTGGGATGATTAAATCAAGCCAGTTAACATATCTGTCACCTCACATACTTATCATTTTTTGTGGTGAAAACATCTAAAATCCACTCTTTAAGTAATTTTGAAATATACAGTGCATTGTTATTTATTATAATCACTATTCTGTGCAATACATCACTAAAGCTCATTCCTCCCCTCTAACTGAAATTTTATACCCTTTGATCAAACATCTCTCCTTTCCCCAATTTCCCTTGTCCCTAATGCTTTATACTTTTTTTTTTTTTTTTTTTTTTTGAGACAGGGTCTCACTCTGTCACCCAGGCTGGAGTGCAGTGGCATGATCATGGCTCACTGCAGCCTCAACCTCCTGGGCTCAAGCAATCTTCCTGCTTCAGCCTCCTGAGTAGCTGGGACTATAAGTGCGTGCCATTATGCCCAGGTAATTTTTTATTTTTTTGTAGAGACAGGATCTCACTATGTTGCCCAAGCTGGTCTCAAACTCCTGGGCTCAAGTTACCCTCCTGCCTCAGCCTCCCAAAGTGTCGGGATAACAAGCATAGCTACCATACCCAGCCTCTATTTCTTTTTTTTTTTTTTTTTTTGAGACGGAGTCTTGCTCTGTTGCCCAGGCTGGAGTGCAGTGGTGCGATCTCCGCTCACTGCAACCTCTGCCTCCCCAGTTCAAGTGATTCTCCTGCCTCTGCCTCCTGAGTAACTGGGATTACAGGTGCACGCCACCACACCTGGCTAATTTTTGTATTTTTAGTACAGATGAGGTTTCACCATGTTGGTCAGGCTGGTCTCGAACTCCTGACCTCGTTATCTGCCCACCTCAGCCTCCCAAAGTGCCAGGATTACAGGCATGAGCCACCGCGCCTGGCCCCAGACTCTACTTTTTAATATTCATCTATAACCCAACAATTTTGTCTCTCAAGTAGCTTACTAACTTGATTTGAAGCCAAACATTACTAACATCACATAGTCATTTCTTATTACAAAAAGATTTTAGTATCTAGAAAGATAGTCATTGCAGCATTCTATTAAAAAAATATTGCGACCAACCATCAATAGATTATTGGTTAAATACATTCATGCAATGGAATATTGTGTAGATGACACAAAAGAATGAGATAGATTATTAAGACTGGATATAGAATGATCTCCAAGTAAAAGATAAATGAAGCAGCTCTGTATGAATGGATATAGAACAATCTCCAATGTATATTTTTATTATTCATGTGCAAAACTGTGTATAATACTACTGTGTAAAAAATTGCTTGAATGAGTAAGTGATGAGTGGACAATTAGCATATGTCTGCTCAGCATATGCCTGGATACATAGATACACAGCATTTTCTGGGAAGATATGCAGGAAATTGTTAATATTGGTAGCTTCTGGGAAGATATGCAGGAAATTGGTAATAGGGGAACTATGGGTGGAAATAGTGGTCTGGGGCACAAGAATAGAAGGGAGACTTTCTTTTCACGTATATCTTCTGAGTTTTTTTTTGTTTTTTTTTTTTTTTTTTTTTTTTTTTTTAGACAGGGTCTCATTATGTCACCCAAGTAGCAGGGACTACAAGCATGAGCCATGGCACCTGGCTAATTTTTTTGTATTTGTAGAGATGTGGTCTCACTATGTTGCTCAGGCTAGTCTCGAACTCCTGGACTCAAGCAATCTGCCCGCCTCGGCCTCCTGAAGTGCTGGGATTACAGGCGTGTGCTACTGCACCCTGCCTATCTTTTGAGTTTTATATCAAAAATAAGGTAGAAGTCAGTGCTCCTTTAGGAGCAGTCCCTTGGGGTCCATTCTTGTCATGTAGGCTTTAGTGAGAATAAAGCTCTGTAGCCAGGAAAATTGTCCTATTAGACTGTGAGTATTTTGAACTTGATTGGGCCCATGGCTTCTCACCTTTCTACTACCAGGAGCTAGTCCCATCTTTGAATATAGTAGGTGTTTAATAATTGTTTATTGAATCGAGTTCAACTGGATTTATTTGAAGTGTTTATGAGGTACCTTTACGTACATTTTTGCTTGCTAGTTTAAATATAGGCTTTTTAGCCCCTCATGTGTCTCCATTTTTTCTATCTTGAAGGAAGAAGATAAAACAAATATTTACTTTCTTATCTAAAGAGTTTAGAACTTAGCCAATCAGTGGATGTAAGTTGTTGTCTCTTTTTTTTTTGGAAGGCATTTTAGTATAATAAGCCACCAGGTACAACATGGTCATGTTGTAACTGAATAATCCCACCTTTGGCAATTTACCATAAGGAAATAATTATACAGCTCAGAAAATGCTGCTGTATAAGGATATTTATTAATTACAGTATTGTTGATAATACTGAAATTTTAGAAATAATCAAAATGATCATTGATAGGTAACTGGTTAATTTTTTTTTTTTTAAGACGAAGTTTCACTCTTATAGCCCTGGCTGGAGTGCAGTTGCGCGATTTCTACTCACTGCAACCTCCACCTCCCAGGTTCAAGAGATTCTCCTGTCTCAGCTTCCTGAGTACCTGGGGTTACAGGCACGTGCCACCATGCGTAGCTAATTTTTTATTTTTAGTAGAGACAGGGTTTCACCATGTTGGCCAGGCTGTTCTTGAACTCCTGACCTCAGGTGATCCGCCCACCTTGGCCTCCCAAAATGCTGGGATTACAGGCATGAGCCACCATGCCCAGCTGGTAACTTGTTAATTAAAGAATTATATGTCCATCGAGTGTGCCCATTAGAAATGATGATTTATATTTCTACCTTATATTTATGATGAGGAAAAATATCTATGGGATATTGTTAAGTGACAAAAACAGGTTACATAGTAGCATGTGTATGATCCCATTTATATCAGGTTTTATACAGAGATCACTATATATATGTACACATAGGCATCAGGGAGAAATTTCATCAAAATATTTTTATTCATTTATTTATTTTATTTTTGTATTTTTAGTAGAGACAGGGTTTCACCATGTTGGCCTGGCTGATCTTGAACTCCTGACCTCAAGTGATCCACCCGACTAGGCCTCCAAAAGTGTTGGGATGACAGGCGTGAGCCACCGCACCCACTATTTTATTTATATATGTATTTTTGAGACAGGGTCTCACTCTGTTGCCCAGGCTGGAGCACAATAGAGCAATCACGGCTACCAGCAGCCTCGAACTCCTGGGCTCAAGTGAGCCTCCTGCCTCAGCCTCCCCAGTAGCTGGGACTATAGGAGCATGCCACTAAGTCTGGCTAATTTTTAAATTTTTCTTTTGTAGAAATAGGGTCTATGTTACCCAGGCTGATTTCAAACTCCTGGCCTCAAGCTATCCTCCTCCCACTTCAGCCTCCCAAAGTGTTGGGATTACAGGCATCAGCCACCATGCCCAGCCCAAAATATTTTAAGTGTTCATCTCTTCATGTGAGGTGATTTTTAATTTCCTCTCTCTATATTTTTTCAATTATTTACACTTTTTCTGGAGTGTTCATTGTATCACTTTTACCCAAAAACTATTGAAAAAAGCATTCAAGTGATTTATTTAGTTACTCTTTGTCTCAACAAATATTTGTTGTTGATTGCACCAACTATCCTAGAATTACCTCTCCTGTTTTAAAGACTGCAAGATTTTCTGTGCATAATAGGAGAAAGCACTGAAGCTAAGTACTTATACTTATCAAGGCTCCTTTTGAAAAATTTAAGCACCAGAAAAAAAAAAAATCAGAACAGTAGTTGTCTCTGGAAAGGGTAGGAGTGGTGACTAACAGGGAAGGAGTATGAAGGAACTTTTTAGGATGATGGTAATGTTCTGTATCTTTATAGAGGTTTGGGTTATAGAGGACAATGCATTTGTCAAAACTCAGCAAATTTACCAAATTTACTCTTGTATTTTTTTGTTTTGTTTTGTTTCGTTTTGTTTTGTTTTTGAGACAGGGTACTCACTCTGTTGCCCAGGCTGGAGTGCAGTGGCGTGATCTCAGCTCACTGCAAACTTCGCCTCCTGGGTTCAAACAATTCTCCCGCCTCCTGAGTAGCAGGGAGTACAGGCATGTGCCACCATGACCGGCTAATTTTTATATTTTCAGTAGAGACAGGGTTTCACTAGTTTCACTATGTTAGCCAGGCTGGTCTCAGGTTCCTGGCCTCAAGTGATCCACCCACCTTGGCCTCCCAGAATGCTGGGATAACAGGCGTGAGACACCTTGCCCAGCCAGCAAATAGTTACTGTTAAGATTTGTGCATTCTTCTGTATATCAATTTACATCAAAAGGAGAAAGAATCAAACAAATTTGGCTTTAGTTAGTGATATTGATATCTGGAATTTACTTTGAAATGCACCAAAAATAAGACAGATTGATTAATAAATGGATAGATATATAATAAGGGAGGCAGGTGTGGAGGCTCATGCCTATAACCCCAGCGCTTTGGGAGGCTGAGGCAGGTGGACTGCTTGAGCCCAGGAGTTCAAGACCAGCCTGGGCAACAGAGCGAGACCCCATCTCTTGAAAAATACATATGTATATACATATAAAATAAAGCAAATATAATAAAATGTTAATAATAGAATCTAGGTGGTTTGTATACATGTGCTCGCTAAGAAATTCTTATAATTTTTGTTTTAAAATTTTCATAACAACATGTTGAGAAAAATATGTCTCAATCATCTATTGATATACTGCATGTATACATATTTTATCCTTATACACTAAATTCCACATACTGAATTTTGAAAGTTGCTCCCAAGAAAGATTCAGCCTGTTTACATAGGTAAGCTATGCAAAAGCACATATGTACATATAACATAACTAGTGAAAGGGCTGTCTTTGTAAGCATGCGAACTGTGCAGTTACACAGGGCCCTCCCTTGGTTTAATACTTTACTGTTTTGATTTTTTTTTTTTTTTTTTTGAGATGGAGTTTTGCTCCTGTTGCCCAGGCTAGAGTGCAATGGCACGATCTCGGCTCACTGCAACCTCCACCTCCCGGATTCAAGCGATTCTCCTGCCTCAGCCTCCTGAGCAGCTGGGATTACAGGCATGCGCCACCACGCCCGACTGATTTTGTATTTTTAGTAGAGATGGGGTTTCTCCACGTTGGTCAGGCTGGTCTTGAACTCCCAACCTCAGGTGATCCACCCGCCTCAGCCTCCCAAAGTGCTGGGATTACGGGTGTGAGCCACCGTGCCCAGCCAAAGTTTTTTTTTTTTTTTGGAGACAGAGTCTCACTCTGTCGCCCAGGATATAGTGCAGTGGCCCGATCTCGGCTCACTGCAACCTCCACCTCCCAGGTTCAAGCGATTCTCCTTTCTCAGCCTCCTGAGTAGCTGGGACTATGGGGGCCCACCACCACGCCTGGCTAATTTTTGTATTTTTAGTAAACACGGGGTTTTGCCATGTTGGCCAGGGTCTCAAACTCCTGACCCTGTGATTCGTCTGCCTCAGCCTCCCAAGGTGCTGGGATTACAGGCATGAGCCACCATGCCTGGCTTGAAATTCTTAATAATCTTTTAACAAGAAGCCCTGCATTTTTATTTTGCTCTGGGCCCTGTAAATTATGTAGCCAGTCTTGATTAGTGAATAAAAATATTACTAATATATATTATGTTCTCCCTATGCCAGGCACTATGTTAAACATTTTGCATTCATAATCTCATTGAATCTTCAAAGAAAGACTAAAGGGGTAGGTAATATTAATATTCCCATTTTCCAGCTGAACATATTGAGGCTCAAAGAAGTTAAGCTACTTTTCAACTTCACACATTTATTATACCCTCAGTATGCATGGTAGCACAGTATACTTAGTAGGCACTCAATAAATGTTTACTGAATAAATAGTAATAATAGCAGCTCCCATTTATTGAGCACCTTCCATGAGCCTAGAATGCCTCAACTGAAAGATGACATGCTCTCCCCTAACCCAGACTCCCCAGCTTTTGCATCACTTCCTCAAAGCCACATTCCTTGACACCCTAAATGAGGTCAGGTCTCTTTTTATGGTACCCTAGGCTTCGTGATAGCATTCATCACAATTGAAGTTAGGTAGTTCTTTAATTCCTGCCTTCCCTTCTAGATTGAAATCTCAGTGAAGACAGTGACTCATTTTCATCCCTTCACTCCTTTATTCCCAGCACCAAGTGCTATACCTGAAGCATAGCCTGCCTTCTGCCAGTGCTTGATTATGTATTTTCTCATTTAATCCTCAACTCTGTGAAGTAAAATTGTTACCATCATTTTACATGTGAAGAAACTAAGGCTCAGAGAAGTGAAGTCCCAGTCATCCCACTTTGCAGGAAGAGTCCCATCATCGTGTGGACCTACATCTGTTTGGCTCCAAAACCTCTCATCATTTCACTACAGCCCACTGTTACCGCGTGACAAACAATCTGCTTGATGTTATTTTCTATCCCTAGGCACAACTTATTCCTTTAATATCTCTTCCAGCTTCTATTTTTGCTATCTGACCTCCAGGCTCTCTAATGAAACTGAGACATGCTTTCCAACAAGCAATCACGGCAAGTGATATTATAAACAAGCTGGCTGAAGCCAGGATTTTATTTTTTAACCTTGATGAGTGAACCAGCTGGAAACACTACATTTAAAAGCAAAGGCTATAATTTCCTTTTAGTACCGATTCCTCCCTTGTCCTGGGAGATACCCTGAAGCTGCCTCTTGGGTTTTGTCATTGCAAAGCCATCACCAACGTCCAGTTGTAGGTGAAGGCCTGAAATAACTGAGGTAAAACAAATGAAGGCCGGACATGGTGGCTCAGGCCTGTAATCCCAGCACTTTGGAAGGCTGAGGCAGGTGGATCAGCTGAGGCCAGGAGCTTGAGACCTGCCTGGCCAACATGGCAAAACCCCATCTCTAATAAAAATACCCGCCCCCCGGCCTCCGCAAAATTGGCCGGGCATAGTTGTGCATGCCTGTAGTCCCAGATCTCTGGGAGACTGAGGCAAGAGGATCACTTGAACCTGGGAGGTGGAGGTTGCAATGAGCCAAGATTGCGCCACTGCATTCCAGCCTGGACGACAGAGCAAGACTCCATCTCAAAACAAACAAATGAAGATGCTTCAGGCTGCTAATAAGGTATCTTTTAGTAGTTGTCTGCCTCTATATATTGATTTCTATAAAGAAATGTTTCTCCGTAAGTATGGATCTAGATTGTCCTATGCTTGTGCACTACTGGATATCTTTTTTTTTTTTTTTTGAAACAGAGTCTCACTCTGTCACCCAGGCTGGAGTGCAGTGATGCAATCTCGGCTCACTGCAACCTCCTGGGTTCAAGCAATTCTCCTGCCTCAGGCTCCCAAGTAGCTGGGATTACATGCACACACCACCACATCCGGATAATTTTTGTTTTTATTAGAGATGGAGTTTCACCATGTTGGCCAGGGTGGTCTTGAACTCCTGACCTCAGGTGATCCTCCTGCCTCGGCCTCCCAAAGTGCTGGGATTACAGGCATGAGCCACTGTGCCTGGCTCATTACTGGATATCTTTACAGAGCTGAGAGGCCTGTTCTTTAGACACTTATTTATGAGGGTCATGGAAGTGGGATGGAGAGGAATGCTGAGAGAGTGTGCAGGCTTGTTTTCTTCAGCCAATGCTGGAGGAGAAACTGTAAACAAGAAATGGAGGGCACTTGGCCCAGCACTTTATGACATGGATTGTTGAGTTCCACCTGTGGTGTTAAAGACTGAAAATCCCAGACCTCAGGAATTGGACTGATGACAGACTGTGTTGTATTATGTCTTTTGTAGGGCATAGGACAAGAGGACAGCCTCTGATGATGGTAGAGTTTCCAGAAGTCCTGCGTTTCTGCCATTCTGATAGTGAGTTTAGACTGTGGACCTTTCATAGCAGCCACTGCTAACAGCAGTATAGGTTACCCTGTCTATTACACTTTCTGTAAACAAAAGTCAAAACCTGTTAACAATCACAGCTTGGCCTCGGTTGTGTTCTTGGGCTTATTTCACTTTCTTGGAAGAATATCAAATACTTCCCAAATTCAGTGGTGGAAGCAATGGTGACAGTCATCAGTGCAGGAGAACGGTGCTCACTGGAGCTACATTCTGATTAGGATGAGAGAGCAGCACTCCGGCAGATCCAGAAGGTTGTGATAGAACAAGAACTGTTCCTGAAAACAGGAGAGGTGTATCAGAAATACGGGAGGAGGAAGAGATTGTTTTCTCTAGGAAATGTGCCATGAGGGCTTAAGTCATCATAATTTGAACATTAAAAGTATGAGTTTAGACTGGGAGTGGTGGCTCACACCTGTAATCCCAGCACTTTGGGAGGCCAAGGTGGCTGGATCACCTAAGGTCGGGAGTTCGAGACCAGCCAGACTAACATGGAGAAACCTCGTCTCTACTAAAAATACAAAATTAGCCAGGCGTGATGGCACATGCCTGTAATCCCAGCTACTCAGGAGGCTGAGACAGGAGAATTGCTTGAACCCGGGAGGCGGAGGTTGCAGTGAGCCGAGATCACGCCATTGCACTCCAGCCTGGGCAACAAGGGCGAAACTCCGTCTCAAAAAAAAAAAAAAAAAAAAGTAGGATTTTAATATCCAAAATATATAAGGAACTCAAACAACTTAATAGCAAGAAAACAACCTAATTAAAAAATGTCAAAGGACCTAAATAGATATTTCTCAGAAGAAGACATACAAATGGTCAATAGGTACATGAAAAAATGTTCAGCATCACTAATCATCAGAAGAATGCCAATTAAAACCACAAGGAGATATCGTCTCCCACCTGTTAGAATGGCTGTCAACAAAAAGATGAAAGGTTACAAGTGTTAGAGATGATGTGGAGAAAAGGGTACCCTTGTATACTGTTAGTGGGAATGCAAATTAGTGTAGCCATTATGGAAAAGAGTAAGAAGTTTCCTTGAAGAACTAAAAATATAACTACCATATGATCAAGCAATCCTACTTCTGGAGATATATCCAAAGGAATTGAAACCAGTTTGTGAAAGAGATATCTGCACTCCCATCCTCATTACTCACATTATTCACAATAATTGTACTGAATTATTCAGCATTATTCACAATAACAAAGATAGAGAATCAATCTTGTCCATCAATGGATGAATGGATAAAGAAAATGTGCTATGTATACACAATGGCCTTTAAAAAGAAATACTGCCATTTGCCACAACATGGATGAACCTAGAGGACATTATTTTAAGTGAAATAAGCCAGGCACAGAAAGGCAAGTACTGCACGATCTGACTTTTATGTGGAATCACATAGCAGTAGACAGTAGAATGGTGGTTAACTCACAGTAGCAGACAGACAGTAGGATGGTGGTTAACTCACAGTAGGAGACAGACAATAGCATGGTGGTTAACTGAGGGTTGGTTGCAGGGAGAGGGAAAAGGGAGATGTTGGTCAAAGGGTAGAACGTTTTGGCTAGACAGGAGGAATAAGTTTTTAGGATCTATTGCACAACATGGTGACTATAATTAATAGTAATGTAATGTATATTTCAAAATTGCTGAGAGTAAATTTTAAATGTTCACACCACAAAAAATGATGAAAATGTGAGGTGATAGATGTGTTAATTAGCTTGATTTAATCATTTGATAATGCATACATCACATCGTACCTCACAAATATTTATAATTATTATTTGTCAACTAAAATTTTTAAAAAATTAAGGCTGGGAGCAGTGGCTCACACCTGTTACCCCAGCACTTTGGGAGGCAGAGGCAGGTGGATCACTTGAGCCCAGGAGTTTGAGACCACCTCATGTCTATGAAAAATAAAAAAATTAGCCAGGCCTGGTGGTGCATGCCTGTAGTCCCAGCTACTCAGGAGGATGAGGTGGGAGGATCACTTGTGCCCAGAAAGCTGAGCCTGCAGTGAGCCATGTTCGTGCCACTGTACTCCAGCCTGGGTGACAGAGTGAGACTCTGTCTCAAAAAAAAAAAAAAAAAAAAATAGGTCTAATCTTATTTTGTAGTCACTGGCTAGTGAGATATGATGTATAATTGAGTCACTGTATATGAGAGCCAGTCTCTAAGATGACTCTCAATGATTCTCACTTTCTAGTATTAATGTCCTTATGTTGTCTTCTTCCACAATGAATTAGGGCTAGTCTATGTGAACAAGAGCATGGCTGAGGTTACAGGGGGTGACTTCCAAGGGTAGACTGTAAAGGACTTGCTACTCCCACTTTAGTCTCTTGGATAGCTTACTCTGGGGGAGGCCAGCAATCATCTCATGAGGACTCTCCAACAACTTTGTAGAGGGGCCCACTAGGGGACGAACTGCGGCTTCCACCAGTATTGTGCACAGACTTACCAGCTGTGTGAGTAAGCCATTGGAAGTGGATCTTCCAGCCCCATTCAAGTCTTCAAATGACTGCAGACTTGGTTAACGTCTGACTGAACCCCACGAAAAACCCCTAACTAGAACTGCCCAGTCAAGTGGCTCCCAAATTCCTGACCTGTAGAAACTGTGACAGATAATAAATGTTTATATTTAAGTTAAGCCACTAAGTTTGGGGTTAATGTGTTATGCAGCAATAGATAATTAAAACACTATACTATAGATTCTACAGAATAAATGTCTATATAAAACTGCCTTTGGGAGGCCGAGGTGGGCGGATCACCTGAGGTCAGGAGTTTGAGACCAGCCTGGCCAACGTGGTGAAACCCCGTCTCTACTAAAAATACAAAAATTAGCTGGGCATGGTGGCGCACGCTTGTAATCCCGGCTACTCGGAAGGCTGAGGCAGGAGAATCGCTTGAACCTAGGAGGCGGAGGTGTCAGTGAGCCGAGATCGTGCCATTGCACTCCAACCTGGGCAACATCAAAAAAAAAACAAAAACAAAAACAAAATACTGCCTAAAGAGGCCAGGAAGGTCTTCAGTAAAAAAAGAGGACATGAGTTGAGTCTTCAGGGATGACTAGAGGCTTGCAGGTATGGAATTAGGGTGGAGAAAAGGAAGTCATTTCAGGCTGAAGGAACAGCTTGACCACAGTAAGAGGGCATGGCCTATTTGAAAAACAGCAATTAGTTCAGCATGACTCGGATGCAGTGTGTTTAAAGAATGAAGTAGAGATTAGAAGATCAGACAGGAGTCAGCTAACAAAGGACCTTATATGCCATGCCCATGTGTTTTTGTTTGTTTGTTTTTTTGAGACAGTCTTGCTCTGTTGCCCAGGCCGGAGTACAAAGCAACTTCTGCCTCCCAGGTTCAAGCAATTCTGCCTCAGCCTCTCAAGTAGCTGGGGTTACAGGCGCACACCACCATACCCAGCTAATTTTTGTATTATTATTATTTTGGGATGGAGTCTTGCTCTGTCGCCCAGGCTGGAGTGCAGTGGCGCGATCTCGGCTCACTACAACCTCTGCCGCCTGGGTTCAAGCAATTCTCCTGCTTCAGCCTCCCAAGTAGCTGAGTAGCTGGGATTACAGGCACACACCACCTCGCCCGGCTAATTTTTTTGTATTTTTAGTAGAGACAGGGTTTCAGCATCTTGGCCAGGCTGGTCTTGAACTCCTGACCTCGTGATCCACTAGTTTCGACCTCCCTAAGTGCTGGGATTACAGGCGTGAGCCACTGCACCCGGCCAATTTTTGTATTTTTAGTAGAGAGGGGGTTTCACCAAGTTGGCCAGGCCAGTCTCCAACTCCTGACCTTGTGATCCACCCACCTTGGCCACACAAAGTTCCAGGGGTACAGGCATGAGCCACCGCGCCCGGCCATGTTTGTTGTTTTATCCTGAAGGCCATGAGGAGCCACTGAAGAATTTTATTTTATTTTATTTTATTTTATTTTATTTTATTTTATTTTATTTTTATTTTATGTTATATTTTTTTGAGACAGAGTCTTGCTCTGTTGCACAGGCTGGAGTGCAGTAGCTTGATCTCAGCTCACTGCAACCCCCACCTCCTGAGTTCAAGCGATTCTCCTGCCTCAGGCTCCCCAGTAGCTGGAATTACAGGCGCCCGCCACCATGCCCAGCTAATTTTTGTATTTTTAGGAGAGACAGGGGTTTCACTGTGTTGGCCAGGCTGGACTTGAACTCCTGACCTCAAGTGATCCACACACCTTGACCTCCCAAAGCGCTGGGATTACAGGCGTGTACCACCGCACCAGGCCCATTGAAGAATTTTAAAGCAAACAGCTGACATAATCAATTGTACATTTTAGAATGATGGCCAAATGAAAGGTGGATTGGAGGAATGAGGTTACAACCAGGTAGAAGCAGTGAGAGTAATTTGAAGACAACCTTTTTTTTTGAAACGGAGTTTCGCTCTTCTTGCCCAGGCTGGAGTGTAATGGTGCGATCTCGGCTCGTCGCAACCTCCGCCTCCCGGGTTCAAGCAATTCTCCTGCCTCAGCCTCCCAAGTAGCTGGGATTACAGCCATGTGCCACCACACCCAGCCAATTTTGTATTTTTAGTAGAGATGGGGTTTCTCCATGTTGGTCTGGCTGGTCTCAAACTCCCAACCTCAGGTAATCTGCCCGCCTTGGCCTCCCAAAGTGCTGGTATTACAGGCGTGAGCCACTGTGCCTGGCCTTGAAGACTACCTTTTAAGATTTTCCACTTCTGCTGAGGATTCAACCTGCCCCAGAAGCTGGTGACTAATTAAATGTAGAGATTGAAGGAAAGAGACAAGTCTAAAAAACGACTTCCCTCTTCCCCAAAAGTTTTTTTTTTTTTGAAACGGAGTCTTGCTCTGTCGCCCAGGCTAGAGTGCAATGGCGCAATCTCAGGTCACTGCAACCTCCGCCTCCTGGGTTCAAGCAATTCTCCTGCCTCAGCCTCCCGAGTAACTGGGATTACAGGCGTGTGCCACCATGCCCGGCTAACTTTTTGTATCCTTAGTAGAGATGGGGTTTCACCATGTTGGCCAGGCTGGTCTCCTGACCTCAGGTGATCCGCCCACCTTGGCCTCCCCAAGTGGTAGGATTACAGGTGTGAGCCACCTTGCCCGGCATTTCTCGAATTTCTTAAGATGTAACTACCATTTCTATTCACCAATTAAATTTTTTTTTAATTAAATTTTGCTCCTCTTTACTTCACCTATTTTCCAGTAAATTTGTATCCATTTCATTATCTGAGAACTTCCACCTTCATTTTCCTTTTTCCTCTTCCTGCTGTTTGTGAACAAAACCTTTCCTTTTATTAAATATTTAACAAGTGTGGCAGAGTTCTTAATTTCCTCTATTGAGTATTGCACAGGCATGGCACAGTTCTTGATTTAATTGTCAATAGCCATCTACTTCTTTGAAATTGTTTTTCAACTAATAGAGTGATTTTCATCCCTAACACCTAATTATGACCTAGTACCCAACACTCTAAGAGTTCGAATTCAGGCAATTCACCTGATTTGAGCTGATTTTCTTATCCAGGAACTATGTATTTAGAAATACCACTTAGATGAGTGCAGTGTCCATAGCATTAGTATTTCAAGAATTAAAGAAAAAGTAACAACATGCAAGTCATATAATTTTGCAATCAAGTGGGGAAGAAGAATCATTGCAGTAAATGTACTAAAATGCCAGACTTTGAACAGCATGTTTTTTTTCCTGTGGTTGTTTTAAAACTATTTGTGCCTCAGTAAAAAATTAGTATCAGTGAAATTCATGTCATTTTATTTGTGGAAGTAACTGTGGTTTTTAAAAAGTAACCACTTAATTTTTGTCATCACAAAAGCCCAAGAAAAGTAATGTTAAAAATGAGTAAAATGGAGCTGAGTATTTTTACCAGAGTGCTTAGTGGGAAGAATTCAAGCATAAACGACACTGATTAATGTACTTAACTTTTTCAGCATTTAATTGACAAAAATGGAGGCTTAACAAAAAGTTTCTAGGGTGCAAAATGTCTAATGAATATTTTAAATGTATCTTTAGATAAAACAGTTTTATGGCATAATTAAAGGTAAAAGTGCAAAATCCAAGGTAGTAGTTTTTTTCTAAGAAGAAAACTTTTTTTCGATTACATAATTGAGGCATACTTATTTTTTAAAAATTCAGTTAATACATAAAAGCAGGAAATAAATTACATAAACCTCACTAGCCACAGATAAGTGTTGTTAGCACTTTGTGAACTTGCTCCCAGCTGTCTCTTCATCCATATATTTGTGTAGGCATATGTATGCACAGGATTTGACTTACACAGATTCATATTCTACATACTGTTCTGTAAACTGATCTTTTAATTTTGCAACACATTGTGGACATCTTTCCACATCTATAAATATAAATCTATTCTAGCTTTCTAAACGGATGCATAGTATCACACTCTATATAAATAGACATGGTGAACATCCCTGTCCCATTTCTTTTCTTCTTTTAATTTATTTATTCAAATAAAATACGGCTTAGAGCCCACACTCTGAAGATGGATAAGAATTATTTCTGGGATTTCTTTCTGTACTGCAGTGAAGTATACAAGACCTCTAGAGTTTGGGTGGTCGAGTGGTCCTGGGTCACTGAAACGGGGTGATGCTGTTGATTTACCTTCATCTGACCAGAAAGCTGTCACCAGCACTCTTACTGCTCCTTCCAGGGTCTCAGTGCTTAGTGACCTGTCTCCCAGGCATCCTGCAGCCATCCCTGCTTGAGTCCTGTCTTCTGTTGCAAACTTCAGGAGAAGAAGGCATTTGGAAATCCTAAAAATCCCAGGCTGGGAGTGGTGGCTCATGCCTGTAATCCCAGCATTTTGGGAAGTCAAGGCGGGTGGATCACCTGAGGTCAGGAGTTTGAGACCAGCCTGGCCAACATGGCAAAACCCGGTCTCTACTAAAAATACAAAAAATTAGCCAGGCGTGGTGGTGCACACCTGTAATCCCAACTACTTTGGAGGCTGAGGCACGAGAATGGCTTGAACCTGGTAGGGCGGAGGTTGTAGTGAGCCGAGTTTGCGCTGCTGCATGCCAGCTTGAGTGACAGAGTGAGACCCTGTCTCAAAACAAACAAACAAACAAACAAAATCCCGGCCGGGTGCAGTGGCTCACGCCTGTAATCCCAGCACTTTGGGAGGCCGAGGCATTCGGATCACGAGGTCAGGAGTTTGAGACCAGCCTGGCCAATATGGTGAAACCCCATCTCTACTAAAGATACAAAAAATTAGCTGGGCATGGTGGTGTGCGCCTCTAATCCCAGCGACTCGGGAACCTGGAGCAGGAGAATTGCTTGAACCTGGGAGGCGGAAGTTGCAGTTAGTCGTGATTGCGCCACTGCACCCCAGCCTGGGTGACAGAGTAAGACTCCATCTCAAAAAAAAAAAAAAAAAAAATCCCACAACCCTTCCCCAGACTCAGTGCGATTCATCCTTTCTTTACGTTAGCAAAAAGTTCTTGGAAAACAAAGGCCTATTAATTCTTTAGGTCAAGGGAAAGGTAAAACTCTAGCCCAGGCTAGTTTCTTAGGAGATGGGGAGAAGGGGAACTGCTGCTCAATCTTTCCAGATAAACCTGTAACAGAGAACTAGACAGTTGACTTTGGGGGTGTTATGTAACCTCCTTAAACCTCAAATTCTTTATAAGATAGCAACAAATAGCAACTCTATCCTGCCAGCTGTAGAGGCCAAAAAACTTAGTTGCTTGGCCTAAGTAAAGAATGTCTCTCATTCTCTCAGCTGCAAGTCATCACATTCTGCCTGTTGAAACTTCAAAGAGATCCAGAATCTGACCTTTTCTCCCCACATCCACTGTTTGCAGCTTGGTCCATCATGTCTTACCTGGGCTTTTGCAGTAGCCTCCTAACAGGTCTCCTTGTGATCACTTTTCAAGGCACTAGCCCGTGACTTTTTAAAATGCATGATGGCTTTACATCTAACTTGGAGAAAAAAGCAAAATTCTTAGACTAGCCTAGAAAGCCCTTCTATGTGAATTAGCCCCACTTCTCTCACCTCAGCCCCAACCATCCTCCTCTTCAGTCGTCTACCCTTGCCAAACCTGTCAAGCATGCTCCTTGCCCTTGCTGTTTTCTTGGCCACTAGCTATTTTCAAGGCTAATGGTTGTCAGTTGTCTCCAACCATTAGCTCAAACCATTCCCTTTATCAGTATCCCCATACCCTGCTTCATTTTTCTCCACAGCACTTTTCATTGGCACACTGTATGTTTATTTATTTTTTTTATTATTTCCTTTTTTTTTTTTTTTTTTTTTTGAGACAGAGTCTTGCTCTGTCACCCAGGCAGGAGTGCAGTGGTGCTATCTCCGTTTACTGCAACCTCCGCCTCTCAGGTTCAAGCTATTCTCATGTCTCAGCCTCCCGAGTAGCTGGGATTACAGGCATGCACCACCAGACCCGGTTAATTTTTGTATTTTTAGTAGAGACGGGGTTTCACCATGTTGGCCTTCACCATGTTGGCCAGGCTGGTCTCGAACTCCTGACCTCAAGTGATCCACCTGCTCCAGCCTCCCAAAGTGCTGGGATTACAGGTGTGAGCCACCGTACCCGGCCTTATTATTTGTCTCTTAAAGCTGGAATGTAAGCCTGTTGAAGGAAGAGACTTGTGCCATAAGCAGTGCCTGGCACGCATTAGGGGCTCAATAAATATTTCCTGAATGAATGAATGGAAAATGATAATCCCTGTCTTTCAGAGTTGGGGTGAGGATTCATTGAGATAATGTAGTGCCTAGCAAATAGTAAGGACTATGTAAATACAGATTACTATTGCATATGATTATTATTATGTTTAAGCTAGGCTTTGAAGAATATATTTTTTAAAAGGGCATTCCAGCAAAGAGACTGACTGGAGCAGAAGCCTAGAAGTAGGAAGTACCCTGTAGGTGGGTGTGAACTGCATTAAGAATGTGTGAGAAAACTGGTTATTGGCAAGAGATAGGGCTGGAAATAGAGTGACAGAGAAGAATGTGGAGGAAATTGAATTAAAAGCTCAGAAATTTAGGTTTTTGTCCCTAACAGTAGGGGGACCATCTGGGATTTTCAGCAGAGAAAGCTATGATAAGATATTGGGTTTTGTGCCACTGCACTCTAGCCTGGGCGACAGAGCGAGACTCCATCTCAAAACAAAAGATATTGGGTTTTTTGTTTGTTTAAGATGGAGTCTTATTCTGTCACCCAGGCTGGAATGCAGTGGCGCAATCTTGGCATACTGCAGCCTCCACCTCTCAGGCTTAAGCAATTCTCCTGCCTCAGCCTCCCGAGTAGGTGGGATTACAGGTGCCCGCCACCACACCCAACTAATTTTTGTATTTTTAGTAGAGACAGGGTTTCACCATGTTGGCCAGGCTGGTCCCGAACTCCTGACCTCAAGTGATCCGCCGGCCTCGGCCTCCCAAAGTGTTGGGATTACAGGCGTGAGCCACTGCGCCAGCCAGATCTTGGTTTGATAATTGATTATCCTGTGTTGCAAAGTTGCTTTTTCTAGCTTGTAGGGAGTGGATTTGTTAATCAGAGAAAACAATTAGTTTAAGAAATGTTTGTTTTTGTTTTGGGTTTGTTTGTTTTTGTTTGTTTGTTTGTTTGTTTTTTGAGACAAGGCCTCACTCTCGTCACCCAGGCTGGAGTACAGTGGCGCCATCATGGCACACTGCAGTGTTGACTTCCTGGCCTCAAGTGATTCTCCCACCTCAGCCTCCCGAGTAGCTGGGACTAAAGACATGCGTCACCACACCCAGCTTCTTTAAGAAACTTTGATGGACTATTTTGAATAGAAGCTGATGGGACCTTGCCTATGACCTTATCTATAACCCTTCTTTTCATGTAAGCAACAAACATGCTCCGTGGGGGCGGGTGGAGCCTGGGAAAACCTGAGAGTCAGAGCCTTGTGATTCACTTTTAGACAATCTGCACTGCCTGGGGTTCTAATTCAGTTATTTCCTCTTTCAAGATTCACGTTTGCTTAACTTTTGGATTAAGTTTATTTCAAAACTTGATGGTGTTTTATGCTTTGGTTTTCCATTTCATATACAATGTCTAAACATATCTCTCTCCATTATATACCCCATTTTCAGTATAAAGTCTTGCTATTTAAAGTGTGGTCCTGGGATCAGCTGCATTACCTTTTTTTTTTTTTGAGTTGGAGTCTCACTCTGTCATTTAGTCATTTTGGCTGTGCAGTGGCATGATCTTGGCTCACTGCAACCTCCGCCTCCCAGATTCAAGCAATTCTCCTGTCTCAGCCTCCCAAGTAGCTGAGATTACAGGCACACACCACCACACCCAGCTAATTTTTGTATTTTTAGTAGGTATGGGGTTTCACCATATTGGTCAGGCTGGTCATGAACTCCTAACCTCAGGTGATCCACCTGCCTCAGCCTCCCAAAGTGCTGGGATTACAGGTGTGAGCCATCATGCCTGGCCAGGACCAGCTGCATTATCATCACTTGGGAGCTTGTTAAAAATACATAATTCTCAGGACCCACTCAGTCCCACTGAATTAGCAAATGCATTTAACAAGATCCCTGGTGATGTGTGTGCACTTGAGGTTTAAGAAGCACTCCTCTTAAGCATCTCTTAACCCATGGCTCCTCCAGTCTCCCTCAAGAGCCCCTTAGCACCTCTAATATTCTAAATAAACTTTCTGAACAAGTTCCTTAGCCACTCTCTCCAACTAGAAAGTTTTCTACACTCTACTTTTTGGATAGAAAATTTGGGCTGAGCATGGTGGCTCATACCTGTAATCCCAGCACTTTAGGAGGCCAAGGTGGGTGGATCACCTGAGGTCAGGAGTTTGAGACCAGCCTGACTAACATAGTGAAACCCCATCTCTACTAACAACACAAAATTAGCTGGATGGGGTGGTGCTCGCCTGTAATCCCAGCTCCTAGGGAGGCTGAGGCAGGAGAATCTCTTGAACCCGGGAGGAGGAGGTTGCAGTGAGCCAAGATCGTGCCATTGCACTCCACTTTGGGCAACAAGAGAGAAACTCCATCTCAAATCAAATAAATAAATGTATAGAAAAATTGAAGCAGCAATTGCTCTAGATGTTTCTCAAGGTACAATCTCTAGATCACTTGCATTCGAATAACTTAGAGGGTGTATTAAAAGAGTGCGGATTCCTAGACCCACCTTACATCTGCTGAATATGACTCTTTTGAAGGGCCCTGCAAACCACTTTTTAAACTAACATCTGATATATATCAGCCATCAAAGAATCATCAGAAAAATTCTGGCTGCAGAAACAAATGCAGTCCCTGACCTTATTACCTACCTGTCCTCAGTACTGAATTTTCTTTCCAGCTCTAACCCTGCTCCCTCATCCTGACCTGCATTCTGCTGTTTGAAATACAGTAATTTAACTATGACCGTATTGTTAGTGCTTCTTGTGAAAGATCCCACACAAATGTGGTTCTCGCATCTCTTTTTCAAATATATGCAAACAGGATTCTAGAATTTCATTTTTTGTTAGTTATCAGTCACTAATATTCATACAAATTCCTATCTAACAATAAAACATTTATCTCTCTGCTTTTTAGTATTTTATTATGAAATGAAAGATAATGTTTTTCTTGTGTTTAATGCTTTTTTTTACATCATCATGTTCTCCTTCATCTGTATCTTGTATCAGGCCAGCCAGTTTTGTCGTCAATCCTATTGGAAAGGTACCTGGGAAGGGGGAGGGGGAATGGCAGATGTATTATTTGTTAGTTTGTGATATTATATAGCTAAATTTGACCTTATTATACCATTCTTCTGGGCCTGGGAGGTGAGGATGGGGCAGTGACAAGTGCTGAAACAGGTGGTTGGTGCCTGCAGTTTACTGGTCAGCATTTTTTTTTTTTTTTGAGATGGAGTTTCCCTCTTGTTGCTCAAGCTGCAGTTGCAATGGCACGATCTTGGCTCACTGCAACCTCAGCCTCCCAGGTTCAAGTGATTCTCCTGCCTCAGCCTCCCAAGTAGCTGGGACTACAGGTGCCTGCCACCATGCCTGGCTAAAAGTCAGCCTTTTTTTTTTTTTTTTTGAGACAGAGTTTTGCTCTTGTTGCCCAGTTTGGAGTGCAATGGCACAATCTCAGCTCACTGCAACCTCCGCCTCCCAAGTTCAGTCTATTCTCCTGCCTCAGCCTCCTGAGTATCTGGGATTACGGGCGTGTGCCACCACGCACAGCTAACTTTTTTGTATATTTAGTAGAGACGGGGTTTCACCATGTTGGTCAGGCTGATCTTGAACTCTTGTCCTCAGGTGATTCGCACCCCCTCAGCCTCCCAAAGTGCTGGGATTACAGCCGTGAGCTACCGCTCCCAGCCCAGCCTTTTTATTACTAGTGACTACATCAAGGACTTCCACTGCTGACACAAAAGTCGAGGAGAATGGCTGAAAGCTTCTCATGTAGCTATTAGTTAAGAAATTAAATTACACTGTTTGAAGCCACATTAATAGATATTAAATGTTAAAGTAATAAAATGACATATCTTGCAAATTAAATTTGAATGAAGTTCTAATCTTAATGAAGAGGGATCAAAAGGGAGACAGAATAGAATGCGTCCAGATTTCTGCATCCACCCCCAAGAGTGTTGTTTTAAATTAAAAAGTACAGCTGGGTTCAGTGGCTCACGCCTGTGATCCCAGCACTTTGGGAGGCTGAGGTGGACAGATCACCTGAGGTCAGGAGTTCGAGACCAGCCAACATGGCAAATACCATCTCTACTAAAAATACAAAACGTTAGCCAGGCATGACTTGGGGGGGCGCCTGTAATCCCAGCTACTCTGGAGGCTAAGGCAAGAGAATTGCTTGAACCTGGGAGGCAGAGGTTTCAGTGAGCTGAGATGGCGCCACTGCACTCCAGCCTGGGCGACAGAGTGAGACTTTGTCTTAAAAAAACTTATCTCAAAAAATTAGAAAGTAAAAAACACATCTTCTTTTCTCTCTCAAAGAGGCTCAAGGCTTCAAAAGCATTCTATAATGTGTCCCTCTCCATGTATCCTTTCTGAAACCCCAGCAAGATATAAACTTGTCTTTTTTTTTTTTTTGAGACGAAGTCTTGCTCTGTCTCCAGGCTGGAGTGCAGTGGCGCCGTCTCGACTCACTGCAACCTCCACCTCCCAGGTTCAAGCAGTTCTCCTGCCTCAGTCTCCCAAGTAGCTGGGACTACAGGCGCGTGCCACCATGCCAAGCTAATTTTTTTGTGTTTTTTTAGTTAGAGGCAGGGTTTCACCATGTTGGCCAGGATGGTCTCAATCTCTTGACCTCGTGATCCGCCCGCCTTGGCCTCCCAAAGTTCTGGGATTACAGGTTTGAGCCACTGCGCCCGGCCAATCTTGTCTTTTTAGATCCTCTATAATACTTCTTTCCTTTTAAATTCTCATTTTAGTTATCTTACAATTCCTTAATTTGTGGTCATATCTGAGCCTCCCCTTCTTGGTTGTATTTCCTTGGCCAGTTGTAAATTCCCTTAAGCAGAAACTGTGCATTCTCTTCTTTGTGCCTATCGACAAGTATTTATTGGATTTACCATGTTCAGCACAGTAAGGCATACAAAAGCATAAATTACAAAACAATTTAACTTGAAAGAAAAATCTTACCCATATAAAAGAAGCTAATATGAGATTGCATATACGTCTATGACTAATGGAGATATTAGTCTTTTTTTTTTTTTTTTTTTGAGACAGAGTTTTGCTTTTGTTGCCCAGGCTGGAGTGCAATGGCGCGATCTCGGCTCACCGCAACCTCCACCTCCCAGGTGCAAGCAATTCTCCTGCCTCAGCCTCCTGAGTAGCTGGGATTACAGGCATGTGCCACTATGCCCGGCTAATTTTGTGTTTTTAGTAGAGACGAGGTTTCTCCATGTTGAGGCTGGTCTCAAACTCCTGACCTCAGGTGATCTGCCCGCCTCTGCCTCCCAAAGTGCTGGGATTACAGGTGTGAGCCACTGCGCCAGTCCAGAGATACTAGTCTTGATCCAATACAGTTCTGTCCTGGTGGGTACAAAACCACTGAAGTTGTGTATGGGTGCCTGGGCCCTCAACTCTAAGAAAAGTGGCCATAGAACCTGCAGTTAAAGTCCCAGTGATCTAAAGGAAGTAGATGCCCTCAAAAGAGCTGCTTATATTCAAACAGAAAATGAGGCCAGTGAATATCTCCAAGCCATAAAATGATAAACCAGAGGCCATGCTTCTTCATTCAATTTTCATGGAGTCCATAATTTCCAGGATTTATGTATACTTCAAGGAGGGAGGGACACGAGAATATTGGTCATTACCTGAGACAGGCAGATGAAGCCAATGCCAAATTTAATTTGATTTAGGAAACTCAAAGTAAAGATGGAAGCTGGGCATGGGGGCTTGTGCCTGTAATCCCAGCACTTTGGGAGGCCGAGGCAGGAGGATTGCTTGAGCCCAGGAATTTGAGACCACCCTGGGCAACATAGGGAGACCCCCATCTCTACAAAAAAAAAATTAATTTAGATGGGTGTGATGGCACATGGCTATGGTTCCAGCTACTTGGGAGGCTGAGGCAGGAGGATCACTTAAGCCCAGGAGGTCGAGGCTGCATGAGTCATGACTGCACTCCAGCCTGGGTGATGGAGTGAGACCCTAACACAAAAAAGTAAAAAAGAAAGAAAAGAAAGTCTTTATGAATAAAATGGGGCTTGCATGAATCAGAGAGATAAGGAGAGAGAAAAGTATAAGAAGTAAATGAGGCCAGGTAGGGTGGATCAAACCCATAATCCCGCACTTTGGGAGGCCGAGGCAAGAGGATCACTTGAGCCCAGAAGTTTGAGACCAGCCTGGGCAACAAAGCGAGATCTCATCTCTACTAAAAAATAAGAATAAAAGTGAATGACTAAAGCCCTGGGGTAAGAAGGATCACACTGGGTCAGTGGAGCCCCGGGGAGAGGAGGAAAAGTATCAGGGAAGGCTAGGATGGGAAGTTAAGCCAGATAGGATGGAACTAGATTATGGAGAGCCTTGAAACTGGGGAAAAGGAATTTAATGTGATGGCAATGGGAATGGATTGGTAATTAAGGAAAATTAGAACATGTTTGATGTGGCTAAGGATGTGAGAACCTGATATTAGGAAGACTGACTTTCTGAATTGATGCATTAATTTGAACCTCAAGAGATACAACGGTGGGACCAGCAATGGAGAAGAGACAGAAGGAATAGAAATGAGAGCTGTTCAAGGGAAAAACTTACACATTTTGTGGATATGGAAAGTGAAGAAGATGAGCTACATGTGGGTGGTTTCATCCTTTGAACATTACAGGCAGGCATGTAAATACTTAGTAAATTGAATCAAAGTTAAAACCCAAAAAGGAGTGGGGAATTGGAGACAAAGAACCAAATTTCCCATCACTATATCAGCTGAGGATTTCCTTTCTATGCCTGTATTTCTACAACAATGATAATATTTGAAAATCTTTATGCTTCTCTTCATCTTGTCACCATTCTAGTCCAAGCCATCGTTGTCTCTCATCTGAATTATTGAAATTGCCTCTCAAAGTCTTCCCACTTCATTGTTATTTTCTCCTCCTCTGTATCAGGGTCCCCAAGACCACCCCCAGTTTCAATTATTTACTAAGGAGATTCACAGGACTCAGAATATAGTCATACTCACACCTGTGATTTATTACAGCAAAAAGATTCAAAGCAAAATCAGCAAAAGAAAAACTCATATGGGGCAAAGTTCAGAGGAAACGAGGCCCAAGCTTCCAAAGGTTCTCTTCCACTGGTATCACACGGGACATGCTTAATTCTCCCAGCGGCCAGGAGCAGTGGCTCACACCTGTAATCCCAGCACTTTGGGAGGCTGAGGCAGGGGGATCACCTGAGGTCAGGAGTTCAAAATCAGCCTGGCCGACATGGCGAAACCCCGTCTCTACTAAAAATACATAAATTAGCCGGGTGTGGTGGCAGGCACCTATAGTCCTAGCTACTTGGGAGGCTGAGACAGGAGAATCACTGGAACCCGGGAGGCAGAGGTGGCAGTGAGCCAAGATCACGCCATTGCACTCCAGCCTGGGAAATGGCTGTCTCAAAAAAAAAAAAAAAATTCTCCCAGCAATGGGTTGTGACAATACAAGTGAAATGTTGCCAACCAGATAAGTTTGTTAAAGACCCAGAACCCCAGGATTTTTTTTTTTTCTTGAGACAGAGTCTCACTCTGTCACCCAGGCTGGAGTGCAGTGGCACAGTGGTACGATCTCAGCTCACTGCAACCTCCACCTCCCGGGTTCAAGCGATTCCCCTGCCTCAGCCTCCTGAGTAGCTGGGATTACAGGTGCCTGCCACCACGCCTGGCTAATTTTTGTATTTTTAGTAGAGACGGGGTTTCCCCATATTAGCCAGGATGGTCTCGATCTTCTGACCTCGTGATCCACCTGTCTCAGCCTCCCAAAGTGCTGGGATTACAGGCGTGAGCCACTGCGCCTGGCCACACCCCAGGATTTTATGGGAGCTAGTTGCATAGGCACCCGCTGCCTATGCAAAATGTACCAAAATTCCTGATTCCTCACATGTACCAAAATCCCTGATTCCGCAAAGGAAAGCAGGTGTTCAGCATTACTGTGGTCTGAATACTTACATCCTTCCAAAATTCATATGTTGAAAACTTCACACACAAGGTGATGTTATTAGGAGGTGGGATCTGTGGGATGTGATTAGGTCATGGGAGCAGAGTGGGATTAGTCCCCTAATAAAAGAGGTCTGAGAGAGACTCCTCATCTTTCTACCATGTGAGGACTCAGTAAGAAGGTACCTTCTATGAACTAGACCCTCACCAGTCACTGAATCTACCAGTGCCTTGATCTTGGACATCCCAGCCTCCACAGCTGTGAGAAATAAATTTCTGTTGTTTATAAGAACAGAAACGGTTTATGCTATTTTGTTTTATCAGCCTGCATATAGACTAAGATAAGCATAAAGCACAGCATTCATACAGTTTAGACACAATGAGCCATTCTTGTCAGTTGGGTGGTGTAAACCCTCCCAAGATCCAAGTTCCAGCCAAGGACCACCCTTGTAAGTTGGACTTTCTTTTTGTTTTTTTTTTTTGTTTTGAGATAGGGTCTCACTCTGTTGCCTAGGCTGAAATGCAGTGACATGATCATAGCTCACAGCTGCCTTGAGCTACTGGGCTCAAGCAATCCTCCCACCTCAGCCTCCTGAGTAGCTGGGACTACAGGCATGCACTATCACTCCTGGGTAATTTTTTTTTTTTTTTGAAACAGAGTCTTGCTCTGTTGCCCAGGCTGGAGTGCAGTGGCACAATCTCGGCTCACTGCAACCTCCATCTCCTGGGTTCAAGCAATTCTCCTACCTCAGCTTCCTGAGCAACTGGGATTACAAGTGTGTGCCACCACACCCAACTATTTTTTGTATTTTTAGTAGAGATGGGGTTTCACCATGTTGGCCAGGCTTGTCTTGAACTCCTGACTTCAAGTGATCCACCCGCCTCAGCCTCCAAAAGTGCTGGGATTACAGGTATGAGCCACCACACACAGCCCTGGCAAATTTTTTGTAGAGATGTGGTTTCATCATGTTGTCTAGGCTGGTCTCGAACTTCTGGACTCAAGCAATCCTCCCACCTCAGCCTCCCAAAGTGCTGGGATTACAGGTGTGAGCCACTGCCCCCAGCTAAGCTGGATTTTCTTTTTCTTTCTTTCTTTCTTTTTTTTTTTTTTTTTTTGAGATGGAGTCTTGCTCTGTTGCCCAGGCTGGAGTGCAGTGGCACAATCTCAGCTCACTGCAGGCTTTGCCTCTCCTGAGTTCAAGCAATTCTCCTGACTCAGCCTCCCAAGCAGCTGGGATTATAGGCGCATGCCACCACACCCAGCTAATAATTTTTGTTTGTTTTGGCCCCCACCACTATGCCTAGCTAATTTTTTGTATTTTTGGCAGAAACGTGGTTTCACCATGTTGGCCAGGCTGTTCTCGAACCCTTGACCTCCTGATTCGCCCACTTCGGCCTCCCAAAGTGCTGGGATTATAGGCATGAGGCACCGCGCCTGGCCAATTTTTGTATTTTTAGTAGAAACGGAATTTCACCATGTTGGCCAGGCTGGTCTTGAACTCCTGACCTCAGGTGATCTGCCCGCCTCGGCCTCCCAAAGTGCTGGGATTACAGACACGAGCCACCACGCCCAGCCTAAGCTAGATTTTCAAAGGATTGCTATTGGACCTACTATTAACCATATTCTGCACACCTTCCAACCTATTATTCAGCCAATAACTAGAGCGAATCTTCTTAAGATATAAACCAGATTATATATGTTAGACTAAAATTCAAACTCTTACCATGGGGCACAATTCCCTGCATGACATTGACATTGCATTCCTCTCCAAACCCATCTCTTGCCAACTGTCCTCAGTATCACCTTCTAGCCACACTGGCCTCTAAGTTTCTAGAACATTATTGTCCAATAGAACTTTATGTGATGCACCTATAATCCCAGAACTTTGGAAGGCCGAGGCGGGCGGATCACGAGGTCAGGAGATCGAGACCATCCTGGCTAATACAGTGAAACCCCATCTCTACTAAAAATATAGAACTTTATGTGATGATAGGAATGTTCTTCTGCACTGTTCAGTTGTCTGTTGGTGTTCACCAACCATACATAATTATTGACCACTTGAAATGTGGCTAGTGCACCTGAGCAAATGAATTTTTAATTTTTTTCTTAATTTTAATCAACATAAATTTAAATAGCCAAATGTGGCTAATGGCTATTCTACTGCAGTTCTGGAACATATTATTGAGCTTTTCCTATTTTAAGGCCTTTTGTTGTGTGGGAAATTACCCTGATGCAATGGTAAACTTCAATTACACTATCAGGCAGGCTATCCCAAAGATCAAAGGACACAAGGTCTTACAGACCAAATTAAAATGCTTGAATCACATACAGTTTATTAAATCAACTTAGTCCAGGCATGATGGCTCACGCCTGTAATCCCAACACTTTGGAGGGCCAAGGTGGGTGAATCACTTGAAGTCAGGAGTTCAAGACTAGCCTGGCCAACATGGTGAAACCCCATTTCTACTAAAAATACAGAAAAAAAATTAGCCAGGCATGGTGGCACATGCCTGTAATCCCAACTACTAGGGAGGCTGAGGCAGGAGAATCACTTGAACCTGGGATGCAGAGATGGCAGTGACCCGAGATGGTGCCACTGTATTCCAGCCTAGGTGACAGAGCGAGACTCCATCTCAAAAAAAACAAAAACAAAAACAAAAAAACAACTTAAAACATACAGCAAAAAGCAAAAGGAAAGAAATGGGGTAAGTTAACACACAATTAGGGAAGGGTGCAAACAACATAGAAGGTTCACACTACATAAATCCTGGGTTATGCAATGTTGGTATGACCCTTCTCTGTTGGCATCAACCTCCTCTGTTGATGGACCAAAGTTGACGTTTAAGCAAAGGTGCCCACAGACAGAAGGTGCCCTGAGTCAGTGGCATACACTTGTTCTACCAGAAGGACTCAGGAGGAACACGTACACCTGGCCTACAGCAGTCGCTTGCCAATTAACTTGCCGAACAACTATGGGTTTTACTCAGGTTATGAGTTTGTGTTTTTTGGGCAGAGGACACATGCACCAGAATAGTTATTACCAATGAGTAGTTGAATTAAGACTTCATAAATATTAAGTGTTCATGTATATTTAGTGTATCCTGAATGTTAAATGTCTCGTATATATTTAACTTCTCATGAATATTTAGCGTCTAGGTCCCTCATGCATATTTATGCCTCATGAATATTATTTTTGGTTCTTTCATTTCTTTTTATCTACATTTAAAACACACATGCTCTATCCACTAATTACTTATCTATATTTAACTCATCTTAGGAGTTTCCTCTATCCCATTTGTTTTTTATTTTTTCCTGCAGCATAACTCAGTATTCTCAAACAGTATGACAAATGTACATTTCACCTCTGCACACATTTCTGCTCTGTAGTGACCTTCCTCTGGCTCCTATCATAACAAGTTCCTGTAGGTGTTTTCGGTCTCAGTGGAAATGTCACCTCCTCTGAGAGGCCTTCCCCCATTAACTATCTGTTATGGATTGAATTAGGTCCCTCATCCCAAATTCTCATGTTGAAATTCTAACCCCCAATGTGACTGTATTTGGAGATAGGGCCTTCAGTGAGGTAATTAAGGTTAAATGAGGTCATAAGGGTTGAGCCTTAATCCAATAGGATTTTTGTCCTTATAAGAAGAGGAAGAGACAGGCAGGGCACGTTGACTCACGCCTGTAATCCCAGCACTTTGCGAGGCTGAGGCGGGTGGATCATCTGAAGTCAGGAGTTTGAGACCAGCCTGGCCAACATGGTGAAACTCTGTCTCTACTAAAAAATACAAAAAAAATTAGCCAGGCATGGTGGCAGGCACCTGTTATCTCAGCTAGTCGGGAGGCTGAGGCAGGAGAATTGCTTGAACCTGGGAGGTGGAGGTTGCAGTGAGCCGAGATTGCTCCACTGCACTCCAGCCTGGGCAACAAGAGCAAAACTCCATCTCAAAAGAAAAAAAAAAAAAAGAAGAAGAGGAAGAGACAACAGAGGCCAAGTAAAGTGGCTCATGCCTATAATTCCAACACTTTGGGAGGCCAAGGTGGGAGGATTGCTTGAGCCTGGAAGTTTGAGACCTGGGCAACATAGTAATACTCTGTCTCTACAAAAAAAAAAAAAAAAAAAAATAGCTGAGTGTGTAGAGTGTGTCGGTAGTCCCTGCTGCTCGGGAGGCTGAAGTGGGGGATCACTTGAGTCCTGGAGGTCAAGGCTGCAGCAAGCTGAGATCGCGCCACTGCAGTCCAGCCTGGGGGACAGATCAAGACCCTGTCTCAAATTTTAAAAATTAAAAATAAATAAAATTGAATGAAAAAAAAGAGAGACAACAGAGAATCTGTGTGTGTGTGTGTGTGTGTGTGTGTTGTGTGTGTGTGTGTGTGTGTGTGTATACAGAAGAAAAGCCACATAAGGACACAGCAAGAAGGCAGCTGTCTATAAGCCAGGAAAAAAGGCCTCACCAGAAATCTAACTCTGATAGCACCTTGATCTTGGACTTCTAACCTCTAGAACTGTGAGAAAATAAATTTCGGTTGTTTAAGCCACCCAGTTCGTAGTATGTTGTTATGGCAGCCTCTGAACTATTTTCACTCACAATATCTCTGATGCCACATGTGTGGGTTTTTTTCTCATGCCAACGAATTCTCCAGCTCTCCAGATACCAACTGAGTGTCCAACAATTCAGTTCAATTCTGACACTCTCCCTGGAGTGAGCATGAGATCACACAAGTTATAGGCTCAGTCCCACAAGACTGCTCCCCCTTCAGATGTCAGTTGTAAGTCCCAGCTTGCCACCTGTACTTTTGACCAACCAGCTATAAACTGGAGGCTCCCATTACTCCCTCGTTATGTTTCATGATTTGCTAGAATGGCTCACATAACTCAGGAAAATGCTTTATTTACTATTAATGGTTTGTTTTATTTTATTTTATTTTTTGAGACGGAGTCTTGCTCTGTTGCCTAGGCTGGAGTGCAGTGGCACGATCTCAGCTCACTGCAACCTCCGCCTCCCGGGTTCAGATGATTCTCCTGCCTCAGCCTCCCGAGTAGCTGGGATTACAGGCACCCACCATCACGCCTGGCTAATTTTTGTATTTTTAGTAGACACGGGGTTTTGCCATGTTGGCCAGGCTGGTCTTGAACTCCTGACCTCAGATGATCCACTCACCTCAGCCTCCCAAAGTGCTGGGATTATAGGCGTAGGCCACTGCACCCAGCCCTATTAATATTTTTTTTAGATATAAAAGATATAACTCAGAAACAGTCAAATGGAAGAGATGAATAAGGCAAGGTACGGGTTGTGGGGAGGGCTTCCATGCCTTCCCTGGGAGTGCCACCCTCCAAGCATCTTGATGTGTTCACCAACCCAGGAATCTCTCTGAACCTTGTTCTTTAGGGTTTTTATGGATGCTTCATTGTGTAGGCATGAATGATTAAATCACTGGCATTGGTGATTAATTGGATCTCTGGTTCTTCTTCCCTCCCCACAGATCAGGCAGTGGGGCTAAAAGTTCCAAGCCTCTAATCATGTCTTGGTCTTTCTGGAAACTAGCCCCAATCCTGAAGCTATCTAGGGACACCCACCCACCAGTCGTCTTTTAGCATACACAAAATATTCTTATGTCTCCAGAGATTCCAAGGGTTTTAAGAGCTGTGTGCTGGGAACCGAGGTCATAGACCAAATATTTATTTTTATTATATCACTCAGCTCTAGCATACAATAAAGCAACTATCAGATCCATCTAAAGTAGGTCTTCCTCACCCCCACTAATCTATCTTAGCACAACGTTTACTTCTTCACATTTATAATTCATTATTTTATATGTTTGTTTAAGTTCTTTTTTTTTTTTTTTTTTTGAGACAGAGTTTCATCCTGTCGCCCAGGCTGGAGTGCAGTGGTGTGATCTCGGCTCACTGCAACCTCTGTCTCCCAAGTTCAAGCAATTCTCTTGCCTCAGCCTCCCGAGTAGCTGGGACTACAGGCATGTGCCACCATGCCTGGTTAATTTTTTGTATTTTTAGTAGAGATGGGTTTTCATCATGTTGGCCAGGCTGGTCTGGAACACCTGGCCTCAAGTGATCCGCCTACGTTGGCCTCTCAAAGTGCTGGGATTACAGGCATTAGCCACCACACCCAACCTATTTATTTAACTTCTTTTTACCTATTTCCCCCAATAAATAGTAAGCTCTGTTGTGGCTGCAGCTATGTCTGTTTTGCTCACTGTTGCAACTTCAGCAAGTTGTCAATGAACATTTGTGAATAGAACTTCAAAGCACACATTCAGCAATGAATGAATGAAACTTCAAAGTGCATATTAACCTGTGGGGGAAAAAGCCCTACAGATAAACAACCTTTATTCTTGAAAATTATTCTCAATAAATATGTGCCTAAAACAAAAAAAAAAATTTTTCGAGGCAGGGTTGCACTCTGTTGCTCAGGCTGGAGTGCAGTGGTGGGATCATGGCTTGCTGTAGCCTCGACTCCCTGGGCTCAAGCAATCCTCCCACCTCAGCATCCAGAGTAGCTGGGACTACAGGTGCACTCCACCACACCGGCTATTTTTTTATTTTGTAGTGACAAGGTCCTACTGTTTGCCCAGGCTGGTTTCGAATTCTGGGCTCAAATGATCTTCCTGCCTTGTCTTCCGAAAGTGCTGGGATTACAGGTATGAGCTACTGTGCCTGGTCAACATTTTTCTTTTTTTTTTGAAATATATATATAACATCACATTTACCATTTTAAAATGTACAGTTCGGTGGCATTAGGTACATTCCTGTTATTGTGTAGCTATCACCACTACTCATCTCCAAAACTTTTTCATCATCCCTAACTGAAACGTACGTCCATTAATTAGATAACAACGTCCCATTCCCTCCTCCCTCTAGCCCCGGGCAGACACCATTCTACTTTGTCTCTATGAGTTTGTTTGCTCTAGGTACCCCATATAAGTGGAATACAATATTTGTCTTTTCCAGTTGTTACAGTTGGTAGTTAGTTAGACATGAGCAGGGAAGGAGAGAGCCCCCAACATCCAGGAACGTCGCAACCATCAGGCACTTGTTAAACCGCGCCTAATGGTCAGGCGCTTGTTAAACTGCCTCTCTGAAATAATAATTAGTTGGCCGGGTGTGGTGGCTCAGGCCTGTAATCTCAGCATCTGCCGAGGTGGGCAGATCACCTGAGGTCAGGAGTTTGAGACCAGCTGGGCCAACATGGTGAAACACCGTCTCTACTAAAAATACAAAAATTAGCCAGATGTGGTGGTGGGGGCTACTCAGGAGGCTGAGGCAGGAGAATCGCTTGAACCTGGGAGGCGGAGGTTGCAGGGAGGCGGAGGTTGCAGTGAGCTGAGATCATGCCACTGCACTCCAGCTGGACAACAAGAGTGAAACTCCATCTCAAAAAATAAAATAAAATAAAGTAAAATAAAATAAAATAAAACATCTCAGGAGTTGAGTGAGTAGCCTCAAGCATGTGCACTAAGAGGCAAAATGGCAGAGTTTAACTGGTATGTGACCTTCCTTAGGAACACTTGACTGGTAAGGGAAAAATGCCTCAAGTCACTAAGAGGCAAAATGGCGGAGTATAAACACACAACTGGTAAGGGAAAAATGCCTCAACTGAGCATGCATACAACTTCAGTAAACACACTGCGCATGTGGCCCTTCTCAAGTGCTGGCAGGCCGCTTTGCATGCCGACAGCCTACCCCAAAAGGGAAGAGTCAGGGCAGAAGGGACACAACCCTCCAGAAGCATGCCAATGCATAAAACTCCAAGTCAGACCTGGTGTGGTGGCTCACACCTGCGATCCTAGCACTTGGGGAGACTGAGGTGGGAGCATTGCTTGAGCCCAGGAGTTCAAGACCAGCCTGAGCAACAGAGCAAGATCCCATATCCCATCTCAAAAAAAAAAAAAACAAAACTCCAAGTCAAAAGTCAAACTGTGTGCTTGATCTCTCAGGTTGCCCACTTGAAACCTCTTGCAAGTGTACTTCCTTTTGTTCCTGCTCTAAAGCTTTTTAATAAACTCTGCTTTAAAACTTGAGGCCAGGAGTTTGAGACCAGCTTGGTGACATAGGTAGACTCCTGTCTCTACAACAGCAAAAAGTCTATTCATTTTCAGATGGACATTTGGGTTGTTTCCACTTTTTGGCAATTGTAAATAAAGCTGCTATGAACACTGGTATGCAAATATCTGTCTGAGTCCCTGCTTTCACTTCAAGTATATACCTAGAAGTGGAATTGCTGGATCATATTGTAATTTTGTGTTTAAACTTTTTTATATTTACAAATATTAAATTTATTATAACTAAAATGAATGTGATTGTTCTCAGATTTGGCCACTTTATAGCTCTGTTTAAGGAGGGGATTTTTTAAAAAAGAGAATAATGCATCATAACTCGGTCAAGGCCGGGCACGGTGGCTCACGCCTGTAATTGCAGCACTTAGGGAGGCCGAAGCGGGTGGATCACTTGAGGTCAGGAGTTCAAGACCAGCCTGGCCAACATGGTGAAACCCCATCTCTACTAAAATACAAAAATTAGTTGGGTGTAGTGGCAAGTGCCTGTAGTCCCAGCTACTCGGGAGACTGAGGCAGGAGAATAGCTTGAACCCAGGAAGCGATGGTTGCAGTTGCGCCACTGCACTCCAGCCTGGGTGACAGAGTGAGACTCCATCTCAAAATGAACAAAAAAAAGAAAAAAAAACTTGGTCAAATTACTTTCACATTAAGAAAAAAACTTCTGAATGGGCATGGTGGCTCACACCTGTAATCCCAGCACTTTGGGAAGCCAAGATGGGCAGATCACTTGAGCTCAGGAGTTCACGATCAGTCTGGGCAACATGGCAAAACCTCATCTCTACAAAAAATACAAAAATTAGCCAGGTGTGATGCTGTGCCCCTGTAGTCCCAGCTACTCGGGAGGCTGAGGTGGGAGGATGGCTTGAGCCCAGGAAGTGGGGGTTGCAGTGAGCTAAGATTGTGCCACTGCACTCCAGCCTGGGCAACAGAGCCAGATCCTGTCTCAGAAAAAAAAAAAAAAGAAAAAGAAAAAACAAAGTTCTATAAAGGAAAACAAGACAAGCAACTCTTCAGTTTCACATAATTAAGGAAAAGGAGAAAGCATGCAAGCTGCATCATAGCTAAATTTATGAATATGTTTAATTTTTTGCCAGGCGCGGTGGCTCATGCCTGTAATCCCAGCACTTTGGGAGGCCAAGGCAGGTGGATCACTTGAGGTCAGGAGTTCGAAGCCAGCCCGACAAACATGGTGAAGCCCCGTCTCTACTAAAAATACAAAAATTAGCTGGGCGTGGCGGTAGTCCCCGCCACTTGGGAGGCTGAGTAATCCCAGCTACTCGGGAGGCTGAGGCAGGAGAATCACTTGAGCCTGAGAGGTGGAGGTTGCAGTGAGCCGAGATCACGCCACTACACTCCAGCCTGGGTGACAAAGTTAGACTCCATCTCAAAAAAAAAAATTTTTTTTTTTGAGGAAACTCCATAGTATTTTCCACAGAGGCTGCACCATTTTACATTCCCCTGACAACAAACAAGTGTTCCAATTTCTCCACATCCTTGCCAGAATTTAATATTCCCTCCCTCCCTCTCTTCCTCCCTTCTTCCCTTCCTCCCTCCCTCCCTCCCTTCCTTCCTTTCTCTCTCTCTTTCTTTTGCTATCCTAATGGATGCGAAGTGGTATCTCATTGTGGCTTTGTCTTGCATTTTCCTAATGATTAGTGATGCTGAACGTCTTTTCAAGTGTTTATTGGCCATCTGTATGTCTTTTTTGGAGAAATGTCTGTTCAAGTCCTTTGCCCATTTTTGAATTGGGTTGTTGGTTTTTATGTTGTTGAGTTATAGGAGTTCTTTATATATTCTGGATATTAATTCCTTATCAGATAAAGGATTTGCAAATATTTTCTCCCATTCTGTGGGTTGCCTTTTTACTCTGTTGGTGGTATCCTTTGATATATAAAAGTGTTTAATTTTGATGAAATCCAATTTATCTCTTTTTTCTTTTGTTGCCTGTTCTTTTGGCATCATATCAATAAATCATTGCCAAATCCAGTATCGTGAAGCTTTTCTCCTATGTTTTCTTCTAAGAGCTTTACAATTTTAGCTCTTATGTTTATGTCTTTGATCCATTTTGAGGATTCAGGGCAGTAGGGGGTAATGGTCTTACTCTGTCACCAAGACTGGCATGCAGTGGCATGATCATAACTCACTGCAGCCTTGAACTCCTGAACTCAAGTGATCCTCCTGCCTCGGCTTTCCCAGTAGCTGAGACTACAGCCATGGGCCACCATGCCTGGCTTTGAATTGTTTTTCATATATGTTAAAAGGTAAGGGTGCAACTTCATCCTTTTGCATGTGGGTATACAGTTTTCCAGTACCTTTGCTCTTGAAGACTGTCCTTTCCCCATTGAATGGTCTCAGCACTGTAGTCAAAAATCATTTGACTATGCAATGGTTTGTTTCCGGGCTCTGTATGGTACTCTATTGGTCTGTCTTTATGCCAGTACCACACTGTTTTGATTGCTGTAGCTTTGTAGTAAGTTTCGAAAACAGGGAGTATGAGACCTCTACTTTGTTCTTTAAAACCAAATTTTTAATCCACTCTCTCAAATTATTTGTAGGGAGTTGCCATCTCAGTAACACTGTAAAAATTGTACTTCACAGCAATTATTTCTAATGAGAACAAGTCCTCTTTGTAAGTTCTTGACAAGAAGATGTCTAGGAATAACACTGCTAGTTTTGAATATTTGTATTTTCTTTACTTCCTGTAGACAAAGCTCTTACTCACAAGATAATTAGAATTTGCAGTGTTTAAGTCTTTTGTTCAGGCTGGCACTGCCAAAGTGGGAAATCAGCCAAAGAAGACTTCCTGGATTAAGTTTAACTTAGGTAACTAACGTTTGCACTCCCAGACTCCATTAGTTTGCCCAGAAGAGAGAAGAGAACAAACATGTTCAAAACAAGCTGTTTGGGATTTTGCTCAGGCAAAGTCGTTGCACATTCAAGAAAAAACAAAAGTCAATGAGAGAAAAACCATGACAGAAAGTTGAAGCCAAACTCTGAGAACTGAGGCAGAGTCTTGGCTGTTGTACCTCTATAAATGATTTTTTAAAAGAGAGAGAGAGAATCACACTTATTTTAGTGTGGTCTTGGAGATTCTCTCTCCATTTCAGGTTGTGCTGAAGAAAAATTATAGTTCAAGAAACTTCTTGGTATTTTGCTTCTCTTCTAACAGAGGTAGGGTGGGGTAATAAGAAAGAATGTTGGACTGTGTCTAAGAGGTCTGTTTTCTAGTGGGATTTTGCCACTGACTTGCTATGGGAACTAAGTCACTGGCTCGCTGAACTGTAATTTCCTCCACACGTGTTGACAGAATTGTCACATCTCCAAAAACTCTTACAGCTTTAATAATATTACAGATTTTTTAAACCTCTTCTAGATATTATTTATTTTTATTCTGTAATTCTCAGGGAACACTGAATAACTTATTTGCATACATGTTTTATCTGTCCTGCTAAATTATAAAGTCCTAAAAAAATCTTACTCAGTTTGCTCTCCCTCAGAGTTTAGCATTGCATTTTTCACAAATGAAACAAATATTTGAAGGAGGGGAGAATGAATTGAGCTATCTCTTTTTGGTTTTTGTTGTTTTTTGTTTGTTTGTTTTTGTTTGAGACGGAGTTCCCTCTGTCGCCCAGGCTGGAGTGCAGTGGTGTGAGCTCAGCTCACTGCAACCTCTGCCTCCCCAGTTCAAGTGATTCTCCTTCCTCAGCCTCCTGAGTAGCTGGGATTACTGGCATGCACCACCACAGCCAGCTAATTTTTGTATTTTTAGTAGAGACTAGGTTACACCATGTTGGCCATGCTGGTCTCAAACTCCAGCCTCAGGTGATCCACCAGCCTCGGCCTCCTTCCAGACCTCAGGTGATCCACCAGCCTGGGATTACAGGCATGAGCCATCACGCCCAACCGCTGTCTCTTTTTGTTTTGAAGATTATTTTTCATGAGAATTGTTTATTTTTTGGTGAGATAAATATCCTTTACTAGGTGATAATGATTATATTATAGTAATGATATTTCCCCTATTTTATCCTATTAAAAATAATTTGTTGGCCGGGCATGGTGTCTCACACCTGTAATCCCAGCACTTTGGGAGGCCGAGGTGGGCGCATCGCCTAAGGTCGGGAGTTTGAGACCAGCCTAACCAACATGGAGAAACCCCGTCTCTACTAAAAACACAAAATTAGCCGGGCATGGTGGCACATGCGTGTTATCCCAGCTACTCAGGAGGCTGAGGCAGGAGAATGGCTTGAATCCGGGAGGCAGAGGTTGCGGTGAGCTGAGATTGCGCCATTGCACTCCAGCCTTGGCAACAAGAGCGAAACTCCGTCTCAAAAAAAAAAAAAAAAGAAAAAAATTAGCCAAGGATGGTGGTAACTGCCTGTAGTCCCAGCCACTCGCCTGAGGCAGAATGATCGCTTGAACCCAGGAGGCAGAGATTGTAGTGAGCTGAGATGGCGCCACTGCACTCCAGCCTGGGCAACAGAGTGAGACTCTGTCTTAAAAAAAAAAATTGTAGATTATTTTATTTTAAAATTTTTGTAGGTACACCGTAGGTATATATACTTATAGGGTACATGAGATATTTTGATATAGGCGTGCAATGCATAATAATCACATCATGGTAAATGGGGGTATCCATCCCCATCTACTTTCCATACCCATTAACCATCCCCACTTCCCCCTATGCCTCCACTACCTTCCCCAGCCTCTGGTAACCATCCTTCTACTCTGTCTCCATGAGTTCAATTGTTTTAATTTTTAGCTCCCACAAGTAAGTGAGAGCATGTGGTTTGTCTTTCGGTGTCTGGCTTATTTCACTTAACATAATGACCTCCAGTTCCATCCATATTGTTGCAAATGACAGGATCTCATTCCTTTTTATGGCTGAATTGTACCCCATTGTATCTGTACCATATTTTATTTATCCATTCATCTGCTGATGGACCCTTAGGTTGTTTTTGTAGATTATTTTAGGATATAAAAATCCAGAAACAATTCATTAGGTAACTATTGTATCATATGGCTTTTTTGGGGGCAAATAAACTCTAAGGGAAGATTCCTTTTTTATTTTTATCTTTTTTTGATAGAGAGTCTTACTCTGTTGCCCAGGCTGGCATGCAGTGGCGCGATCTTGGCTCACTGCAACCTCCGCCTCCCGGGCTCAAGCGATTCTCCCGTCTCAGTTTCCTGAATAGTTGGGATTACAAGCGTGCACCACCAAGCTGGGCTAATTTTATTTTATTTATTTATTTTTAAATTTATTTTATTTTATTTTTTGAGACAGAGTCTCACTCTGTCGCGTAGGCTGGAGTGCAGTGGCGTGATCTCCACTCACTGCAAGCTCCGCCTCCCAGGTTCAGGCCATTCTCCTGCCTCAGCCTCTCAACTAGCTGGGACTACAGGCGCCCGCCACCATGCCCGGCTAATTTTTTGTATTTTTAGTAGAGATGGGGTTTCACTGTGTTAGCCAGGATGGTCTTAATCTCCTGACCTCGTGATCTGCCCACCTCAGCCTCCCAAAGTCCTGGGATTACAGACATGAGCCACCGCACCCAGCCTCAAATTTTTTGTATTTTTAATAGAGACCCGGTTTCACCATATTGGCCAGGCTGGTCTCAAACTCCCAACCTCAGACAATTCGCCCACTTCGGCCTCTCAAAGTGCTGGGATTACAGGTGTGAGCCACTGTGCCCTGCCGGGAAGATTTTATATAAGCACTTGGCATGGTAAAAGACTAATGTAATGAATCAGGACTTAAAAGACTAATGTAATGAATCAGGACTATTAACCATGTGTAATCATATTAGTCAGGACTCTTACAGTTGCACATGTCAGAAGATCTAGCTCAAGCTGGCTTCAATCTAAAAGGAAAATTTATTGACTCATGTATGTGAAAAGTTCAGCCTTGGCTGAATCCAGGGTTGAATGATGTCATTTGGACTTTGTCTTCCTCTTTCTATTTCTTGGCGTTTTCTTTGTTGGGTATGCTCTTCCTTTAGAGTGATAAGGCTCCAAGCTTATATTCTATCCTTTCAGCAATCCCAGTGTCAGGACAGTGCCTCCTTCAGAACAGTTCTAATGACCCCCAGAGTTGAGTTGCATTGTTTGATCGGGTCATGCATGGGGATATGCCTGCACCCATCATTGTTCTAGGTATATAGAATACACTGATTGTCTAGGCCTGGGTTACATGCGCATGCTGGAATCCAGGAGTAGTGCTTACCTCCTCTTGAACCTCATGGACTGAGATCACTGGGGAGGTGGCTCCCCATTAGAAAATTGGGGACTTTTTTATTTATTTATTTATTTATTGAGACGGAGTTTCCCTCTGTCTCCCAGGCTGGCTTGCAGTGGCACGATCTCGGTTCATTGCAGTCTCGCCTCCTGGGTTCAAGTGATTCTCCTGCCTCAGTCTCCCGAGTATCTGGGATTACAGGCGCACACCACCACTCCCGCCTAATTTTTGTATTTTTAATAGAGATGGAGTTTCAACATGTTGGCTAGGCTGGTCTCAAGCTCCTGACCTCAGAGGATCCTCCCACCTTGGCCTCCCAAAGTGCTGGGATTACAGGTGTGAGCCACTGTGCCTCGTCGAAAACTGGGGACTCTTAAGCAGAAGAGGGTACAATGGATGATGGGCAAGTAAAGGCAGTGGGACTCCATAACTAAACTAACAACAACAACAACAACAAAATCCTAGTTTTGCAAAACAGAACTTTGTGTTGTTGTTTGAGACAGGGTCTCACTCCCATTGCCCAGGCTGGAGTGCAGTGGGACGATCTTGGCTCACTGCAGCCTCGACCTCCCAGGCTCAAGCAATCCTCCCACCTCAGCTTCCTGAGTAGCTGAGACTACAGGTGCATGCCACCATACCTGGTTACTTTTTTGTATTTTTAGTGGAGACAGGGTTTCACCACATTGCCCAGGCTGGTCTTGAACATACCTGGCCTCAAGCAATCAGTCCGCCTCAGCCTCCCACAGTGCTGAGATTATAGGTGTGAGCCACTGCTCCTGGCCAAAACAAAAATATTTAAGAAAAAATAGTAATCTTTACTTTAATTCATAAATACACCAGTTTAATTTGCTAATTAGGCAATTTTTTGGTTGTCAGAAAAACTGGACATGAAAAAAGTTTTGTTATATGGATTATCAATACTTGTATTAATTAAAAGTGTCATGATCTCTTTAATAAAAGAGATCTAGGTTCTTATGTACTTCTGCGTTCCATTAATTCCATTGTGTACCTGTCATGTAGTCACTTGGAAACTCCACTATTTACTTGAGAATTGTGAAAAAGGCCAAATAATGTCTTTTTTTGAGATAGAATATTGCTCTGTTGCCCAGGCTGGAGTGCAGTGATGTGATCTTATCTCATGCAACCTTTGCCACCCAGGTTCAAACGATTCTCCTGCCTCAGCCTCCCAAGTAGCTGGGATTACAGATGCACGCCACCACACCTGGCTACTTTTTGTACCAAATAGTATCTTAACGTTGTTACGACAATTTTTTTCTTCTTTTTCCTTTAAAGATGTGGTCTCACTATGTTGCCCAGGCTGGTCTCAAACTCCTGTCCTCAAGCAGTTCTCCTGCCTCAGACTCCCAAAGTGCTAGGATTACAGCATGAGGTATGAGCTACTGTGCCTGGCCATTATGACAAATTTTGACCTCATGGGCACTCTGAAAGGGTCTCTGCCTCCCAGGTCAAAGGATCACACTGTCTTCATAGACCTGCTCTTATTCAGTGTCTTCTGTAATTTCTTATAAATTTCAACAGGGGCCAAGCACCATGGCTCACGCCTGTAATCTCACTACTTTGGGAAGCCAAGGCAGAAGAATCAGTTGAGGTCAGGAGTTCAAGACCAGCCTGAGCAATATAGTGAGACCCCCACCTCTAAAAAATTTTTTTTAAAATTAGCTGGGTGTGGTGGCATGTACCTATAGTCCTAGCTACTTGGGAGGCTGAGGTGGGAGGATTGCTTGAGCCAGGATATTGAGGCTGCAGTAAGTAAACTATGATCACACCACTGTGCTACAGTCTGGGTGACAGAGCAAGACTCTGTCTCTCAAAAAAAAAAAAAAATTCAATGGGCATCTGGTCAACCGAGCAGTCTATTTTTTTTTTTTAATTTTTTTACTGTTTCTTAAGTTGTGGTTCTGGGATGACACATGAGAATTTGCATTTTAACCATTTCCCAGATAATTCAAAAGCCTTTAATTCAGGAACAGCAGACTTTTCTGTTTCTCTCTGATTTACTCCAAAGAGCAAGTTTAAAAAGAAGTCCAAAGTGCCCAAGCATAAGATTTTCAAGCCCTTTTCATAATTATCTTCCAAAAATAGTACATCATTAACTTCACCAACTCTCCCTGCTAAATAAAAAATCCAACATTACATATTAAGTGTCAATCACCAAAAGTCAAGTAAGGTTCCTCTTCTCTTCCCACATCAAAGTTATTTGGAATACTGAGAGAATTTGAACAAAGTGAATGCTGAGTACTACTAGTCTTTCTTCAAAAGAACAAACCTATTTTCAAGTCTGTTTTTATATAAAAGTAATTAAGAAGTCAACTCTAAACACAAATTTGTTTCTAACTTCTACATACTATTTGAACTTTCTGATGTAGTTTTGCACATGGTAAAAGTTCTAATGAAAAAGCTGACTTACGTCAGTTACAAATTGCATTTGGCTGCCAGTGACAGATCTAAGTAACAGTGCCTTAAACAGATAAGTTAGTTTTTCTTGTGTGACGAGAGGTTCAGAGGCAGACTGTTGCTGGCATTGGTTTGGCACCTTATGGATGTGACTCTCTTGATATTTTCTTTATAGTCCCAAAATGGCTGCTGAAATTTTGGCCTTCATGTCCAGGATGGCAGTAGGAGGAAGCAAAGGGGTAAAAGGGCAACAAGCATGGGCGAGGTGGCTCATGCTTCTATTTCCAGCACTTTGGCAGGCCAAGGCGGACAGACCTCTTGAGTCCAGGGGTTCAAGACCAACATGGGGAACATGGAAAAACCGCATCTCTGCAAAAATACAAAAATTAGCTGGGTGTCGTGGTGCATACTCATAGTCCCAGCTACTTAGGAGGCTGAGGTAGATCAATTGAACCCACAGGGCAGAAACTGCAGTGAGCTGAGATAGCACCGTTGCACTCCAGCCTGAGCAACAAGTGAGACCTTGTCTCAAAAAAACAAACAAACAAACAAAAACCCCAAAAACAGAAAACTCCAAAAGGGCAACAAGTACTTACTTTATTTATTTTTTTCTGCTTGCTTCTTGAAGGATATAACCAGGTATTCTGATCAGCACTTATTTTTCATATGGTTACATATATCTTCAATGGAGTCTGAGAAATACAGTATTTTACTTGGGATCAGTACCACCCCAGATTTAACCAGCCTGTATTACATACATATTTGTGTGTGTGTGTGTGATGTGTATCTGTGTGTGTATATATATGTGTATGTATGTGTATGTATATGTGTGTGTATATATACATATATATATATATATATATATATATATATATTTATTTATTTATTTATTTTTTTAGAGACAGGGTCTCAGTATGTTGCCAAGGCTGGTCTCGAACTCCTGGGCTTCAGTGATCTTCCCACTTCAGTCTCCCAAAGTACTGGGATTACAGGCATGAGCCACCGTGCCTGGCCAGCCTGCATTACTAAGGAGAAAGGGAATAATGGATAATGGCTGTCTTGGTCAGCTCTGCTGCCCTAACAAAATTCCACAGACTAGGTTGCTTAAACAGCATGTATTTATTTCTCACAGCTCTGGAGGCTGGGAAGTTCAAGATAAAGTGCCAAGCAATTCGATTCTTGGTGAGGCCTGTTTTCCTGGCTTGAAAATGGTAGCGTCTTCACTGTGTCCTCACATCCTCACATGGTGGAGAGACAGCAAGCTCTAGTCTCTATTCCTCTTCTAGTAAGTACACTAATCTCATCATGGGGGGACCCCCACCCTCATGAACTTATCTAAACCTAATGACCTCCAAGAGACCTCACTTCCAAATACCATCACATTGCGGGTTAGGGCTTCAATGTATGAATTTTCGGGGAACACAAACATTCAGTTCATAACATTTTACTCCTGCCCCCCAAAATTCATGTCCTCTCATGCAAAAATACATCCATTCCCCCAGGCGCAGTGGCTCAGGCCTGTAATCCCAGCACTTTGGGAGGCCGAGGCGGGTGGATCACGAGGTCAGGAGTTCGAGACCAGCCTGACCAACATGGTGAAACCCCGTCTCTACTAAAAATACAAAAAATAGCCGAGCGTGGTGGTGCACACCTGTAATCCCAGCTACTCAGGAGGCTGAGGCAGGAGAATCGCTTGAACCCAGGAGGCGGAGGTTGCCTTGAGCAGAGATCACACCACTGCACTCCAGCCTGGGTGACAGAGGGAGACTCCGTCTCAAAAAAAAAAAAAAAAAAAAAACCATTCCATCCCAATAACTCGAAAAGTCTTATCTTGTTCCACCATCAACTCTACCTGAAGTTGAAACACTTATTTAAATACCGTCTAAATCAGATATGAGTGACACTTGAGGCAGAGTCAACCTAAGACAAAATTCCTCTCCAGCTACGATCTTCTGAATCAGATAACTATGTGCTTCCAAAATACAATGGTCACACAGGCATAGAATAGATACAGTAGTTTCCCCTTTTCCATAGGGAATATGTTCCAAGGCCCCACAGTAGATGCTTAAAGCTGCAGATAGTACCAAACCATATATACACTAAGTTTTTCCCTATATATAAAACATCATAATGATAAAGTTTAGCTTATAAATTAGGCACAGTAATAGATTAATAATTGATAACAAATGTAACAAGTATAACAATACTGTTCACAATTTCACAGATAGATTTGTTCTTACTGTAGATCTTAACAACCTCAGCATATGAGTTTTTTCTTTGCTTATTAAGTCAAGAACTTTTGGCCAGGCACCGTGGCTCACACCTGTAAACCCACCAGTTTGGGAGGCCAAGGCAGGAAGATTACTTGAGGCTAGGAGTTTGAGACCAGTCGGGGCAACATGGGGAGACCTCATCTCTACAAAAAAAATACAAGCATTAAGTGGGTGTGGTGGCCTATGCTTGTAGTCTCAGATACTTGGTAGGCTGAGCTGGGAGGATCGCTTGAACCTGGGAGGCTGCAGTGAGCCATGATAGCGCCACTGCACTCCAGCCTGGCAAGACCCTGTCTCAAAAAAAAAAAAAAAGAACGTCTACCTTTTCACTTAAAAGAAACACTTTATGGTTTCTCTTTGGTATATCCTAATTGCCAGCATCACTGCTCTTGCACTTTGAGGCCATTCATTTTTAAGTAAAATAAGGGTCACTTGAATACAAGCACTGCGATACTGTTAACAGTTGATCTGATAATGCAGACAACTACTAAGTGACTGACAGTAGAGTTGCATATAACAGGGGTCCCCAGTCCCCCAGGCAAGGGACTGGTACTGAACTCCATGGCCTCTTAGGAACCGGGCCACACAGCAGGAGGTGAGCGGCGGGCCAGTGAGTGAACTTCATCTGTATTTACAGCCGCTCCCCATTGCTGGCATTACCGCATGGGTTCTGCCTCCTGTCAGATCAGCAGTGGCATTAGATAGATTCTCATAGGAATGCGAGCCCTATCGTGAACTGCGCATGCAAGGGATCTAGGCTACCTGCTCCTTAGGAGAATCTAATGCCTGATATCTGTCCCTGTCTTCCATCACCCCCAGATGGGACCGTCTAGTTGCAGGAAAACAAGCTCAGGGCTCTTGCTGATTCTACATTATGGTGAGTTGTATAATTATTTCATTATATGTTACAATGCAATAATAATAGAAAGAAAGTGCACAATAAATGTAATGCACTTGAATCATATGAAAACCATCCCCCCATTCTGGTCTGTGGAAAAATGTTGGGGACATATACAACATGGATACCGTGGACAAAGGGATGATTCACTTCCTGGGCAAGATGGACCACCCTGGGATTTCATTATGCTACTCAGAATGGTACATAATTTGAAACTTAAGAATTTTAAAAATATTTTTATATTTTTATTCTTTCTTTTACCTTGCAGCTCCAGTTCAAAGGAATTAATGTATTATTGTTATTATTATTATTATTATTAAGACAGAGTTTCGCTCTTGTTGCCCAGGCTGGAGTGCAATGGCATGATCTCGGCTCACTGCAACCTCAGCTCCCTGGGTTCAAGCAATTCTCCTGCTTCAGCCTCTTGAGTATCTGGAATTACAGGCATGTGCCACCACGGCTGGCTAATTTTGTATTTTTAGTAGAGACGGGGTTCCTCCATGTTGGTTAGGCTGGTCTCGAACTGCCAACCTCAGGTGATCCACCTGCCTCAGCGTCCCAAAGTGCTGGGATTACAGGTGTGAACCACTGCGCCTGGCCTATTTCCTGGCACTTCTATGCCTTATAAGGAAAGACTACTAATTTACTGTGCATAATCTAAAGTTTTGTTTTCTGACTCCTTTTTATCTTTTCCTTCTATTCTATTAACCTATGGTGTTTTGTTTTCTGCTCTTGTCATGCTCTGCCTCAAGCAACCTCTTTGTTCTTCTTATTTGCTTCTTAGTCTGGGAAACCAGACAAGTAAATCTATTAAAATTATGTGTAAATTTATTATTACTTTTAAGGCTAGTCAAAGCAGTGGGAGTAGAAAAGGAACAAAGAAATCTCTAATTGGTTGCGCCACTGCACTCCAGCCTGGGTGACGGAGCAAGACTTGGTCTCAAAAAAAAAAAGAAGAAGAAATCTCTAATTGGTAGTGTTCAATTAGTTTCAATTAGTTGTAAACACCACTGCACTTGGACCAGCCAGAACTATGTGTAAACCTAGACAAAATAACTTATGAGTGAAGACCTCACATCTCTTTGATTGAAGAGTATGCATTTGATTATAGTCTCCGTTTTGCATTTTGGCTTATATTGAGCCTATTAAACCCACTTCCTAGTGCTAACTGCATCAGACAGTTGGAAAAGTAACCTTTATTTTTATTTTACTTATTTTTTTTTAATAGAGACAGGATCTTGCTCTGTTGCCCAGGCTGTAGTACAGTAGCGTGATCATAGCTCACTGCAGCCTTGAACTCCAGGGCTCAAGAGATCCTCCTGCTTCAGCTTCCCAAGTAGCTGGGGCTATAGGTGTTGGCTACCATGCCCAGCTAATGTTTTAAATTTTTTTGTAGAGATGGAGTCTCCCTATGTTGCCCAGGCTGGTCTCTAACTCCTCCCACAGTTTGGCCTCCCAAAGTATTGGGATTACAGGTGTGAGCCACTGCACCTAGCCAAAAAGTAACCTTTAAATAAGTGGAGTGTTATCTTTACTTTCTTAAGCTAAGAGTGCATTACACTTAAGAAACATTTTTATGTTAACTTTTCATGTATTCATACAAGTGACAGTAAAAGGAAAATTCTTTAAAATAAGGAAAGAGCAGTTCAAGATGCTTTTGTTTTGTTTTTTTTTTTTTTTGTTTTTGAGACAGAGTCTCGCTCTGTCGCCAGGCCGGAGTGCAGTGGCGTGATCTTGGCTCACTGCAACATCTGCCTCTTGGGTTCAGGTGATTCTGCTGCCTCAGCCTCCCAAGTAGCTGGGACTACAGACATGTGCCACCACGCCTGGCTGATTTTTGTATTTTTAGTAGAGACAGGGCTTCACCATGTTGTCCATGATGGTCTCGATCTCTTGACCTTGTGACCCGCCTGCCTTGGCCTCCTAAAGTCAAGATGCTTTTTTAAAGTGCATTCATGGCCGGGCGCGGTGGCTCACCCCGTAATCCCAGCACTTTGGGAGGCCGAGGCGGGCAGATCACGAGGTCAGGAGATTGAGACCATCCTGGATAACACGTTGAAACCCTGTCTCTACTAAAAATAAAAAAAATTAGCCAGGCGTGGTGGCAGGCGCCTGTAGTCCCAGCTACTCAGGAGGCTGAGGCAGGAGAATGGCGTGAACCTGGGAGGCAGAGCTTGCAGTGAGCCGAGATCGTGCCACTGCACTCCAACCTGGGTGACGGAGGGAGACTCCGTCTCAAAAAATAATAATAAAATAAAATAAAGTGCATTCATTCATTCATTAAATATTTACTGAGTGCCTGCCACATGCCAGGCATTGTATCAATAATAAGAATGTAAAAACGAAAACAAAAAAACAGCTCTTCATTATTTTTTCTTTCTTTCTTTTTTTTTTGGAACGGTCGAGGGGACAGCATCTCACTCTGTTGCCCAGGCTGTGCAGTGGTGCAATCACAGCTCACTGCTGCTTTGACCTCCTGGGCTCATGTGATCCTCCAGCCTCAGCCTCCTGAGTAGCTAGGACTACAGGTGTGTGCTGTCATAATTCTGGCTTTAAAGAATCCTCTTGCCTTGGCCTCCCAAAGTGCTGGGATTAGAGGTCTGAGCCACCACCACACCCAACCACCATTTTTTAAAGCTGTCACAACCTGGGAAAACTTCATAGTGCATTTTATTTTTTATTTTATTTATTTATTTTTTTTAGATGAAATCTTGCTCTGTTTCCCCGGCTGGAGTATAGTGGTGAAATCTTGGCTTACTGCAACCTCTGCCTTCCAGGTTCAAGTGATTCTCCTGCCTCAGCCTCCTGAGCAGCTGGGATTTCAGGCGGATGCCACTATGCCCAGCTAATTTTTATATTTTTAGTAGAGATGGGGTTTCACCATGTTGGCCAGGCTGGTCTCGAACTCCTGACCTCAAGTGATCCGCCTGCCTTGGCCTCCCAAAGTGCTGGGATTAAAGGCATGAGCCATGGCGTCTGGCCCTGATCGTGCATTTTATAGTTTTCTTTGGCTGGATCCTCCCTTCAAAATCTGTATTTGAGCATTTTTGTCTTCCAGAGAAGTACAGCAGTAAACTTAGTTTTCTATTGATAACACATTGGTATTGGGCCTCTGTGTATATTTCCATGTATTTTTTTCACCACCGCAAGTATAGTTATGTCCCAGCAGCCCTGGCAGCATTTACCTTAAGTGCAAGAGGGAAGTCCCCTGGCTGCCCATCTAGGTAAATATCTAGGACATTTGGACTCCCTGTGGGTCCTTTTGGTAAAACTAAGCCCAGAGACCTGATAATGCATTTCACAATTCACACCATTGTCTGATGCTCAACCTTTTATTTTTTCTTTCTTCTGTTAAAACTATTGAATTGCCAGGATTTTGGTTAGGGGTGAGTAGAGAAGTTTGGAATGTTTTTAATCCTGTGTTCCATGTTCTTGGTAATATTAGAAGAGCAGCAGAGCCATGAATCTAGTCATGCTCTTGGCTAACACAGTCTACCCTGACTTAAGTGCTCCTCACATGAAAAGAGATCCAGGGCTTTAGTTGACAGTAAATACAACCTGAGCCAGTGATGTGACCTGGCTGCCAAAACAAGTAAATGTGATATGAACTGGCATTAAAAGAAGCCTGGTGGCTGGGACAAGGAAAGGAATAGTCCCAGAGTACATTCTGCAATGTTAAGATCACACCTGGAGGATGGTATTTCCTCCCAGGCTGTAAGAGTGATGTTGACAAGTTGGAGTATGCCCAAGTTGGGCAACAGGATGATGAATGGCCTAGAAACTACATCTTTTGAGGAACGGTTGGAGGATGTGGGGTAGTTACCCTGAAAACTAGAAGGCATGTGGGTGTGGGATAACTATTTTCAAACGTTCGCAGGGTTATCATGTAGAAGAGTTGGACTCTTCTGTGTAATCTCAGCAAGCACAACTTAGACCAATGGGTGTGTATTACAAAGTAGCTGATTTTGTCTCTGTAAAGGGAAGAACTTTCTAGCCCTTATGAACACCCAGAAAATAGTAGCTCTGAAAGGTAGTTACTTAACTTTATTTATTTATTTATTTATTTATTTATTATTTTTGAGATGGAGTCTTGCTCTTGTCGCCCAGGCTAAAGTGCAGTGGTGCTATCTTGGCTCACTGCATCCTTCACCTCCCGGGTTTAAGTGATTCTCCCACTTTAGCCTCCCAAGTAGCTGGCATTACGGGAGCACACCAACACACCTGGCTAATTTTTTGTATTTTTAGTAGAGACAGGGTCTCACCACGTTGGCCAGGCTGGTTTCAAGCTCCTGACCTCAAGTGATCCACCTGCCTCAGCCTCCCAAAGTGCTGAGATTACAGGCGTGAGCCACCACGCCCGGCTATTTATTTATTTATTCATTGAGACGGAGTCTCCCTCTGTCGCACAGGCTGGAGTGCAGTGGTGTGATCTCAGCTCACTGTCACCTCTGCCTCCCCAGATCAGAGGATCCTCCCACCTCAGCCTCCCAAGTAGCTGGGATTACAGGTGTGCACCACCACACCTGGCTAATTTTTGTATTTTCACTAGAGACAGGATTTCACCATGATGGCCAGGCTGGTCTGGAACTCCTGACCTCAGGTGATCCACCGGCCTTGGCCTCCCAAAGTGCTGGGATCACAGGCTAGTGACTTAACTTTAATAGAGAGTGTTAGAAAAGAGGCTGGCTAACTGAATGTCAGAAGATCCATGAATAGGAAGTTTGGAGAGATGATCCTATCCAAGATCCTTTCAGAGTCAAAGGTTCTTTTGATGAACCATAAGAAGGTGTCAGTACCTTGTTCCTCAGCTCCCATTAACAACAGAAACTGTGTGAAAATAGACTGTAAGGCAGAATGTCAAAGTTACGAAGGTAGAGGGAAATAAAGCCATAGCTGCTTTGTTTACCCTAGTGGTTATTCTGTTTCTGTGTATAAAGATTTAAGTAATGCTTTTTTCTGTTTTTGTTTTTTTTCTCCCCAAACAAGTTTTTTACTTTCAAAATTCTCTAGAGCTTTGGTGTGCTTTCTTTCTTTGGAAACTTCTGGCTCTCCTAATATGTTGTTTTCAGGGTACTGTATTTTGACAAGATCATCCTTAACCCAATATTATAAAGCAACACTTCACAGAATCGCAGTTTGTGTCTATGCGTCGAAGAACCAGCCCTGTGGAACAACTTATGTTCTTTTTTGGTGCTGGTTTTTGACACAGGGTCTTGCTGTGTTGCCCAGGCTGGAGTAGAGTGGCACAGTGATGGCTCACTGCAGCCTTGACCTTCTCCTTAACCCAATATTATAAAGCAACACTTCACAGAATCGCAGTTTGTGTCTATGTGTCGAAGAACCAGCCCTGTGGAACAACTTATGTTCTTTTTTGGTGCTGGTTTTTGACACAGGGTCTTGCTGTGTTGCCCAGGCTGGAGTAGAGTAGCACAGTGATGGCTCATTGCAGCCTTGACCTTCTGGGTTCCAGTGATTCTCCTATCTCAGCCTCTCAAGTAGCTGGAATTATAGGTGTGTGCCACCATGCCCAGCTAATTTTTAATTTTTTTTTAAGAGACGGGGCCTCCCTATGTTGCCCAGGCTGGTCTCAAACTCCTGGACTCACGTGATTCTACCGCCTCAGCCTCCCAACGTGCTGGGATTACAGGTGTGACCCACTGTGCTTGGCCACAACTGGTGTTTTGAGATCATTAATAATTAATAATGAAGTAGCATCTGGTAAAATGTGTACATTAGGATAGCTTAGCTTTTCCCAACAGTCAGTGAGGTGAGTTAGTAATCATCACTCTCATTTACCAGAAACTGGGTTTTGGAGCAGCTTGCCTACCACGATCGTGGTAGATTCTAGCTGGCACTAGAATCCAGAACTTTTGACTTCCACGCCAGTGTTCTTTCTAATACAAAAGGCTACTGTTCTTTCCTAATACTGGGTTTAGAGCCTTACTTGATCGCAGAATACAGTTTTTCCTCTTTTAACCACAGCAGTTCTCTGGAGTAGGATGGCAGGCTACTTTGGCCAAAGACTTGGCCTCTAACTTAAGTGCTGTCCCTAAGTTCATTTTTGTCTAAAGGAAGTCTCCAGCAAACGTCACTACTGATGTCTGTGCATACTTGACCACCTCCTTGAAAACAGGGACGCTAACACTTGCTCCAAAAAAAAATTCTAAGAATGTTAAGAGGGCAGTATTTGTCAAATGGAATGGATTTCACTGGGCAGTGCAGCAAAATGCTTAAGTTCTGCCGTGTTTTTTGTTTTGCGTTGTTTTTTAGAGACACAGTCGCGCTCTGTTGCCCAGGCTGGAGTGCAATGGCTGTTCGCAGGCGCGATCATAGCGCGCTGCAGCCTGGAACTCCTGCTCAAGCGATCCTCCTTGAACTTAGCCGGCCTCAGCTTCCCAAGAACCTGGGACTACAGGCGTGACACCTCGCTGGTTTACTCATTTTTCTGTTGAGGTATTATTGTGTGTTTCCTACTTTTACTATGCTATTTATACTCAACATAGTAGGTGCTGAATAAATACTAGTTAGTATCCTGGCTGGTCCAATACTCAGTAAAAACTGATCTCAGAATACGAAGCTGCTTGAGACCAGGCCCTTGCCCCAGTGTTCAGAGATCCACAGGTTGCTGTGGAGGCCAATCTGCCCAACCTGGAGTTCCAGAAAGGTCTGGGGATGTGTGTTGAGTGAGTCACAGACAGCCAAACTAAGAAAGGAGGAGGTGGTAGGGTGGGGAGGCCTTGCTGGAGAAGGAACAGGTGAGTGAATGCACAGATCTCTGAATCAGCAAACTGAATGAGTGAACCGCAAGCCGATATCGGAGTTGTCATACTTGTTGGGCTAGTCATGTAACCTCCAGGACCTCCATTTCCTTATCTGTAAAAAGAAATAAATAGTCTACTTATTTGCGATTATGTGAAGATTCAATAAGGTAATATTTGTAAGTATTCGCACTTGTACTTGGCATATCAACTGGCACAAAGTAAGCGTTCAATGTTAGCCACCGTCACCATTATGCGTTCATATATTTTATTTTTATTTTTTTGAGACGGAATCTCGCTCTGTCGCCCAGGGTAGACAGAATACAGTGGCGCAATCTCAGCTAACTGTAACCTCCTGGGTTCAAGCGATTCTCCTGCCTCAGCCTCCTGAGTAGCTGGGATCACAGGCGCGCTCCACCACGCCTGGCTAATTTTTTCGTATTTTTAGTAGAGACGGGGTTTCACCATGTTGGTCAGGCTGGTCTCGAACTCCTGACCTGATGATCCGCCCGCATCGGCCTCCCAAAATGCTGTGATTACAGGTGTGAACCACCGCGCCCGGCCTACGCTTTCATAATTTAATAATACCTTATAATAATTATGAACTGTGTCATTCCACGAATAATTTATTCCCTGGTCGTTGACTGCGAACGAGGTTGACAAGGATTCATAAACAGCCATTTCAGTCCCAAAGAGCTTTTAGACAAGGAAGCCAGGACCGGCTTCACAATCCGAGACAAGCGGCAGCGTGACGTCCCCACGTCCGCTCCCAGGGTCACGTGACCCGCAGCCCCGCCCGGACTGAGTGGGTCCCCAGCGGCTGCGACAGCAGCGTCTGCGCCTGCGCGGAGGCAAGCGCGCTCTGCGGCGCGGTCCGCTGTGGAGGCGGCGCGAACGGTCAGGGGGCGGCCGATGGCTTTGAGGGGCCCTGCGGGCTTGGGGCCCGGCTCTCGAAGGCCGTTGGACGAAGCGGTGGCAGGGGCCGAGGGCCGCGAGGCGCCGGCCCTTGTGGCGGCGGGAGGCGCGCCAGAGGACGATGAAGAGGACGATGGCCGTGGCCGGGGCCTGCTGCGCTGGGACAGCTTCTCCGCCTGGCTGCACTGCGTGTGTGTGGTGGGCTTCGACCTGGAGCTGGGCCAGGCCGTGGAGGTGAGGCCCGGCCCCGCCCTTTCTCGGCGCTCCTCCCCTGCGCCGGGGCGGCTGCAGCAAAGCCAGCGGCCCGCGGGCTGACCGGCCAGGACCCTGTCCGCGGCGCATCCGGGCGTGGCCAGTCTCCCCTCCCGCGCTCTTTCGGGCTGCGGTCCTACGGCACTTCCCGTGGGAGGATCTTGGGCTGCGGCTAGGGGTGAAAAGTTCTCTCTAGGCCCCTCCTAAATACTTGTTGATGTTCATCCTGTTCTTTCTTTATTTCTTTTAAACGCAGAGTCACAGAATTAACTAAAAGGGTTAGTAGCACCCACCCGGAGAAGCCCGCAGGCAGGATGTTTGTTTGGTACTTTTTCAAGAACAATGCCCATAACAGATGATGAACTCTAGTAGCCGAACTTGCACAACCAAGTTTTAAGGCTCAGATTGTTTTAGTCATTTGCAGTAACTGTTTGAGCGTTTCCCTCAGCCTGAGTCGAAATGCTTATCTCAGCACGCATTTTCTCCCTTTCCTCCTTTTGTGCCTCATTTCTGTTTTTTTTTTTTTTTTTTTTTGAGACGGAGTTTTTGCTCTTGTTGCTCAGGCTGGAGTGCAATGGCGCGATCTTGGCTCACCGCAACCTCTGCCTCCCGGATTCAGGCAATTCTCCTGCCTCAGCCTCCCGAGTAGCTGGGGTTACAGGCATGCGACCATGCCCGGCTAATTTTGTATTTTTAATAGAGACGGGGTTTCTCCATTTTGGTAAGGCTGGTCTCGAACTCCCGACTCAGGTGGTCTGCCCGCCTAGGCCTTCCAAAGTGGTGGGATTACATGCGTGAGCCACCGTGCCCGGCCTCATTTCTGTTATTTTTTTTTATGTTGCCTCTGGAACAGTTGGTGTGAAACTACTGTCAAGATGAATATAGGGAACATCATTTGCTTGTCAATCAGTCAACTTTTCCATTCTTATGTATGGCCCCTTACCGAAAGGCTTTAGAAACATCTATTCTTGACGTTGTTGAAGGTCTTTTTAGCATAAGGAATTGCTTGCTTTCATGTGTCCAAGGAAATTGTTATCAGAAGGGCGTTTGTTTAGACGTTTTGGTTTTGGTTTTTTTTTTTTTTTTTTTTTTTTGGTATTGGTGACAGATTTCGATTTCATTAATACTGTAGTGGCCTGGTTGACTAAGAAAATTGGCTAGGGGTAGTTTTCTTAATGCGAAGCTACTGCTTTCGTATTCGGCCTGCCTTCTGGATGTTTTATTATAACACAGTTCAGCGACATTAAGTTTCCACTAAGAACCAGGCATTATGTTAGTTGTGGAGCATACAAATAGGATGTGCTCTAATCTGTATTTGTAGATTGAGGCAATAATTTAGAGGAGAACCAAGAATTAATCATAGTAGCTGATAAGGCCAAATGCAGTGCCTGGCACCTAGTGGCATTCTATAAATACTTTTGATAGAATAGGTGAATATGTGAGCAATTCTTTATCTTATTAAAGTAAGAAAAACAGTTCCCAAAGATTTTGAGTAAGAGATTTATAAGCCATTTATTATTCACCTTGCCATGTTAACCTGAAGTTATATGTACAGCAAGATACAATTTAACCAGAAAGCATAAGAATGGGTTGTTGTAGTTGATTGTGTTTTTAAATAGCTAAAGGAGATTCTTTTGGATTCTCATTATTTGGGACATTCTTTATAACGTGAATATGTTTTTTGACCAAATAAACAGAAAATATATTTGAGATGCTGCAAAAATGTGAATTATTAAAGGACTTATTTTGAATTTCATTTTCCATAGTGTATGCCACTGTATAGAGTTTTTTCTAGGTCAGGAGTTCTTAACCTTTTGCTTCCTGGATCTTTTAAAAATATGAACATTGTGAATTTTCCACTAGGAAAAGGCTGAGTAAGATGAAATCATGTATGTGGTTCCATATATGTGGTTTCCAGCTATTTAAGACATAAACCTAGTAGGGCTTCAGAAAATGGCTAGAGTTCAGAACCAGGGAAACCTCTTGGTTTTGCTCTTTTTTTGTGTGCAGATCTTGTTTATATTTCATGTTCCCTGCAAACTGCCTTCTTCCCCTTCTCTGATTTTTTTTTTTTTTTTTAAAGACAGAGTCTAACTTTGTCAGCCAGGCTGGAGTGCAGTGGTGTAATTTCGGCTCACTGCAACCTCCACCTCCCAGGTTCAAGTGATTCTCCTGCCTCAGCCTGCCAAGTAGCTGGGACTACAGGTGCATGTCACCATGCCCAGCTAATTTTTGTTTTTTGAGAGAGAGAGTCTTGCTCTGTTGCCCAGGCTGGAGTGCAGTGGGGCAATCTCGTCTCCCTGCAAGCTCCGCCTCCCTGCAAGCTCCGCCTCCCAGGTTCACGCCATTCTCCTGCCTCAGCCTCCCAAGTTGCTGGGACTACAGGCACCCGCACCACGCCCGGCTAATTTTTTGTATTTTTAATAGAGACGGGGTTTCACCGTGTTAGCCAGGATGGTCTCGATCTCCTGACAGTGTGATCTGCCCACCTCAGCCTCCCAAAGTGCTGGGATTACAGGCATGAGCCACCGCGCCTGGCCTGCCCAGCTAATTTTGTTTTTTTTGTTTTTTTGTTTTTTTTAGTAGAGACAGGGTTTCACCATGTTGGCCAGGCTGGTCTTGAACTCCTGACCTCAAGTGATACACCTGCCTCAGCCTCCCAAAGTGCTGGGATTACAGGCGTGAGCCACCGCACCTGACTTTTTTTTTTTTTTTTCCTTAGAGACATGGTCTGCCTCAGATTGGAGTGCAGTGGCATGATCATAACTCACTACAACCTCGAACTCCTAAACTCGAGGGATCCTCCTGAGTATCTATGAATACAGACATGCACCACTACACCCGGCTATTTTTAATTTTTTTTGTGGGGACAGGGTCTTGCTATGTTGCCCAGGCTGGTCTCAAACTTGTAGCCTCAAACTGTCCTGCTGCCTCTGTCTTCCAAAGTGCTGGGATTATAGGTGTTGAGCCACCATGCCCAGCCCTTCTCTGATCTTTAAGGTGAGAAGCTAACGTTTTTAGCCACTTCAGTGAAAAAGAGTGAATCTTTAACTCACTTCCAAAGCCAGAGGAAGATAATCTGGCCTGGTTTGGGGCAGGTTCCTACTCTGATACAATTGGCTAAAGCCCTGAGTAGAAGGGGGAGTGGTTCACCTTGCATAAAATGTCTTTTAAGGCCCTGTCCTAAGTGAAGGGGGTTAAGGAGGTCTTTGAGCTAGGAAGAAACTGAACAAGGTGTTGACTGCAGGGGGTGTGCTGAGCTTCTTTTCCCCTGAAGTGGCTCTGGAGGCATTACCACAGAATCAAAGTGTCCTCTGGAACAAGGTTTGAAACCTCCTGGGTTTGATATACTGTACCTCACTTTTAGCTTTGAAATTACCAATTATTTAGTAAAGCCTTAATTATCCGAATACAGAATTACCTTATTTATTCAAGTTTTTTTTTTTTTTCTGAGTGAATAATAACATACTCATTGCTGAAAACTTGGCAAGTAAAGAAATCATAAACACTAGGCCGGGCATGGCGGCTCATGCCTGTAATTCCAGCACTTTGGGAGGCCGAGGCGGGCAGATCACGAGGTCAAGAGATCGAGACCACCCTGGCCAACACGGTGAAACCCCGTCTCTACTAAAAATACAAAAATCAGCTGGGCGCAGTGGCATACACCTGTAGTCCCAGCTACTCGGGAGGGTGAGGCAGGAGAATCGCTTGAACCTGGGAGGTGGAGGTTGCAGTAAGATCGGGCCACTGCACTCCAGCCTGGCGACACAGCAAGACTTTGTCTCAAAAAAAAAGAAAAATTATAAACACTAGAAAATATCACTCTTAATTCTACTAAGAGGCAACTGCTATTAATATTCGGCATTTTTGTTAATACTTTTTTTCTTTATATAATTTTGTATCTGTCAAGGATTAACTTGATTGTTAGGAACAGAAACCTCAAATAAACTTAAGTAAAGGGACAGTGATTGTAAGGATTCCAGGCAGTCTTTTGGAATCCAAGTGTGTGGGAAGCAAGGATGAACCTGTGGGATTTGGAAAGCCCCAGGCCTTTGTCTCTGGAGCTGTGTGTTTTTTTTTGTCTTTGGTCTTTGCATGTCTGTTCTTTTCTCCATGCTGAAGCTGGTTTGTGCTGCAGTGGCCTCAGTTTCTGCTCCCCCGTTACTCTGCTTGACTTTGGGTTTCCATGGTACTAATTTTAGCCAAACTCTTTTTCTGGAATGAGGCTGAAGCTTAATATTGGAGTATCTGATTGGCTCAGCATGGGACAGGTGTCCCATTTTGTTCACTTGTGGTTAGGAGACAAGGTTTCGCTAGCAGTAGCAGTCACTTAGGCTCACCCCTGCAATAGGAGGGACACTTCCAAAGCATAGTCTGGGCAGCAGTCTCCTAAACATGTCTACTGTGAGTCTGCTTTTATTCATAAATATTCTCATAAACAGTTTGTAAGATGATTAGACTCTTAATAAGCCGAGTGTGGTGGCTCATGCCTGTAATCCAAGCACTTTGGGAGGCTGAGGCGCGTGGATCACTTGAGGTCAGGAGTTCGAGACCGCCGTAGCCAACATGGTAAAACCCCATCTCTAATAAAAAAATACAAAAATAGGCAGCTTGGTGGCACATTCCTGTAATCCCAGCTACTCGGGAGGCTGAGGCAGGAGAATCGCTTGAACCCGGGAGGCAGAGGTTGCAGTGAACTGAGATCATACCACTGTAGTCCTGCCTGGGCAACAGAGTAAGACTTTGTCTCAAAAAAAAAACAAACCCAAAAAACAAAAAACTCTTCATAAATATAATTTTACAAAGCAGATGTTCTTTTCTTTTTTTTTTTTTTGAGGTGGTCTTACTCTGTCACCCAGGCTGGAGTGCAGTGATGCAATCATGGCTTACTGAAGCCTTGAACTCTCGGCTCAGGTGATCCTTCTGTCTCAGCTTCCCTGGTAGCTGATACTGCAGGCATATGCTTATGCACCAGGCTAATTTTTAAATTTTTTGTAGAGATGGGGTCTTGCTTTGTTGTCCAGGCTGGTCTCAAATTCCTGGCTTCAAGGGATCCTCGTGCCTCCACCTCCTAAAGTGCTAGGATTACAGACATGAGCGACCACACCTGGCTGTCATCCTATCCTTTGAAACTTTGAAGCCAGGTATTGACTTTTCTCTAGCTATGAAAGTCTTAGAGGGCATAGTCTTCCAACAGAAGGCTATTTCATCTACAATGAAAATCCGTTATTTAGTGTAGCCACCTTCATCTTTTCTCTTAGATTTTCTGGATAACTTGCTGCAGCTCTCTATCAGTCCTTGCTGCTTCACCTTGCACTTTTATGTTATGGAGACAGCTTCTTTCCTTAAACCTCATGAACCAACTCCTGCTAGCTTCCAACTTTTCTTCTGCGGATTCATCACCTCTCTCAGCCGTAACAGAATTGAAAAGAGTTGCGCTCTTGCTCTGAATTAGGCTTTGGCTTAGGGAATGTTCTAGCTGGTTTGCTCTTCTATCCAGACCACTCAGACTTTCTCCACATTAGCAGTAAGGCTGTTTCACTTTCTTATCATTGATGTGTTCACTGGAGTAGCATTTTTAATTTCCTTCAAGAACTTTTCCTTTGGCTGGGTGTGGTGTCTCAGGCCTGTATTCTCAGCGCTTTGGGAGGCTGAGGCAGGAGGATTCCTTGAGCCCAGGAGTTCAAGACCAGACTGGGCAACGTGGTGAGACCCTGTTGCATAGAAAAAAAGAAAGAAAAAAAGAACTTTTCCTTTGCATTCACAAGTTGGCTGTTTGGTCCAAGAGGCCTAGCTTTTGGCCTGTCTCAGCTTTTGACATGCTTTCCTCATTAAACTTAAATCATTTCTAGCTTTTGATTTAAAGTGAGAGATGTGTGACTCTTCCTTTTACTTGAACACTTAGAGGCCATTATAGAGTTATTCATTGCCCCAGTTGCAAATATTGTTGTGTCTTACGGAATAGGGAGGCCTGAGGAGAGGGAGAGAGATGGGGTAATGGCTCGTCAGTGGAGCTGTCAGAACACATGTATTTATTGATTAAATTTGCCATCTTATATGGGCATGGTTTGTGGTGCCCCCAAACAATTACAATAGTAACATCAAAGATAACTTATCACAGACCACTGTAACAGATACAATAGTAACAAAAAAGTTTGAAATATTGTGAGAATTACCAAAGTGTAACACAGAGACACAAAGTGAACACATTGTTGGAAAAATGATGCTGATAGACTTGCTTAATGTAGGCTTGCCACAAACCTGTAATTTGTAGAAACTGGTAACTGCAAAGCACAATAAAATGATGCACAATAAAACAAGGTATGCCTATATTAATAAAAGGAGAAGGAAGAATGGTATTGGAAGGCAACAAGCATTTACTGCCTTACCTGAGAGCAGTTATAATCTTATGTAATCAAAGATTTATTTTGAAAGATTTCTAAGCTTGGGTTTTATGATATAAACTTTAGTAACTTTGAGCTGTTTGAGAGCCAAGGGTATATGTGCCTGAAAATTCTACACCATTATGTAACTTTGAAATAAAGGATTATGTTCTGTTTTACCTGGGATATGGAAATATCTGTTAATGCTTATTGAAAATGAGGCTAAACATTTATATCTTGGTAAATTTAGGCTATTTTTGTATTATTGGGATTCTATTTATTTTGTTCTTCTTATCATAAGAATCATCTGGGGCATTTGTTACATATGAGGATTCTGGGGCTCACCCATCTGCTTAATCAGAATCAGTTCCAGAGGATCATTATGTGTAGGCATGTTTGGAGTATGTTTTTTAATTTTCTCTTTATATAAACTTTTCTGTTTTTCTTGTAAACCAGCTGTTGTCAAAATGTGGTCTGAGGACTTCTGGGCATCTCTGAGACCGTTTCAGGGGATTTATAGGATGTTTTCAAACTATGTATGGCTTTTCTTCATGTTCTTCAACCAGAACAACATATTGCAATAGAATGAACATAGAATGATTCTGCCAAGAGCAAACATTAAAGAAAAACAAATTTTTTTTTAAAAAAAAAGAATGAATGCTGAAGCAGATATGAGAATCTAGTTATTTCTGTTAAATCAGACATTAAAGATATTTGCAAACATGTAAACAATGCCATCTTAGTAAGGTTTTTGTTTTGTTTAGGAATACAGGTTGTGTGTTCCTAATCTAAACATTCAAAATCTGAGACGCTCCAAAACCTGAAACTTTCTGAGTACTGACATGATGCTTTTTAAAGGAAATGCTCATTGGAGCATTTTGGATTTCAGGTTTTTGGATTTGGGATGTCCAACTGAGTAAGTATAATTCAAATATTCTAGAATCTGAAAAGATCTGAGATCCAAAACACTTCTGATCCCACCAAGCATTTTGGATAAGGAATACTCAACCTGAATATAGTTACTTTTCATAAAAATTGAATATGTTAATGAGTAATAGGTTATTATTTTAAAATAAATAAACAATTTTTTTTAATGATACTTTTAGTTTCTACAGTGGTGAATGTTGATAGATATAACTCATATAAACAAGAATTCTAGGCTGGACGTGGTGGCTCACGCCTGTAATCCCAGCACTTTGGGAGGCAGAGGCAGGCAGATCTGCTGAGGTCAGGAGTTCGAGACTAGCTTGGCCAACGTGGTGAAACCCATCTCTACTAAAAATACAAAAAAAAAAAAAAATTAGCCAGGCATGGTGGCGCATACCTGTAATCCCAGCTACTCTGGAGGCTGAGGCAGGAGGATCACTTGAACCAGGGAGGCGGAGGTTGCAGTGAGCCGAGACTGTGCCATTGCACTCCAGGTGTGTGCCACCATGCCTGATTAAATTGTTTTATTTTTGTGTTGCCCAGTGTGATCTTGAACTCCTGGACTCAAGGGAACCTCCTGCCTCCACCTCCCAAAGTGTTGAGATCCCAGGCATGAGCCATTGTACCCAGCCTCATTTATTCCTTTCCGTCACTAATTATTAAGTAATATTTGGACTTTATTTATTTATTTGAGACAGGGTCATGCTGTGTCACCAGGCTACAGTGCACTGCAGCCTGGACCTCCCAGGCTCAAGCAATTCTCTCACCTCAGCCTGTCAAGTAGCTGGACTACAGGTGTGTACCAACATGCCTGGCTACTTTTTTGTTTTTTTGTAGAAACAGGGTTTTGCTGTGTTGCCCAGACTGGTCTTGAACTCCTGGCCTCAAGTGATCTGCCTGCCTCAGCCTCCCACAGTCCACCTGCCTTAGCCTTCCAAAGTGCTGGGATTATAGGCATGAGCCACCATGCCTGGCTTTAGACTCTTTTCTTGAAACAGAGTCTCGCTTTGTCACCCAGGCTAGAGTGCAGTGGCACGATCTCAGCTCACCGCAACCTCTGATTCCCAAGTTCCAGCGATTCTCCTGCCTCAGCCTCCTAAGTAGCTGGGATTACAGGCACGTGCCACCGCACCCAGCTAATTTTTGTATTTTTAGTAGAGACGACGGGGTTTCACCATGTTGGTCAGGCCGGTCTCAAACTCCTGACCTCGTGATCTGCCCACCTTGGCCTCCCAAGGTGCTGGGATTACAGGCATGGGCCACCGTGCCTGGCCCATAAACTCTTTTTTTTTTTTTTTTTTTGAGACGGAGTCTCACTCTGTCACCCAGGCTGGAGTGCAGTGGCACAATCTTGGCTCGCTGCAACCTCCACCTTCTGGGTTCAAGCAATTCTCTGCCTCAGCCTCCTGAGTAGCTGGGATTACAGGTGCCCACCACCACACCGGGCTAATTTTTGTATTTTTAGTAGAGATGGGGTTTCACCATCTTGGCTAGACTGGTCTTGAACTCCTGACCTTGTGATCCACCCGCTGCGGCCTCCCAAAGTGCTGAAATTACAGGCATGAGCTAAACACTTTTTAAATAAGGGAACTGGAACTTAAAGAGGTAACTTGCCCCATATCACTTGCTTAATAAGCCAGGATTTGAACCCTGGTCCTTTTGATTCTGAAGCCTAATTTCCCCCCACTATACTGTGTTGTTTACTATTTAGGGAAACTGAAGCAAAGAAGATGTGAAATGCTAGCGGTAGCTTGAACTAAAATTCTTAAATTCTTGGTAGTAATAGTTTACCTCATTTCTCAAAGTGTTCCTGTTTACATGCTAATACTCAGTGTAATAATAGTACCCAGGGCTATTTTCTGAGTTGTATGAACTGCTTTTAGCATTTTTGTGATCCTTTAGTTGGCAAAATGCTTTACCGTCCTGTGGAATGCACAGTAGATACTTGCTTCTGTTTGGACAAAAGACCAGCGTGACCTATGTCAATGACATAAAGTTGGATTTCCTGAAGGTAGGGTTTCTAACTGATAATAGTTTATAGCCATGGGCAGATGAAGTGAGATGATAATAGTTCTCATTTCTAGTGTATTGTGAGGATTAATTGATACAATACAGTGCCTGGCACAAGGAAAACACTTGATAAAGTTAGCAATTGTAATTATTTATTGAGTTTTTCTGAAATAATGAAATAATTACTCTTTTGGTCTAGTTTATTTGAATTCTATCTGTATTACTCATTTAGTGAATTCCTACCTAACCTTAAGCGTCCTTTGTAAGTAATACAGGATCAGTATGAGGGTAGCATCATTAAATTTTTGTTGGTACCTATTATAATAGGAGCACTGGGACCATTTGCATAGGCCATAATAAGTACCTAACATGCACAAAGGATTCTATTATGTTAATCAGTAGATGAAGACATGAGAATCCCTGCTCTCCAGAATTTAACTGAAGAGACAAGTAAGAGCATATAGTCGGCCAGGTGTGCTGGCTCATGCCTGTAGTCCCAGCACTTTGGGAGGCTGAGGTGGGTGGATCACTTGAGGTCAGGAGTCCGAGACCAGCCTGGCCAACATGGCGAAACTCCGTCTCTACTGAAAATACAAAAAAATTAGCCGGGCGGGATGTTGCACACCTGTAATCCCAGTTACTTGAGTGGCTGAGGCAGCAGAATCGCTTGAACTTGGGAGTTGGAGGTTGCAGTGAGCTGAGATCATGCCACTGCTCTCCAGCCTGGGTGACAAAGCCAGACTCCATCTCAAAAACAAAACAAAACAAAAAAAACCATATAGTCAGTGGTCCAGAGACTAAGTGAAAATTTCTGGTGGAAGGTGAAAATTGATTTGAACCTTAAGGGTTGCATAATTTAAAATTTCAGCTTATATAATTAAGAAATTATACACAATATTTATTGAGGAAAAATTACAAAAAGAGGCAATAGAAATCACTTATTTCCCCTGCTGGATGGAATTTGATAGGCGCATAAATGGTGAATCAGTTCTTAAGCATGAGCAAGGGAAGAAGCAGGAAAGTTCAAAGCATCTTTAGAATTAATGAATAGATCATGTACTGAAATACTATGATCTTCAAGATCTTAAGGAAAAAAGCAGTGTGTAAAGCAGTGAGAACAGAACAGAATATAATTTTTTTTTTTTTTTTTTTTTTTTTTTTTGAGACGGAGTCTCACTCTTGTTGCCCAGGCTGGAGTGCAATGGTGCAATCTTGGCTCACCAAAACCTCCGCCTGCCGGGTTCAAGCGATTCTCCTGCTTCAGCTTCCCGCAGAATATAATTTATGTTAGAAAAAGTACATACATAATTTTTCTTTGAAAGATACATAGGAAATGGTTTAACAATGGTTATTGAAGGAAGAAAACCTCAAGCTCAATGGGAGAGAGACTATGATTTTATGCCTTTTTATGGTTTGAATTATTGTGTCTATGTTTCCATTTTTAAAAATTCAGGTATTCACATATAAAATTCACACTTCTAAAGTGTATAATTCAGTGGTTTTGAGGTTTTCACAGGATGTGCAACTAACACCTCTATCTAATTGCAGGACATTTTCTTCACCCCAAAAAGAAACCACATACCCATTCCACTTTTTCCCTGGCATCTAGCAGCCACTAATAAGCTTCTGTCTGTATGCTTTTCATGGGAGTGGAATCATATACGTTCATCCATGTCATAGTATGTATATGTACTTTATTCCTTTTTATGGTTGAATAATATACCATTGTATGGATATATCACATTTTGTTTATTCATTATTTAATGAAAATTTGGATTGTTTCTTTCTTTTTTCTTTCTTTCTTTCTTTTTTTTTTTTTTTTAACAGGGTCTTGCTCTGTTGCCTAGGCTGGAGCACAATGGCATGATCATAGCTCACTGCAGCATTGACCTCCTGGGCTCAAGCAACCCTCCTGCCTCAGCCTCCTGAGTAGCTGGGACTACAAGTGCCTGCCACTATGCCTGCCTAATTTTTTTTTTTGAGGCAGAGTCTTGCTCTGTCACCCAGGCTGGAGTGCAGTGGCGTGATCTCGGCTCACTGCAAGCTCTGCCTCCTGGGTTCATGCCATTCTCCTGCCTTAGCCTCCCGAGTAGCTGGGACTACAGGTGCCCGCCACCACGCCTGGCTAATTTTTATGTTTTTAGTAGAGACGGGGTTTCACTGTGTTAGCCAGGATGGTGTCGATCTCCTGACCTCGTGATCTGCCTGCCTTAGCCTCCCAAAGTGCTGGGATTACAGGTGTGAGCCACCGTGGCCTGGCTAATTTTTAAACTTTTTTGAGGAGACAGAGTCTCACTATGTTGTCCAGGCTTGTTTTTACTTTTTGGCTATTATGAATAATGCTAATATGAAAATTTGTGTACGAGTTTTTGTGTGAACATGTGTTTTCACTTTTCTTGGATATATACCTAGCATTGAAATTGCAGGGCTATACTGTAACTCTATGTTGTAACTTCTTGAGAAACTTCCATAACTGTTTTCCACTACTGATATATGAGGGTTCTAAGGGTTCTAATTTCTCTGCATCCTTATCAACTCTTGTTATTGTCTCTCCTTTTGATTACAGCTGTCCTAGTAGGTATGAGCCATGTCTTATTGTAATTTTATTTGCATTTCCCTAATAACTAATGCTAAACAGTGTTTTTTCAGTGCTTATTGGCCATTTTCATTTTTATTTTTTGGAGAAGTATCTATTAACATTTGTGCCCATTTGAAAATTGGGTTATTTGTCTTTTTATTGTTATATTTTAAGAGTTCTTTATGTATTTTATATACTAGACCCTTATTAGTTATATTAATTGTGTCTTAGCCTGTTCAGGCTTCTCACAAAATACCACAAACTGGGCAGCTTATAAACAATATCTGTTTATTTCTCATAGCTCTGGAGGCTCACAAGTCCAAGATCAAGGTACTGGCTGATATGGGGTTTGGTGAGGGTACTCTTTCTGATTCATAGATGGCACCTTCTGGCAGTGTCTTTGCATGGTGGAGAGCTAGCTCTCGGGTCTCTTTGATAAGAGCATTAATCTCAATCATGAGGGCTCTGCCCTCACGACTTGATCGCCTCCCAAAGGTTTCACCTCCTAATACCGCTATCACCTTGGGGTTTTTGTTGTTATTGAAGCAAGGTTTTAAATTTTGATGATATCCAATTTATTTATGTTTCCTTTTGTTGTTTGTGCTTTTGGTGTCATGTCTAAGAAAACATTGCCTAATTCAAGGTTGTGAAGATGTATTACTGTTTTCTTCCAAGAGTTATATAGATTTAGCTCTTACATTTAGGCCTTTGATCCACTTTGAATTGACTATTGTATATGCTGTGAATTAGAGCTGTTATTTTTTTAAACTTTATTTTGAGATTAGGTAAGAGTTATAAAAGTAACTTACTCCACCTGAAGTTAACTTTTGTGCTTCAAAGAACATACAGTCCATTGTTCCCACTGCTGCTGCTGCTCTTCTAACAGTTCTAGTTTCTCACAAATTTCTGTCCATAATCCTGCTCAGCACCCTGTACCATCTCTATATCTCGCTTTTCCTCCCGAGCTGCTGTTAGGCTGTCTGTTGCATTTGTAATTCCTATAGTTCCTCACCAGTAGTGGCTGAGCTCCCGCCTTCCCAGCCTGTATTTTTGACTCATTCAAGGTTAAAAATTCTCCAGCAGCTTCTTTAATGTAGCCCACAATCCCCTACATAGTCTTCTCTCTCCTTACTTCTTCAGGCTCACCTTGCCCCACTTCATCAGTGAGCAACAATGGACCATTGATGTGGAAGGTACACCCTCATGTTATGGAAGCAGAAACTGAGGCATAGACTGGCTAATGATTTCCCACAAGGACACATCTAATTAGGACCAAAACATGGTTTTGGTACCAGTACTGTACTTTCCATCCTTCCCCACTGCCTCTTAAGAGTTTGAAGATGCAGAGCTGTATTCATTTATTTTTGCCCAAAGTCAAGGTGAGTAAATGTGAACTTTAAAGAAAATTTGGGCTTTAAAGAAAAAATTGAAGTGAAGAAGAGATGATAGGAAGAAGCTGAAGATTTGGCTTAGGATGGTGGAATAAGAAGTAACAACAACAATGAAAAAGAAAGAAGGCAAAATGCTAATATTTTGTCTGTTGCCTTCTGTGAGGGCAGGTGGGAATATCTAGTTAACTGTGTTTCCTAAAAGCTAGAAAGATAAAAGAATAGGATGTGTGCATATGGTAACCATACCAGTGCATCCTGTTTTCAGATATTTGCCTTGTCTTCCCACAAACCATCTGTATTAGTCTGCTATGGCTACTATAACAAAATACCAAAAGACTGGGTATCATTTTGTTTTGTTTTGTTTTTGTTTTGAGACAGGGTCTCACTCTGTCGTCCAGGGTGGAGTGCGGTAGCACCATCTGGGCTCACTGCAACCTCCACCTTCTGGATTCAAGCCATACTTGTGCCTCAGCTTCCTGAGTAGCTGTGATTACAGGTGTGTGCCACCATGCCCAGCTAATTTTTGTAATTTTAGCAGAGACAGGGTTTTGCCATGTTGGCCAGACTGGTCACTCCTGGCCTCAAGTAATCTACCTGCCTTGGTCTCCCAAAGTGCTGGCATTACTGGCAAAAGCCATCACACCTGGCCTGCATGTCTTAAATAACAGAAATCTATTTCTCTTGGTTCTGGAGGCTGGGGAAAGTTTAAAATGAAGTTGCTTACCAATTTTGTTCCTGGTGAGGGTCCTCTTCCTGGCTTGCAGATGGCTGTGTTCTTGCTATGTCCTCACATGGTAGAGAGAAAGAGAGAGAGATCTCTTGTGTTTCCTCTTATAAGGGCACAAGTGCCATCATGTGAGCTCTACACTCATGACCTAATTACCTCCCAAAGGCCCTGTCTCTAAATATGATTGGAGGTTAGAGCTTTAACGTGAATTTTTGGGGGATTCAGTCCATAGCACCATCTAACTGGACTAGATATCTCTGGATTTGAGCCCCAACTGTATTTCTTATCTCCCCAATTGCCTGGAAAAAAAAATCTTATCTTAAACTATTTTTGTTCTCTTTGTAGAAACCAACCACCATTTTATGCCCCCTCTGAGGGCAGTTCAGTGTGTGAGGTACTCTTTATGGGTCTTGAAGAACGTGTTTCTCAGAAGAAAATAGTAGCTGTTTATCAAGGCATTTATGTGCTGGGAGAATCTCCTATTGATTTCTGATAAGCTGTAGAGATATCTTTGTTGAAATTTAAACATCTATATTCTATAAATCTATATTTATCCTGGAAAAAGTATCAGGAGAAATTATCCTATGAATGCCAAAAGAATTTGGTATTTAGTCTAAGTGGATTATAACAGAAAGTTCTTTTTTTTAAAAAAGAATCATTTCCTTTAGGAATGGCTAAATAAGATGTATTGGACTGGTTTAATGAGATATTGTGATGAGTTAGTGATTTTGACAAAAATGGCTGAGTAGTTCAGCATTTAGATGGTTGGATATTAAAGATGATATAACAACTTACAAAGAATGGGATATAACTAACCCTTACCAAGTGCTTCTATTTAGGAACTGAGAAGGATTATATTAATCCCAGCTGATAGGGGAAAGAGTCAAACTTCCCATAAATGCAGTCTGATACAAAGCCAGGAAGAATGTTGAGATCTAATGAATTAAGATACAGTAGTGCTTTCTGCCATCAAGGAAAAAAAGCAACCATGATTCTTTCTGTTAAAAGTGACAGGAAGGCCGGATGTAGTGGCCTATAATCCCAGCAATTTGGGAGGTGGGAGGCAGGAGGATCATTTGAGGCCAGGAGTTTGAGACCAGCCTGGGCAACATGGCAAGACTCCATATCTACAGAAAATTTAAAAATTAGCCAGGTGTGGTGGTGCATGTCTGTAGTCCCAGCTACTGAGGAGGCTAAGGTGAGAGGATTGCTTGAGCCCTGGAAGTCGAGGCTGGGGTGAGCCACAGTTGTGCCACTGTACTCTAGCCTTGGTGACAGAATGAGACTCTGGAGACTCTGTCTCAAAAAAAAAAAAAAAAAAAAAAAAAGGACAACAAAGTTAGCCCAAACTGGCATAAGAAAACAAAGTTTATTGATTCATGTTATTGCAAAGTTCACAGGTAAGCCTGACTCAAGGCACAATTGAATTTATAGTTGAAATAATGTAAGGACTTGGTTTCTGTCCATCTTCCTGCTGTCTTTCACTGTAGAGAATTGATTAAAATGATAGGCCATAGGAATAGAAGGTACCATTAGAGCCTTACATATCAATGGGAAATAGTTTTTTGTTTGTTTGGAGCAAATAGTGTTGGGAAAGTTGACGATTTAAAAAATAACAGTTTGAGGCTGGGCACGGTGGCTCATGCCTGTAATTCTAACACTTTGGGAGGCCAAGGCGGGTGGATCACTTGAGGTCAGGCACTCAAGACCAGCCTAGCCAACATGGTGAAACCCTGTCTCTACTAAAAATACAAGAATTAACTGGGCATGGTGGTGCACACCTGTAATCCCAGCTACTTGGGTGGCTGAGGCACAAGAATCGCTTGAACCTGGGAGGTGGAGGTTGCAGTGAGCTGAGATCACACCATTGCACTCCAGCCTGGGTGACAGAGCGAGACTCTGTCTCAAAAAAATAAAAAATAAATAAAAATAAAAAATAGCAGTTTGAGCTATAGCTCAGAATTAAAGAAAAAGCCCATAAAATGTTAGAAGAAAATCTACAAAAACTTAATTCATTGTTTTCTAAGTTTCAGTCATTCCTTGTCATATTATTTGTACTATTAATATTTTTCTTTAACTGGATTCTTCACATCCCTCTGCCCCTTTTTTTTACTTAGCTATATCTTAAGCATTTGTATCCATGATATATTGATTTTGAGTGTTAGGTCTTTTTTCCTAATACACATTAAATTAAGTACAGTACATATAACTATTAAAATTTTAGAAGGGCTCTGCGCCATATAACATCTCCACTGGCATGTGTGCCATGCTTTTGGAAACAAGGATTTAACTGTTAAAAGATTAGAGAAGGATTTTTTCTAAGACATCTTGTAACAGCAAGAGAAGGCCTTTTTTTTTTTTTTTTTTTTTTTAAATAATCTTATTCTTTTGCCAGGCTGAAGGGCAGTGGTGTGATTTCAGCTCACTGCAACCTCTGCCTCCCAGGTTCAAGCCATTCTTGTGCCTCAGCCTCCTGAGTAGCTGGGATTACAAGTGCCCACCACCATGCCTGGCTAAGTTTTTTGTATTTTTAGTAGAGACATGGTTTCGCCATGTTAGCCAGGCTGATCTCGAACTCCTGGCCTCAAGTGACCTGCCCACCCCGGCCTCCCAAAGTGTTAGGATTACAGGTATGAGCCATGGCACCTGGCCAAGAAGGACTTTTTTTTTTGAGAGAGAGAGGGTCTCACCCTGTCATCCAGGCTGGAGTGGAGTGGCATGATCTTGGCTCGCTGCAGCCTTTATGTGCTTGGGGGGCCTGACTCTCCTAAGACAGCCATTAGTACCACCAGGTGGCCTTTGAGGCACCTCCGGTATAATGTTTGAAAATCACTGGCCTTTGATAATTGGTGGCATGAGAGAGGCATTACTACCAATGCACACAAGATGCCTTCTGTGACTAATGTATAGTGCCAGTTGACTAGTCAAGCACTGAGTGTGTAATTTTTGTCACTTTGATAAATGTTATGTTCATCTCCTAAGGAGGTCAGGTTGGTTATAACATAGAGTTTGGTTGGCTTGTAGAGTGTGTGCCCTTGGGTGTGTTGTTTACTATTGTTTGTTCTGCTGGTAGCTGATCTGACCTAGCCCTGCTTCCTTGCAGGGGCTGTGGGGCAGGAGTTTCATCAGAAGGTGGTTGTGGTCACTGCAGACACTAAAATAACCTAAGAAAATGCATAATGATCCTTTAAAGGGACCAGAGAGAATTAGGATAGCCTTTATTGTGGAGATGGTCCTTGAGGTTTCTTAAACTGCAGATAATTATTTTTCCGTTTCATTTTTCTTTTACTAATAACTAAGTAGTTAGGATGTGTATTACTTGTTGGAGTCAGTTGAAAAATATTATTTACTGAAGTAGACGCCAGCTGAAGATTATTTTCTCTTTAGATTATAGGCTACCAAAGAAGACTCAGTAAGCTTTGAGTTATTAGTCAATTGGTAAATGGTTCTTGATAACTTAATGATTTTACCAATCTTTTGGAGATAACTTTAAACCAAAAACTTTTTTTACCTAATGTAAATATTACTCAATGCTCCCAGCTTTCCCCCTTGTTTCATTATTAAAGTTTGTGAACTGTTTCTTTTTGTTTTGCTTTTTGTCTTTTAACTTTTATTTTAGGTTTCTGGGTACATGTAAAAGTTTGTTACATAAACATGTACATAAACTCATGTCTCAGGGGTTTGTTGTGCAGATTATTTCATCACCCAGGTGTTAAGCCCAGTATCCAATAGTTATCTTTTCTGCTCCTCTCCCTCCTCCCACCCTCCACCATCAAGTAGACCCCAGTGTCTGTTGTTTCCTTCTTTGTGTTCATAAGGTCTCATTATTTAGCTCCTCCCACTTATAAGAGACAATATGCAGTATTTGGTTTTCAGTTCCTGCATTAGTTAGCTGAGGATAATAGCCTCCAGCTTCATCCGTGTTCCCATAAAAGACATGATCCCATTCTTTTTTTATGGCTGCATAGTATTTCGTGGTATATATGTACCACATTTTCTTTATCCAGTCTCTCATTGATGGGCATTTAATTTGATTTAATGGCTTTGCTATTGTGAATAGTGCTGCAGAACTAGTTATTTATTTATTTTATCTTATTTATTTATTTTTTGAGATAAGAGTCTTGCTCTGTAGCCCAGGCTGGAGTGCAGTGGCACGATCTTGGGCCCACTGCTACCTCCACCTCACAGGTCCAGGTTCAAGCAATTCTCCTGCTTCAGCCTCCGGAGTAGCTGGGATTACAGGCATGTACCACCATGTTCAGCTAATTTTTGTATTTTTAGTAGAGATGGGGTTTTACCTTGTTGGCCAGGCTGGTCTTGAACTCCTGACCTTGTGATCCACCTGCCTCGGCCTCCCAATTTCTTTTTTTTTTTTGAGACGGGGTCTTGCTCTGTCACCCAGGCTGGAGTGCAGTGGCGCGATCTTGGCTCGCTGCAACCTCCACCTCCCAGGTTCACGCCATTCTCCTGCCTCAGCTTCCCCAGCAGCTGGGACTACAGGCACACGCCACCACGCCCAGCTAATTTTTTTGTATTTTTAGTAGAGACGGGGTTTCACCGTATGGTCTCGATCTCCTGCCCTCGTGATCCTCCCACCTCAGCCTCCCAAAGTGCTGGGATTACAGGCGTGAGCCACTGCACCCGGCCGGCTTCCCAGTATTTTTAAAAAAATATTCTTGACTGGGCACGGTGGCTCACGCCTGAAATCCCAGCACTTTGGGAGGCCAAGGCAGGTGGATCACCTGAGGTCAGGATTTCGAGACCACCCTGACCAACATGGTGAAATCCTCATCTCTACTAAAAATACAAAATTGGCTGGGTGTGGTGGCACATGCCTGTAATTCCAGCTACTCAGGAGGCTGAGGCAGGAGATTTGCTTGAACCCGGGAGGGGAAGAATCACTTGAACCTGGGAGGTGGAGGTTACAGTAAGCCAAGATCACACCATTGCACTCAAGCCTGGGCAACAAGAGTGAAACTCCTTCTCAAAAACAAAAACAAAAAAAGCACAAAAAAAACTTCATTATTGTGGATATATAATAGTTGCACATATATATGGGGTACATGTGATATTTTGATGCAGACATGCAATGTATAATGATCAAATAGAGTTATTGGGATATCCATCACTTCAAGCATTTATCATTTCTTTGTGTTGGGAACATTCCAGTTCTACTCTTTAGTGATTTTGAAATACACAATAAATTATTTTTAACTGTGGTTGTCCTATTGTGCTACCAAACACTAGATCTTATTCCTTCTATCTAATTGTATTTTTGTAGCCCTTAACCGTTCTTTATTCCCCCCTCTCAAACTCTTACTACTCTTCCCAGCCTCTGGTAACTTACCATCATTATTCTATTTTCTATCTCTGTGAGTTCCTCTTTTTAGCCCTTACATATGAGTGAGAACATGTGATATTTGTCTTTCTGTGCCTGGCTTATTTCACTTAACAGTTCTACCCATGCTGTTGCAAATGACAGGATTTCATTATTTTTTTTTTTTCTTTTTCTTTCTTTTTTTTTTTTTTTTTTTGATACGAAATGTCATTCTGTCGCCCAGGCTGGAGTGCAGTGGCGTAATCTCAGCTCACTGCAACCTCCGTCTCCTGGGTTCAAGTGATTCTCATGTCTCAGGCTCCCGAGTAGCTGGGATTACAAGCATGAGCCACCACACCCAGCTAATTTTTGTATTTTAGTAGAGATGGGGTTTCATCATGTTGACCAGGCTGGTATTGAACTCTGCACGTCTCAGCCTCCCAAAGTGCTGAGATTACAGGTGTGAGCCAATATGCCTGGCCTGGATTTCATTTTTTTAATGGCTGAATAATATCCCATTATGTATATGTACTGCATTTTCTTTATCCGTGCATCTGTGAACTATTTCTGAAAGTGATTTGACCATAACCAACTACTATTTTAGACTAATGTTATATATATATATTTTTTTGTTTGTTTGTTTGATTTGAGACGGGGTCTTGCTCTGTCACCCAGGCTGGAGTGCAGTGGCATGATCTCGGCTTACTACGATCTCTGTCTCCCGGGTTCAAGTGATCCTCCTGCCTCAGCCTCCCGAGTAGGTGGGACTACAGGTGCATGCCACCACACCTGGCTAATTTTTGTAATTTTAGTAGAGACGGGGTTTCGGCATGTTGGCCAGGTTGGTCTTAAACACCTGACCTCAAGTGATCCGCCTGCCTTGGGCTCCCAAAGTGCTGGGATTACCAGCGTGAGCCACCGTGCCTGGCCTATAATATGTTTATAACTAATGTTTATAATATGTTTAACAAAATTTAACTCTTTTCTTCCAGGTAATTTATCCTCAGCATTCCAAACTTACTGACAGAGAAGTAAGTAAAAATACTGCTCTGTATAGTTTACTGTTATATTTCTGTTTGTTTTTATTGATTATGTATGTGTCAGCATACATCACTTTTGTTTTCTTTTTCAGAAAACCAATATTTGCTATTTGTCTTTTCCAGATTCAAATTCAGGTAACTGTTTTTCATACAGTGTTTCTGTTTAATTTTATACTAAGAATACTGGTTATACTGTTAATGTATGAAAATTGATTGAAATAGCATATTAGATTGCAAACAGATCAATGATTTTTATTCCTATTTTAATGATGCCTAGTCATGTCATCGTTGATTTTAGTAGCTTCAACTCTTAAAATAACTGTTATGGTGTGATGAGGTAAACCATCAAGGAACAATAAACTCTTAAAATAGTGAAGAGGTTGAAAATCAGCGACATTGGTATATTTGGGATTCGTGGAGTATGTATTAAATAGTTTATATAGTATGTAGTTTACTTTCAGTTCAGAATTTGGGAGCTTACCAGGAACTCTGTAAAAGCAGTGAACCTAAAAAAAGCCAGGATAAATTTGGTTAGGAAGCAAGGCCATAAGTTACGTGCAGTAGTTTATATGGGTTAATATAGGTAAAGCCTTGGCGTAGTGCTTGGTGTATAGAAAAAAACATACAAGGGTCTGTTTATTGTTGAGCTTGGTTTTGTTAGTCTCTTTCAAGCTCTTCCTTTTGTGTGGTCCTAATCGTTGACATCCTTCAGGTTACCTCTTGTGTTTCACTTTCAAACTAGCTTTTCTTGGCTTATAGTGACCAAAACATTTAGCTTCTCAGGCCACACACAGTTATAACCCTATAGCAGAGACAGTCTAGTTTTCTTTCCTTTTGTGGTTACTTCCTTTTTTTTTTTTTGAGATGGAGTCTCGCTCTGTCACCCAGGCTGGAGTGCAGTGACGCGATCTCAGCTCACTGCAAGCTCCGCCTCCCGGGTTCACACCATTCTCTCACCTCAGCCTCCCGAGTAGCTGGGACCACAGGCGCCTGCCACCAGTCCCGGCTAATTTTTTGTTTTTGTATTTTTAGTAGAGACGGGGTTTCACCATGTTAGCCAGGATGGTCTCGATCTCTTGACCTCGTGATCTGCCCACCTCGGCCTCCCAAAGTCCTGGGATTACAGGCGTGAGCCACCACACCCGGCCGGTTACTTCTAATATTGTGCTAGTTAGTTCATTTAATCTGATTTGAGAGATTTGACAGTTAAACAAAATTTTTTTTAGCATTTTCTCCTTTCTGTATAAATGCTTCCAGAATTTTTTTCCTATCCATTTGGAACTCAGCTTTGGTGAACTATATGAAAGAAAAGTGGTATCTTGGTAAATTAGATACTGCCTTTTAGAGATCCCAGTAAGGGGTTTTTTCTGACCTGGAATTATTTTGGTGTTTTTGACCCATTTATGAAATAATGATGCAGAGGTCTTGTAGGAATGTATCTTCATTTCAGTTAACATTTTTCTTATAAAATCTGTACATACACTTCTTATATACTGTGATGGGTTAGATTTCCAGGTCTCAGAGTAAGCTGAGTTGTATGGATTGCAGAATGAACTGACTTTCTGCATGGAATCCCAGTGAATTATGCTGGATGCTCTTCTCTTTCAGATCATAGCTGGTTGTCATGGCTCCTCTCTCTTTTTCACTTCTCTATATGAGCATGAAGGGGATCAGAATATACCACCCCCAAATATACCACTTTGGCTTAAGAATTATTTTGAGTTGAAGGCAACTGAGAAACAGCAGATGCAAAAAGAGCCCTTTACCCTCCCCCTATATGCCTAAAAGCAGGACATACATTTCCTTTTGTGAAGGTGTCACCCCTTCCCTTTCCCATACCAGGAAGAGGAGAAAATTCTGAATCACCAGAGAAAACTCTTTATCACTGGAGATGGTACCAGCTTAATTCTGCATAAATAAGCCTTGCTAAAATAACCCTTATCTTTCATTAGTTTTACCCATATGTTTACCTTCCCACAGATTACCACCCCTAGAAGTCCAAATCCTTTTTCCTTTGTCTGCATTTTAGTTTCTTTTGTTAAAATGGTATCTAAGCTCCCAAGTTTAACCACCTCTTTGGGTTTTTACTTTTTTTCTCTGAAGCCTTTGTATGCATTCGAACTAAATCTTTTCTCGTTAATCTGTTGTCTGTTTATTTCACAGGCCCCAGTTAGTGAACCTAAGATGGTAGAGGAAAAGTCCCCCGCATGCATACATCAAGGCTAAGAAGTTAATTCTGTGGTGTTTAGATAGCCTATATCTAGTTTTATAGCCTCTGCATGTGTCATTATCAAAAAAATTTTTAAGTACTTTTGGCTTATGAATGACCTACAGATTTTTTTTTTCTTTTTTCTTTTTTTTTTTTTTTTTTGAGATGGAGTTTTGCTCTGTCACCCAGGCTGGAGTGCAGTGGCACGATCGCAGCTCACTGCAACCTCCGCCTCCCAGTTCAAGTGATTCTCCTGCCTCAGCCTCCCAAGTAGCTGGGACACCTTTGCCTGCCACCATGCCTGGCTAATTTTTGTATGTTTAGTAGAGATGGGGTTTCACTGTGTTGGCCAGGCTGGTCATGAACTCCCGACCTCAAGTGATTCGCCTGCCTCAGGCTTCCAAAGTGCTGGGATTACAGGTGTGAACCACTGCACCCGGCTGATTTTTTTTCTTTTCTTTTTTTTTGAGATGGAGTCTCGCTCTGTTGCCCAGGCTGGAGCGCAGTGGCGCGATCTCCACTCACTGCAAGCTCTGCCTCCCGGGTTCACGCCATTCTCCTGCCTCAGCCTCCCGAGTAGCTGGGACTACAGGTGCCCACCACCACGCCTGGCTAATTTTTTGCATTTTTAGTAGAGATGGGGTTTCACTGTGTTAGCCAGGATGGTCTTGATCTCCTGACCTTGTGATCCGCTCACCTCCGCCTCCCAAAGTGCTGAGATTAGAGGTGTGAGCTACCACGCCTGACTGATTTTTTTCTCATAGATATTATTTAATGCTTTTTTTATGTGCTGCACATCAAATGAAGTGTGGTTCTTGTGACTTGAAGTATGGTTGGTACAAGGAAAATCTACAAAAGACCTGAAAGCAGGCACTTTGCTGTCTTAACAGATCATCATTGTCCTAGGTAGCAAGAGACTATATGTTTTGTAAATATTTGAAATTGCTATTTTCAGTTGTAGTTATCCATACAGTTTGGTTTTTTTATGTGTTTATTAAATGAAAATTGGAGGCCGGGTGCAGTTGCTCACACCTGTAATCTCAGGACTTTGGGAGGCTGAGGCGGACAGATAACTTGAGATCAGGAATTCGAGACCAGCCTGGCCAACATGGTGAAACCCCATCTCTACTGAATATACAAAATTAGCTGGGCGTGGTGGTGTGTGCCCGTAGTCCCAGCTACTCAGGAGGCTGAGGCAGGAGAATCTCTTGAATCAGGGATGCTGAGGTTGCAGTGAGCCGAGATTGTGCCACTGCACTCCAGGCTGGGCGACGGAGTGAGACTCCATCTCAAGAAAAAAAAGGATTACTGTACCAACTTTGAAATGAATTTGTTATTTCCCAGGATAACCTTTAATTGCTGTAGAAGAAAGTCCAGACACAGTAGAGCAGTCTTTAGGAAAGAGACATAAATCAAGCCTTTATTTCCATTGTATACCCACTTAAACAGCATGTTAGACTGGATGAAAAAATGACACAGATAAAAATGCTTTTGAGATTGGAATCGTTTGCCCTTCCCCGCCCCTCCGCCACCTTAGATTCTCCTGACTTTAAAAAAGCTTTGTTTGGTTGGTTTTTTAGGTTTCAGTTTTTTGTTTCATTTGAATGGCTTTTATCTTTAGGAGCCTAAGTTTAAAGAGGGCCTTCCCTCTGATAAATATTTGTCCAGTGTTTTTTTCCTTATCATTTACCATTAACATCATCTGGATGTAGGTGTTCCTGAGGCTTAAGCTGTGATGAGTGCCCAAGGACAGAAGTCACTGTATTTTAAACATGTCCAGAGAAAAAAACTCAGCATTAGTAGAGAGAGTTTGAAGCAATGATGAATCTGAGGGAAACATTAATCCTCCTTGTTCTGGATGGACTTGACATGCAGACAATATTCGTCTCAACACATTTCTTCTTTGTAGACAGCAGGGACATCATCATGTGCTTTACACTTCCCAGTTGCTAAAGCAGCACTTCTCATACCGTGTTGAAGGGCCAGTTGGGGTTTTTAATATTTCCAGTCAGTTATGGACCAATATTTTTGAAAAACAATTTAATTGAATTGTTAGAAAAATAAAATGAAATGAGGAAAAAAAAGAAATGTAAAATAAAAGTCTAATTTTTTTTTTTGAGATAGGGTCTTGCTCTGTTGCCCAGGCTGGAGGTAGTGGTGTGATCTCGGCTCACTGCAACCTCTGCCTACTGTGTTCAAGAAATTCTCCTGCCTCAGCCTCCTGAGTAGCTGGGATTACAGGTGCCTGCCACCGCATCCGGCTAATTTTTATATTTTTAGTAGAGATGGGGTTTCACCGTGTTGGCCAGGCTGGTCTCAAACTCCTGACCTCAGGAGATCCACCTGCCTTGGCCTTCTGAAGTGCTGGGATTACGGGCGTGAGCCACTGTGTCTGGTCTAAAAGTCCAAATTTATTACAGCAATATCAAGTTGCTATGAAAGTTTCTAAATATATATTCTCAACTTGCATATTTATTTGGTTATGGAACAGTAACAAGAGTTTATGGACTGGCGTCAGTCTATGGAATAAATTGTGAGAAGCTCTGGTCTAAAATACTGTTTCTCAGCAACCTAGCTTAACCACCCTAATCACAGAGAGAGTGACTATATAAGCTGAGGGTCAAGGGAGGGGGCTGGCTCTTGAAGCTTCACGTTTTGTCTTAGTCTTAGGCATTTTGATCCACTCTGTAGCTATGTTTGTACAAATATAAAAATAACATTTTAAGGCCAGGTGTGGTGGCTCTCGCCTGTAATCCCAGCACTTTGGGAGGCTGACGTGGGAGGATCACTTGAGCCCAGGAGTTCAAGACCAGCCTGGGCAACATAGCAAGACCCCATCTCTAGTGAAATTTTTTTTAAAAAGGCCAGGCACAGTGGCTTACGCCTGTAATCCTAGCACTTTGGGAGGCAGATCACCTGAGATCAGGAGTGTGAGACCAACCTGGCCAACATGGTGAAACCCCATCTCTACTAAAAATACAAAAAATTGGCCAGGCGTGGTGGCACGCACCTGTAATCCCAGCTACTCAGGAGGCTGAGGCAGGATAATCTCTTGAACCCGAGCAGTGAAGGTTGCAGTGAGCCTAGATCCCGCCACTGCACTCCAGCCTGGGCAACAGAGCGAGACTCTGTCTCAAAAAAATAAAATTATGTAAGTTAATTCTTATAACTACGTTTGTAAAAGAAAAAGTCAATTTCCATTAAAATTTTTCTATTTTTCAGTGAATCATCAGAAAGCTATGGTGCTCATAGCATAACTTTTATATCTTTTTGGATCTTGTAGATCTTTAGTTTTCTTAGTGATCGTATTGGGTAAGATGCTTGGAATTCAGTACAGTCATAGGTCAAATTGGGGAATTTTATTTTAGTGTCTTTGAGTGTTACTGCTGGAAGTGACTTTAGAGATTATCTAATAGTACTCCTTGATTTTGTTGACAAGGAAATTGAGGTGAATCTTTCCTCCAAATGTAACCACTATCCTTTCTTATAACAATACTTTTCTTTTTTTTATACTTTTATCACCCAGCCATGCATCCCTAAGCACGACAGTTTAGTTTTTCCTGCTTTCAAAACATTTTATAAAAGTGGATTTGAACAATATGTGTTATTTTGTGTTTGGCATCTTTTGCTCATTATTATGTTTGTGAGTCAACATTATATGCAGATATATTCCAAAAATGTTTAATTACATGAGGGATATGGAATAGGAAAAATAGTAAAGAGACTTAGGAGTTAAGATGCATGTTTTACTTCTGGCTTTGCCTCTAACCAGCAAGGATGGCTTTGAGCAAGTCACTGGAACTCTTAGGATTTTCTTTTTTTCCTCCAAAACATGACAGAATGGGTTAAAATGATTGATAGGATTTTTTTCAGCTCTAAAATTGATGAAACTGGATAAATGTTATACTAAGCTATCCTTAATTTATTTCATTTTTATTTTCATTAGGTTGTCTTGGAGATACCCAGTTTTGTTTTAGATTTCGACAGTCTTCTGGGAGGAGGGTGTCGCTGCATTGTCTCCTGGATCAATTTGACAAAGATTTACCAGTTTACTTAAAGGTTGGAAAAGTAGTCATAGGAAAATGTCCATGTGAGAGGAAACTTTAGAACTCATTTATTCAGTTACCGCTGACACCATTCAGAAATATTTTGCTTTTGTTTTGCTACTATATTATATAGCTGAATTTCCAAAGTGAGTCTTATTCATAAGGATTCAGCATCTGAATGAAAGGGACTTTATACAGTTACTATGTTTGAAACATAATGTCACTGTGATTTATAAAAATGGATTAGAATGTTGAGGTAATTTTCTTTCATTTGTTAATAAATTCTTGAATTAGATGTGGGAGTGGAGTTGTACTGTACAGTAACTATCATCTAGAGTTGAGGTAGTCATACTTGATAACATAGTTGTCTCTTTTTGATTTTTGAATGAGCCTTGTTTTAGTTATTATTTATTTAAAACATTTTAATAATTCAGATGACCTTACAGCCTAGATTTTTTTTTAAGTACATGAGGAACGTTTTCATCTGGATGCCCTATCAGCACATCCAGTGTGACTTTGACATAATTTGCCTGATAACAGTTTTTACAGTTTACCTCCCTGGTTCCACTAATGGCAGAGATACTACCTGTGAAATGTCTCTTAGAGCCATCTCCTCCTTGCTGTCACTACTAATATATTCTTCCAACCAATGATAATAATAGCTGTTATTTGTTAGGGCTTTGTATGTTCTAGATACTGTATTAATAAGCATATATCATCTAATTAATCCTCCCTACAGTGCTCCAAGAGAGATCCTTTTGTAGATGAGGGAATTGAGGGCTATTGAGCATAAGAAACTTACCCAAGGTCATCCCACCTCTTGTTTTATTCCAGCACAATATACCTTATACAGTGTTGCCAGCTAAAGTGTACATATATATTATATAAGTAAAATCTAAAATGACTACAAATTGTTTAACGAGTAAAGAGGTATAGTACTACTTCCTTGTCCTCACTTTTTGGACCTTCCAAAATAAGAACTTCATCATCAAAGTTTCACCCTCATCTCCTTTCTATGTGTGCCATATATGTGCCGTATTTTAATCAAACTGAACTATGTGCTTTTTCCTGAGATAGCATGTATTTTTCTGTCTTTTGTGTTTTTACTGAAACTCCTAGCCCTTTCAACTTGGAATGCCTTTGTCTTTGTTTAAGTCATATTCATCCTTCAATTCCCAATTCAAAAACAGCTGCCTCCATGAAATCTTTACTTTTTCCCCTTGGCTTTCCTGTAACACTTTGTGTTTTTTCATGGTACCCATCCTCCTATTACAATAATATTCATTTTTCTACTTCTTTTTTCTGAGATGGAGTCTTGCTCTGTCACCAGGCTGGAGTGCAGTGGCGTGATCTCAGCTCACTGCAACCTCTGCCTCCTGGGTTCAAGCGATTCTCCTGCCTCAGCCTCCTGAGTAGTTGGGATTACAGGCACGTGCCACCACACCCAGCTAATTTTTGTATTTTTAGTAGAGACAGGGATTCACCATGTTGGCCAGGATGGTCTTGATCTCCTGACCTCATGATCCGCCCACCTTGGCCTCCCAAACTGCTGGGATTACAGGCATGAGCCACTGCACCTGGCCTCATTTTTCTCCTTTCTTATCCCTCCTAAATCATGATATCCTTGAGGAAGAACTGTGTCTTATGCATCTTTTTATCTTCTCTAACACATCACCCTGTTCAAAGTAGGTGGTCAATATATATTTGTTTAAGGAATAATAATCAAATAAGGAACTGAGCCAAAGTTTACTCCATTAAGATGTAAATGCTTCTTAAATTTTTGGAATGCAATTACCTTTCAGATTGTATGTTGATAAACATTGTTATGCTTCATTATTATTGGGTTAACGTGTAACTGACTATATAAGATTCACATTGTCATTTAACTCCTTTTATTTTCTCTCTTGAAATTGTATGTTAGGATACCTCATTTTGTTTTAAGATTGATCCCTTATCCTTGACAATCTCAAAATTGTAGGTAGAATTTTGTAGAAACTAAATAAAACATTGGAGAAAACAGAATTTGATTTTTTTTTAACTTCAGTCACCTAGTATAGATACGAATAAAGAATGTAAGCTGAGTAAGTTATAGGGGGAAAATTTGACTTTAGTACTTAGATTGTAATTAGTACTTTGCCATCTTTGGGCAAGTTAGGAGGGTTTTTTTGTTTTAATTTTAAGCTTTTACACACATCATATGGACCATGTCAAGAGTTAGAAGGTTCTGATCTGGCTGTTGCTGTCATGATTATTGTTTGTTGCTGGAAAAGCGTAACTAGCTCTTCGTGTATATCTCATGTCTTGATTTGGGTTTATAAAGGAGCCTGATGTTAATATTAAAAGATATAGATATGGATATAGATATAGATACATATATATGTACCCCCCCACACACACTTACTTGTCACTTTCTTCTTAGAAGGATCCTGCTTATTTTTATGGATATGTGTATTTCCGACAAGTTCGAGATAAAACTCTAAAAAGAGGCTACTTTCAGAAGGTAATTGTCATACACACTAATAAAAAAAGTATTTTTTATTTTGTGATTAGAAAAATAGAAAGTGTTAGATTTAAGAGTCTTTAAAGTCTTTGGTATTTTATCTTTAAACATGCTATATATATGTGTGTGTGTGTGTGTATATATATATTTTTTTTTTTTTTTTTTTTTTTTTGAGGTGGAGTCTCGCTCTGTCACCCAGGCTGGAGTGCAGAGGCACGATCTCGGCTGACTGCAACCTCTGCCTCCTGGGTTCAAGCAATTCTGTGCCTCCGTCTCCCAAGTAGCTGGGATTACAGGTGCCCGCCCGACGCCTGGCTAATTTTTTGTATTTTTAGTAGAGACGGAGTTTCACCATCTTGGCCAGGCTGGTCTTGAACTCTTGACCTTGTGATCCACATGCCTCAGCTTCCCAGAGTGCTGGAATTACAGGTGTGAGCTACTGCACCTGGCTTATATATAGATTTTTTTTTTTTTTTTTTTTTTTGATATGGAGTTTTGCTCTTGTCGCCCAGGCTGGAGTTCAGTGGTGTGATCTCGGCTCACTGCAACTTCTGCCTCCCAGGTTCAAGTAGCTGGGAGTACAGGTACTGTATTCCCGAGTAGCTGGGATTACAGGCACCTCACAAGTAGCTGGCATTACAGGTGTGCACTACCATGCCCAGCTAATTTTTGTATTTTTAATAGAGACGGGGTCTCACCATGTTGGCCAGGCTGGTCTCGAACTCCTGACTTCAGGTGATCCACCCACCTCGACTTCCCAAAGTGCTGGGATTACAGGCATGAGCCACCGTGCCTGGCCTTGGGTTTATATTTTATCTTTTTTTTATTATTATTATATTATAGACACCTGTCTCTATATGTTTAACCTCTATTGAATTTTTGCTCTCTGTGCTAGATTCCTGACAGTAAGTTACAGTTATTGCACAGGATTCTGTCAAAAGCCAGAGGAGTCCACTTAAGTTTTACATTTTAGAATAAGGGAAGGAATAAACAGATTGTAATATTGTTGCAACTAATAAACGCCTGAACTATTATATTTTTTTTAAGAGCCAGTAAATAAACTTTAGCAACATCTTAGCCATTATTGTTTCTATTCCAAATGTACAATTCTTTTTGTTTCTTAAAAAGAATCAGGTAGGTCACAGTGGCTTACACTTGTAATCCCAACACTTCGGGAGGACAAGGTGGGCAGATTGCTTAAGTCTAGGAGTTTGAGACCAGCCTGGGCAACATGGCAAAACGCTATCTCTACCAAAAATCCACCCTGACCCCCAAAAAATAGCCAGACTTGATGGCATACACCTGTAGTCCCAGCTACTCAGGAGGCTGAGGTCGGAGGATCACCTGAGCCCATGAGGTTGAGGCAGCAGTGAGCCATGATCACACCATTGCACTGCAGCCTGGGTGACAGAGTGAGACCTTGTCTCAAAAAAAAAAAAAAAAAAAAAAAGAAAAAAGAAAAGAAAGAAACAAAAATAAAGAAAATAATCTTTCCTATTTAATCCCAGCTAGCAAGACATACCTTTCCCTTTTGTACTCAGAATTTGCCCTGACTGCTAATTGGTGTTAGAAAGATAAAAAGTGGTTTTTAAGAAAAAAAAAAAATGTTTAAAAATTGGGATAATTTGTATCTGAAATGATCAAACCATAAGGTTACAATTTCCAACTATGTGGCTATGACAGTTGAACTGTAAAATATAACTCATAAGTCTTTTGGAAAAGTATCAAAATTTACTCTTTCTTTAATAGGGAAAGTTCATATGGCTAATTCCTGATATTGCTATTGTAAGGATAACAGGAGCTAGACTTTTGAAGTTACTCATGACATTAGTTTGTTGATAGGAAATTCTTTTTTTGAAGAGCAGGAAAATCTGTTACATGCCATTATGCTCTTAAAGTGTAGCAATAAGGTTAAACTTTTTGTGTTCTGCAGCTATGGTTTTGTTTCCTTTTAACTATCCACTGTAAAAGCCTTTTTATTTTAAAATCCACACTTTTTGCTGAATTTAGCTTGTTAGTAATTGATTATGCAAGAAATGAATGACAAAGCAATTTTTAAAACATTGTTTTTGTTTTTTCCTCAGTCCTTGGTTTTGATCAGCAAACTACCTTATATTCATTTTTTTCACACTGTGCTCAAACAGATAGCACCAGAGTATTTTGAAAAGAATGAACCTTATTTGGAAGCAGGTAAGTTTAACATATACCTTTATGCAGGAGTTTTAAAATTTTTACTGGAAATAAGTGATAAAAATGAAGTTGATTTATAACAATTTATAAAAATTCAGGTAGGAACTTAAGGAATATATGATAGGAGAAAGGTATAAAACTATTTTTCTGGCATCTGTACCTGCAGATATCCAAAACTGTCTTTTGTTATCTCCTTTAACTACTTTGATGATGCCTGTTATTATTAGAATAATAATAAATGAATATCGAGTTGACAGTTCTAATACTCAGAGTACTATTGAAAAATCCTTATGTCACTTGCTACAGATGGAAGGCCTTTGCCAGTTGATGTGCTTTTGTAGCTAATTAGTAGTAATAAATGAATACAAAAACTCCCTTTAATACTTAGGATATAAATTAACCAATTTATATCCTAGAACATGTGTATTTCTGAGTGAAATATAAAATGTTTTCATCACTTTGACTTTTCTTTTGCCTTTTATCTCTCATTCTTCCAGGTATATTTTTTCTGCTGTATGGAAAGTAGTGTTCTTATTTCTAATGCCTCATTTTTAATACTTTGATATTTTCACTTATTCTAAGAAAATATTTTATTATATTTTTCAGCTTGTAATGATGTTGATCGATGGCCTGCCCCAGTGCCAGGGAAAACATTACACCTGCCAATCATGGGGGTGGTAATGAAGGTAATATCTTATATCTCAATTGTCTCCTTTTTATTTTTATTTTTATTTTTTTGAGACAGGGTCTTGTGCTGTCACCCAGGCTGGAGTACAGTGGCATGATCACAGCTCACTGCAGCCTCAACTTTCCGGGCTCAAGCAATCCTCCCACTTCAGCCCCACAAGTAGCCAGGACCACAGGCATGCACCAACACACCTGGCTAATTTTTAAACTTTTTGTAGACAGAATCTTGCCATGTTTCCTAGGCTAATTGTGATCTTTTTAAAGAACTTTTGGACAGGCGTGGTGGCTCACACCTGTGATCACACCTGTGAGCACTTTGGGAGGCCGAGGCGGGTGGATCCCTTGAGCCCAAGTGTTGAAGACCACCCTGGGCAACATGGTGAAACCTTGTCTCTACAAAAAATAAAAAAATTAACGGGGCATGGTGGTGCACACCTGTAGTCCTAGGTACTTGGGATATTGCTTGAGCCTGGGAAGTTGAGACTGCAGTGAGCCAGGTTTGCATCACTGCATTCCAGCCTGCAGGACAAAAGCGAGACCCTGTCTCAAAAAAAAAAAAAAAGAACTTTGTAGGAAGCTCACACATGGGCTTTGCTTTTTTAACCTTCTATTAATATTAATCATGTTATTGCTTTCCCTTGTTTGTCATTGATGTGAGGCATTATAGAGATATTGCAATACATTTTGCTTCCTAGAACCATTAGTCACACAACTTCAGGCACCTCTGATCTCATGGCATCCTGTAGAGTTTGCAGAAGAGTGTCATTTGTATGTAATACATGTATATGTAAATGCTACCTCCTGGAGTTCTGCAATTCCATGGCCCTGCCAGTGCCTCCAGAGATGAGTGATATGCAGAAACAGATTACTTGGTAGAATTGAGTATGAATTAATAAAAATTAAGAGAAATTGGGAAAGCCATTGGTTCTTAGTCCTAAGTGATGTTCTTAACACGTGATGTCAGACCACACATGTTCATCCCAGGGTTTTGTTCTCTGTTAGATTTTTCTTTTAAATGAATTAGCATTTTGCTCTCAGACTTTGTATAGGTTGTACCCTAAGTGCTTTGCAAGTCACTGTCGAGTAGGACTTATTTTTGACAATGTTCTCTCTCTGCATTTGGCCATTTTTGTAGGATCTGTATTGTGTTTTTCCTTGGGAAATCATCAAAAGTAATACTGATAGTTCTGGATTGAGTGTTCTCATTGTTTCCTGTGAGATTTATCCAAAAATTTGGCAAGCTTGAGAGGGTGTGTTTGGGTGTGTGTATATTAATGAAGCAAAGATTTGAACAATAAACAGGAAGCAGTATGAAGCTGATGTCCATTTTGTTTTTCAACATACTTGCTTCTCAGGGAGTTAGTGATTACTGTGTGTGTGTGGGTATGGAGACCTTGATTTACTTACTTTCTGCTGTGACTAAAAATAAATATGACCTTAGTTTTTAACTCTGACATAGATAATTTTGTTTTTGTAGCTTTTTTGGCATTACTGACCATACCTTTTTAGCAGCAGGATACAGCACTTCTCATCCTCCATTCTTTTATAACCAAAAATAATTTCCTGTCTTTCTTTTAGGTACGGATTCCCACATGTCATGACAAGCCTGGGACAACTCAAATAGTGCAGTTAACTCAGCAGGTAGTGTGGTACTATGGTAGAATGATCCAGCACATATATAGTCTCTTTAACAGAATTTTTAAACTAGCAAATGCAGAGTTTCTTGAGTTTATTACATATTTCTGAATATTACTGAAATGTCCCATTAAATAATTTTTAATGAATTGGTAATATATTTTCTAATGTTTCTTAGGGTCTTTTTTCTTGTTATTTCTCCAGTAGAGACTGGAGAACTCAGAATTTATATTTTAATTGTGAGGAAAAGGGGAAAGTGAATTTTTTTCAATAAGCTTTGATTCTGGCAGAACCTCTTAGGAGAGTGACCAGCAGACTTCTGATTTTAGAAAACTCAGTTAAAAGGATTCTGTAGTTACAATTGCCCTTTATTTTTCCAAAAGCACCATCTGTTCATGGGTGGGGTTGAAGTTTTCATTTGAAATGTTTTAACTGGTGTACATTTTTTTGTTGTACTTTGTTCTTTGAATTGAATAAAAAACAGATAGCAGTAGGAAAACTAGTATTTCTGTTACATATCAACCAGTATTAATGGGAGTATTTCATACAGTTGCAAATTAATCTGATTTACTATTGGATTAATTTTTTCTTAAACAAGGACAGGGTCTCCCTCTGTCTCCCAGGCTGGAGTACGGTGGCACAATCGTAGTTCATGCAGCCTCCAATTCCTGGGCTGAAGTGATTCTCCCACCTCAGCCTCCTAAGTAGCTAGGACTACGGTGCATGCCACCATGCCTGGCTAATTTTTAATATTTTTTGTAGGGATGGGATTTCACTCTGTTACCCAGGCTGGTCTCGAACTCCTGGCATCAAGTGATCCTCCTTCCTGGATTCCCAAAGTGCTAGGATTACAGGCATGAGCTTGGGATTAATTCTTTTTTTTTTTTTGAGATGGAGTCTCGCTCTGTCACCTAGGCTGCAGTGCAGTGGTGCAATCTCGGCTCACTGCAAGCTTCACCTCCCGGGTTCACGCCATTCTCCTGCCTCAGCCTCCCGAGTAGCTGGGACTACAGGCGCCTGCCCCCATGCCTGGCTAATTTTTTGTATTTTTAGTAGAGATGGGATTTCACCGTGTTAGCCAGGATGGTCTCGATATCCTGACCTTGTGATCCGCCCGCCTTGTCCTACCAAAGTGCTGGGATTACAGGCATGAGCTGTCATGCCTGGCCGGGATTAATTCTTTATCCATGTTATCTGCATTATTTTTGATTTTCTGCTATATTAGGGAATATTGGTAAGACCCATTCCCTCTCTGGCTGTTCCTAAAGGAAGAGAATCTTAAAAGTTAGACAGGGCAGCATGGCTTATTGATCATGAGATAGATATATTTTAAAATTTTCCATAAATTTTGGTGATACCTTCTTTTATTTTTCTTTTCTATCTCTCAGGTGGACACAAATATATCTGTTATTTTACCTACTGTTCATGAGGTGGATATTTTCAGGTAAAGAATAAAAAATTTTATTAACTGACTTCCTTTTGCTTTGTGGTGGTGGTGTTAATTTATTTAAAAAATGAATATTATATAGGATGTGGAAAAAATTGGAAGAAAATAGTTATGTTTTACATGTTATAAATCAATGGTTCATCCCTGGGTACATGTTATAAGCTTTGACAATTAGGGAAATTTAAATATAGAATATGTATTATATGTAAAAATATTTTTGTTTGGTTTAGTGTGAGAATTATATTGTAATAATGTTAGAAAACATGCTTTTTTAAAAAAGAGATGCATTTTATTTGGGAGTGAAATGTCATGATGTTTGTGTTCTATTTTAAAATACTTCAGTAAGAAAAAATAGATGACGTGAAAAATGGCAAATATTAATCATTAAATCTGAGTGATATGTATATGATGTTTCTCACACTGTTGTTTTTACTTTTCTGTATGTTTGAAAAATGTCAACATGGAAAATGAAAAAACAAAAAAGAGATACTGTTAGCACTTAGAAAAGAAATAGAGGAAAAATAAAAAGTAATGTTTGTGCCTTTACCCAGAGCAGCTAAATCTTTGGATTGGTACCCAAGTTCTAGTTCCCCAGGTAGTTCTGATGTATAGGCCAGCTTGAAAAACCACTGCTATAAATGAGCAGTTACGAAATGCTCAAAAAGTCATGAAAGACTTAAAATGGATTTTTTTGGTGGGATCTTTTTTCTTTTATTTTTGAGACAGAGTCTCACTCTATTGCCTAGGCTGGAGTGCACTGCTGCAGTCTTGGCTCACAGCAGCCTCCACCTCCCAGGTTCAAGCGATTCTCCTGCCTCAGCCACCCAAGTAGCTGGGACTACAGGTGCACACCACCATGTCTGGCTACATTTTTGTATTTTTAGTAGAGATGGGGTTTCACCATGTTGTCCAGGCTGGTCTCGAACTCCTGACCTCAAGTGATCCACCTGCCTTGCCCTCCCAGAGTGCTGGGATTACAGGTGTGAGCCACTGCGCCTGGCTGACCTTTTTGTTTGTTTTTTATGACTTGTAAACTACATGGAATACTGCTTCAAAAGATTGGTTAGTTTAAAAAAAAAAAAGATTGGTTAGTTTTATATGTTGCTCTAGCACAGTACAGTCATCCTATTTCTAGGTATTTATTCAATAAAAATGAAAATGTGTCTACATGAAGACCTGTATGCAAATGTCTATATAGTAGCTTTATTCATAACAGTATAAAACTATACACAACCGAAGTATCCATCAACTGGTAAATGGACAAACAAAATGTAATACATGAATGCACATGGAATACTATTCAGCAGTTAAAAAAAAGAAGGAACAGTTGATACATGCAACAATGTGAAAGACTTCCAAAAGCATTATGCTAAGTGAAAGTTTCCAGATAATTTAAAGATACTGAATGATTCCATTTATATGATGTTCTGGAAAAGATAAAACTATAGGGACAGAAATCAGATCAGTGGTTACCTGGGGCTGGGGGAGGAAATCTACTACATAAGGGCTGCGGGCATTTCGTGAGGTGATGGAACTATTCTAGATCTTTGGTAAGGGTAAATTTTACTGCATATAAATTATAAATGTGACTTTTAAAACAAATTAATTTTCTTAAAAAGTACATGTTATGGCATTATTAGGATGAAAAGAGGGAGTGTCCCCAAAATGAATAAATATTACAGGCAAAATATACTAAGAAGAATGTGTACATTTCTCGTTTTGATACTTGACTCATTAAGGAATAATTTGCAGAATTGGCATAAATTAATATAGAGTTCAATTATTGGACATTTTTTCTTTTGAACTTCTGGGTATGAGTCTTACGCTTTATTGTTTGTTACTGATTATCTTAGCTTTTGTGGTAATCTTGCATATCCCATATCTGAAATGGTCAGAATCAGAAGTGTTTTGGATTTTGGACTTTTTTGCATTTGGGGATTTTTGCATATACATAATGAGATATCTTGGGGATGGGCCCAAGTTTAAACACAAGGGTCACTTATGCTTCATATACACCTTATACACATAGCCTGAACGTAATTTAAAAAAATATTTTTAATGATTTTGTGCATGCAACTAAATTTTGATTGCATTTTGACTTTGACTTACCTTGAGGTCATAAGTAGAATTTTCCACTTGTGGCATCATGTCAATGCTCAAAACCTTTTGGATTTGGGAACATTTTGTAATGTAGATTTTCACATTAGGGATGCTCAACCCTTAGTTAATTACCCCCATCACTAACACCTTTGATTAGCACATGTCTTGTCTCCTGGATATGAATTACATAATATTGTTTTAAGAGTGGGGCAAGTAAGTTTGTTGTTTTTAAATTCTTGTTTCCCGCCAGATGCAGTGGCTCACGCCTGTAATCCCAGCACTTTGGGAGGCCGAGGCGGGCGGATCATGAGGTCAGGATTTTGAGACCAGCCTGACCAACATGGTGAAACCCCGTCTCTACTAAAAATACAAAAACTAGCTGGGCATGGTGGCGGGCCGCCTGTAATCTCAGCTACTCAGGAGGCTGAGGCAGGAGAATTGCTTGAACCCAGGAGACGGAGGTTGCAGTGAGCTGAGATCGTGCCACTGCACTCCAGCCTGGGCAACAGAATGAGACTCCATCTCAAAAAAAAAAAAAAATTCTTGTTTTCCAAGAGATGAGAAAACCAAATTTTGAAAAATAATCTCACACAGTGATAGTATTATATCAAGCATTTAATATCTAATGATTAGATTAATGCTTTATTTGTGACTGTGCTTTTTGTTTCTGTAGAGCTTACATTTCACGTTTATTAGTGTGAATGAAAGTTTACATATTTATCCAGTTATATTGAAGGTGATAGATTTACACCAAGACTGAGCTTGAAAGCAAAGTAAAGAGACCTAGAAAGGCATTTGAATTTGAGTAGCAGAGATACAGTTGAGTGTAGGCGCTCCTTTCACTAGGTCAAGGTCTATTCCATGGACCACGCCTTTGGTTTCAGCTTTCTTGATCACAGAAATAGTTTCCTCATTCTGTTTTTGAGGTGAGATTAGAATTGAAGGGCAGTTTTCTGTTGAAAGAAATAGACATTTTCTTGCCTTAGAGTCAGGGACATTTTACTTGATGATATTTGCTATTTGTTCCTAGTACAATGAGAGACACATCAGTTATCACCTCCTGCCACCTGCTTCTCTCCCCTGTTCCCTATTGTGACTTGAGAAACAAGTTATTTTGGCTTTCTACCGCATTGGCTGAGTAGACAACAGTTATAGCTGTTTCTATGTTTCAGAGATTGAGAAAGCCTGTCACCACATAAAATGTATCTGATGCTATCTGACACATGTTGATTTCCTTTGGGTTTAGGTTTCAGATTATAATAACATACTATATCTTTCTCAAAAGGTTGAAACCACTGTTTAATTCTTAGAAGTGAATTTCTGGCTGGGCACGGTGGCTCACACCTGTAATCCCGGCACTTTGGGAGGCCAAGGCAGGTGGATCACGAGGTCAGGAGATCGAGACCATCCTGGCTAACACGGTGAAACCCCGTCTCTACTAAAAATACAAAAAAAAAAAAAATTAGCCGGGCGTGGTGGCGGGCACCTGTGGTCCCAGCTACTTGGGAGGCTGAGGCAAGAGAATGGTGTGAACCCGGGAGGTGGAGCTTGCAGTGAGCTGAGATCGTGCCACTGCACTCCAGCCTGGGTGACAGAGTGAGACTCCATCTCAAAAAAAAAAAAAAAAAAAAAAAAGTGAATTTCTAATTATTTTCCCAAGGCATGGCTGTTTTGGTGGTGGGAGCTTAGCATAAAGGCATGATACGCCAGAATGGGAATATAAATGTGGTACTAAAAAAAAAAAACCCAGTGATTTCCTTACAGACCTTCATTTCAGTAATCCTATACTGCAGTTAATTTGGAGCACGCTACCTTTTTTTTTTTTTTTTTTTAGATGGAGTCTCGCTCTGTCGCCCAGGCCGGAGTGCAGTGGTGCGATCTCGGCTCACTGCAACCTCCGCCTCCTGGGTTCAAGCAATTCTCCTGCCTCAGCCTCCCGAGTAGCTGGGACTACAGGCTTGTGCCACTACATCCGGCTAATTTTTTTTATTTTTAGTAGAGACGGGGTTTCACCGTTGTTAGCCAGGATGGTCTCGATCTCCTGACCTCACGATCTGCCCGCCTCAGCCTCCCAAAGTGCTGGGATTACAGGCGTGAGCCACCGCGCCCGGCCTACTACTAATATTTTTTAGTTCGAGAGAAGTTTCCTTTCCTGAATATTAAAAACTTACCTCCCACCCAAAAAAACAACTTTGATAACATATTATCAGTATAATACAAAGCTTTCAAAGAATGATTTATCTTGTAACTATACTTCCTATCTTCTATGTGTGCCCTTTGCTAATAATATATTAATATACTTGAAAGACAATAATTTGCAACTTGGTGCCTTAAAGGAATCCCACTATTAAAGTCAGTTGGTGAGATGTTTTCATGTAGGCCTTTTTCATTTTTCCTTTGCTTATTTTTACAAACCAACAGAAAAGTAGTAAGTACAATACAGAAGACTTTTTTCCCAAACCATTTGGTAGTAAGCTGGCGACTTGGTGCCCTGTCATCTCTTAATACTTTAGAGTCTATTTCCTACAAACAAGTATACAACGCAACCATCAAAATTGGTAAAATCAACATTGATAAGTTAATATCATCTAATACTAAGACCAGTTCAAATGTTACCAGTTGTTACAATAATGTCTAGTTGAGAATCATCTGTTGCATGTAGCTGTCACATCTCATTAGTCATCTTCAGTCTAGAATAGTTCTTTAGTCTCTGACTTTCATGATCCTGATATTTTGCAGATTACAGGACAGTTATTTTGCAGAAACTCCTCAGTTTAGGATTGTCTGGTATTTACTCCTGATTAGATTGAGGCTCTGCATCTGTCAGGAGGTGGCATATAAGTTGAGCTTGACTTGTTATTGATGATGTTCAGTTTGATAACTTGATTAATGTGGTATCCTCCAAGCTTCTCCACTGATAAGTTAATTGTTTTTTCTTTTGTAATTAGGTATTTTTGGGGGAGATATTTGAAACTATATATGTTATTTATTGATGTGTAACAAATTATCCCAATACTTAGGCTTAAAAGAACAAACATTATTTCACACAGTTTCTGAGGGCTGGAAATCTGGGAGCTGCTTAGGTGGGTAGTTCTGGCTCAGAGTTTTTTATGTGGTTGCAGTCAAGTTGTTATCTGTGGTTTCAGTCAGTTGGACATAGGAGTCTGGAGAGTCTGCTTCCCTACAAGGCTTACTCGCACAGCTTGGCTGGAGATCGCAGTTCTCTGTGGCTGTTGTTAGGAGGTCTCAGCCCTAGCCTTATGGACTTCTCCATAGGGCTGCCTAATGTTCTCACAACATGGCAGCTAACTTTTCCCAGAGCAAGCACTGAGAGAAGGCTGAAGCCACAGTGTCCCGTATGACTCAGCCTTCAAAGTTGTACATTGTCATTTCTACCGTATTCTGTTAATTACAATCAAACCAGTAATCCAGTCCGCGCTCAAGAACGGGAGAATTAGGCTCCATGTTTTGAAAGGACTGTCAAAGAATTTGTGGACAGATGTTATTTATTTATTTATTTTTATTTTTATTTTATTATTTTTGTAGAGAGGGTGTCTTGCTATGTTACCCAGGCCAGTCTTAAACTCTTGCCTCAAGTGATCCTCCCACCTAGGTGTTGGGGTTACAGGAGTGAGCCACCATGCACAGCCTGGACATATTTTAAATCACCACACTATTTTTATATATCTGTTTGGACTCTGATTTCTTGTTTTATTCAATAGATTCTAATCCATTATTACCTATTTTGATATTCAAATTGTCCCAGTTTAGCCAGTGAGAACTTAGTACAGGGTGGCTTCTATGTTCTTTTGCCATATCTCTGTCATTCTTTGAACACTGTCTTGCTTTCTGGTGTGAGATATTCCGGGTTTATCTTTTTTTTTTTTGGTAATTAAATAAACTGGTTTGTAATTATCATATCATACAATATTCAACCTTTTAAAGTACAATTCACTAGTTTTTTAATATATTCACAAAGTTGTGCAACCATCACTGCTAATTCCAGAACATTTTCATCACCTCAAAACATAACCCTGTACCTATTAGCAGTTCCCATTCCCTCTTCTTCCCAGCCCCTTGCCATTACTAATTTACTTTCTGTCTCTATGGACTTGCCTGTTTTGGACATTACATTTAACTAGAATCATACAAAATGTGACCTTTTGTGTCTGTCTTCCTTCACCCAGAATAATGTTTATAAGGTTCATCTGTGCAGTATCATGAATCAGTACAGATGCTCCTAGACTTATAAGGGGGTTATGTCCTGTTAAACCCATTGTAAGTTTGCAAATTGTAAGTTGAAAGTGCGTTTTTGATATTTTCAGTTTACAATGGGCTTATCTGGAGGTAAGTCTGTCATATGTTGAGGAGCATACTGAATGCGTACTGCTTTTGCAACATCATAAAGTTAAAAATTGTAAGTCGACCCATTGTAACATGGGGACTGTCTGTACTTCATTTTTTTAATGGTTGAATAATATTCCATGTGGATGGGCCAGGTGCAGTGGCTCACGCCTGTAATCCAAGCACTTTGGGAGGCCAAGGTGGTCAGATCATCTGAGATCGGGAGTTCGAGACCAGTCTGACTGGCATGGAGAAACCCCATCTCTACTAAAAATACAAAACTAGCCGGGTGTGGTGGCACATGCCTGTAATCCCAGCTACTCTGGATGCTGAGGCAGGAGAATCTCTTGAATCTGGGAGGCGGAGGTTGTGGTGAGCCAAGATCGCGCCATTGCACTCCAGTCTGGGCAACAAGAGCAAAACTCCATCTCAAAAAAAAAAAAAAAATTCCATGTGGATATACTACATTTTGTCTATCCATTCACCTTTTGATGCAGGTTTGGATGGTTTACACTTTTGGTTATTATGAATAATGCTACTGTCCACATTTGTGTATACGTCTTTGTGTGGACATGTTTTCCATTCTCTTGGGTTCCAGATCATCTTGTATTTTCTCTTCCCAAGCCCTAGAACCAGCCATTTCTCTAAAAAGCCTTTGTTCTTTTTAGCAGAGAATAAGATTTAGAAGACAAGATCTGGGCACTTGGTGTGCTTATTGATATTGAGATATCATTGCTTTTAGACCCTCTCAAGTGGACAAAGCTAGGATGTGTGTGTGTGTATGTATGTGTGTGTGTGTGTGTGTGTGTGTATGTAAATGCATGTATATATACACACTCATATATTAAATTATTTTTTATTAACTGATTTAATCAATACCTCTGTTAGTAATCAATGCTGCATCTCTGCTGCAACTTTTTTTTTTTTAGGTTTTTTGTTTATTTCAAAAGGTTTTTGGGGAATAGGTGGTGTTTGGTTGCATGAATAAGTTCTTTAGTGATGATTTCTGAGATTTTGATATACCCATCACACGAGGAATGTACACTGTACCCAATATGTAGTCTTTTTATCCCTCACCCCCTCCCTCCCTTTCCCCACTGAGTTCCCAAAGTTCATAGTATCATTCTTATGTCTTTGCATCCTCATAGCTTAGCTCCCACTTATGAGTGAGAACATATGATGTTTGGTTTTCCATTCCTAAGTTACTTTAGAATAATGGTCTCCAATTCCATCTAGGGCGCTCTGAATGCCTTTATTTCATTCCTTTTTATGGCTGAGTAGTATTCCACGGTGTGTGTGTGTGTGTGTGTATATATATACAGAGAGTCAGAGCCCAAAAAGGGGAAGATGGCACCCACTTGGAGACGTGGTCTAGTGGGATAGAGTAACCTGAATGAGACAGGAGGGTATCCATGGGGGTGGGGGTGGGGGGTCAATCCAACAAGGAGAATCAGAGAGTGAGCAGGGTAAGGAGGGTATCCATGCAGAAGGGAAGCCAGGTGTAGAATGTCAGGGCCCAGGGGAGATGAGAAAAGTATTAGCATGGGGGACAAATATATATATACACACATACAACTATATATATATATATTTTTTTTTTTTCACTCATTGATTGATGGGCATTTGGGCTTGTTCCATATTTTTGCAATTGTGCATTGTGCTGCTATAAACATGCATGTGCAAGAATCTTTTTTTTTTTTTTATGACTTCCTTTCCTCTGGGTAGATACCCAGTAGTGGGATTGCTGGATCAAATGGTAGATCTACTTTTAGTTCTTTAAGGAATCTCTGTACGGTTTTCCATAGTGGTTGTACTAGTTTACATTTCTACCAACAGTGTAAAAGTATTCCCTTTTCACCACATCCACACCAACATTTATTATTTTTTGATTTTTTGATTATGGCTATTCTTGCAGGAGTGAGGTACTAGTGCATTGTGGGTTTGATTTGCATTTCCCTGATAATTAGTGATGTTAAGCATTTTTTAATGTTTGTTGGCAATTTGTATATCTTCTTTTGAGAATTGTCTATTCATGTCCTTAGCCCACTTTTTGATGGGATTGTTTATTTTGTTCTTGCTGATTTAAGTTCCTTATAGATTCTGGATATTTGTCCTTTGTTTGGATGTATAGATTGTGAAGATTTTCTCCTATTCTGTGAGTTGTCTGTTTACTCTGCTGATTATTTCTTTTGCTGTACAGAAGCAAAATAAGTCCCATCTATTTATCTTTGTTTTGTTGCATTTGCTTTTGGGTTCTTGGTCATGAAGTCTTTGCCTAGGTTTATGCCTGGATGGGTTTTTTCCAATGTTATCTTCTAGAAATTTTATGATTTCAGGTCTTAGATTTAAGTTTTTGATTAATCTTGAGTTTGTTTTTGTAAAGGATGAGAGATGAGGATCCAGTTTCATTCTTCTACATGTGGCTTGCCAATTATCTCAGCACCATTTGTTAAATAGGGTGTCTTTTCCCCACTTTATGTTTTTGTTTGCTTTGTTGAAGATCAGTTGACTGTAAGCATTTGGCTTTATCTCTGGGTTCTCTGTTCTGTTCCATTGGTCTATATGCCTATTTTTATACCAGTACCATGCTGTTTTGATGACTATGGCTTTACAGTGTAGTTTGAAGGCAGATAATGTATTGCTTCCAGATTTGTTCTTTTTGCTTAGTCTTACTTTAGCTATGCAGGCTCTTTTTTGGTTCCATATGAATTTTAGGATTGTTTTTTCTAGTTCTGTGACGAATGATGGGAACAAGCAGTGTAAGGAGGGCATTGATGGGAATTGCGTTGAATTTGTAGATTGCTTTTGGCAGTATGGTCATTTTTACAATATTGACTCTACCCATCCATGAGCATAGGATGTGTTTCCATTTGTTTGTGTCGTCTGTGATTTTTTTCAGCAGTGTTTTGTCATTTTCCCTGTAGAGGTCTTTCACCTCCTTGAGTAAGTATATTCCTTAGTATTTTATGTATTGCAGCTATTGTAAAAGGGGTTGATTTGATTCTCAGCTTGGTTGCTGTTGGTGTATAGGAGAGCTACTGATTTGTGTACATTAATTTTGTATTCGGAAACTTTGCTGAATTCATTTACCAGTTCTAGGAGGTTTTTGGATGAGTTTTTAAGGTTTTCTAGGTATATGATGTCATCAGCAAACAGTGACAGTTTAAATTCCTCATTACCAATTTGCATGCTCTTTATTTCTTTCTCTTCTCTGATTGCTCTGGCTAGGACTCTGCTGCAACTTTGTCCCCCAAGCTAATAGTTTTCTCATCCCCACTGGGCCCTGACATTCTACACCTGGCTTCCCTTCTGCATGGATACCCTCCTTACCCTGCTCACTCTCTGATTCTTCTTGTTGGATTGACCCCCCACCCCCACCCCCATGGATACCCTCCTGTCTCATTCAGGTTACTCTGTCCCACTAGACCACATCTCCAGGTGGGTGCCATCTTCCCCTTTTTGGGCTCTGACTCTCAACACCAGGTCAAGCCTCACATGAGTGCTCTCCTTACCCTGCTTGTGTGCTTACCCTACTCCAGGGTACTTCTCCATGGAGATACCCTCATTTCTCTGCTCTGACACCTTATGCCAGGTGGTCCCACATTGTGACAACCTCCTCAACTCATTCTGTCTTTGATGCTACTCATCAGGCTACCTGTCTGTGCTTCCTGGGCTCTGTGAACTGAAACCAAATAATCCCCACACATGTATACATTGCTCACCACATTTGGGCTCCAGCAGTTCCACAGTAGGCCACTATCTGCATGTAGATGTCCACCTTACCTTACATAAGCTCTGACACGCCTCCCTGGTCAATACGGCTCTCTTTCCCTCATGGCAGAGATACCTACCATGTTCTGCTTTAGGACTGAGTTGTTTAGGAAGGGAAGAGGAAGAGCTCCTTTGCCTTACCCATGAGCTGTTTTTTTGTTGTTGTTTGTTTCTTTTGTGGCACTTATCTTGTTTTTGAATAGTTAAAATTAACTCCCCTAATTTCCATCTCATAATTTGTTGCATATTTTTGCACTTAATTGTTGTTTGATTTTTCTTTTCTTTTTTATTTGCATGTGTGTCTTTTCAACTGAGTGGATTGGTTGTGATTTTCATAAATAGATAAGATTTTCCCCCCTAATCTACTAGGAAAATTTTTTACCAAGCCAGGAGGAAATTCCTAAATAAGTGAAAGTTACCAAGTGTCTTAGGCCTGGTAACATACTAGCAGAGTTGTGTCCCAACAGGCCTCCACCCAATTCCAGGGCTGCTGTAAAAATACTCAGCACTTCTGTAGAGGGAGTATCTGCCCAGGAGTTTCGCTCTTGTTCAGCATTAGCACTCCCCCTTGTGATTTGTCATCATTCTTTAATGTCAGAAGTATTGGGTTTTAAGTTAAGTATATCCAATAAGTGCCCTTGGAAAATTAATTTTTCTTATTTCCTTAAAAATATTTAGGATTGAAATTCAAAGTATCAAAGCAATATTGATAAAATAGATCGATCATATGGTACAACAATTTGAGAATTATATGCTTTTATTGTCAGTTATTCTGTGTGTCAATATATTACATTTAATTTTGTAAAAATTAGGATGAGTCAAATTGATAGATATTTTTATGTGGATAAAAGGGACTTATGTCTCTATACATCACCATATTCTAAATGAATTTGTGTATCAGATCAGGATACAAATAGCAGGAAGAATTTATATCAATGTGGAGTTTTTAGAAAGATTATGTAGGAATTTTAAAAACAGGATTGGCTACATTAAAAAGTATTTCTACTGTGCATCACCTTTCAGGTGTTTCTGCCCAGTTTTCCTTCATAGTCAGATGCTCTGGGAGCTGGTGCTGTTGGGGGAGCCCCTTGTGGTTATGGCGCCATCACCATCGGAATCATCAGAGACTGTATTGGCACTTGTTAAGTGAGTCTATTTGGTTACTATTTCTGGGTTTTTTTTTTGGATGCTGCAGTACTTAACCTGTTGGTGATATTTGCAGCACTTCCCACCTGTCGTATTTTTCCCCACCCATTATTGCATTGATCCATGCAAAAACCCTATCAGAAGGTAATGCTTATTATAGCACCATTTTATGGATGAGAAAATTGATTCAGGCTCCCTGAGGGCTGGAACCATGCCTTTGTTGTTCTGAGTGGCAGGCACATTGATTCATTACATGAAGTTGTTCCTTGATAAATATTACTTGTGTGAATGATCAGTGTAGAGTCAAAGGCACATAGCTAGTGAACAGTAGAGCCAGAATTTCACCGCATCTTCTGCCCCAAACCCAGTGTGTTCTTTCAGTATGCCATTTCACATTACATATATCTGTCTTTCTAATTCTGTGAAATGAGTTTACCATTTATTAAAATAAACAAAGTATCCCTTTGTGTGTATACCGTTTGTATAGATGTTTTCTAGTTATAGATTAGGACCTTTAATTTCTGTGTCCTTTATTTTACATGTTCTTCCTGCTCCACAGCTGTATTTCTCCATTAAAGTACTTCAGTGATTTCCGACCTTATTTCACTATTCATGATAGTGAATTCAAAGAATATACTACCCGTACCCAAGCTCCGTAAGTAAAAATAACTTCTATTGACCAGGTATTACCTTTATAACCAAAATTGTGTAGAATTATTTTTGGTAATAAAAGCTTATAGGCAGAATGATCTTATAAAAGGAAAGTTTGAGGAGCTGCTGGAAATAATTTTAGATTTTAAGAGTTAGTACCTTATTTGAGCGATTTTATGTATTTATTTTTATTTATTTATTTTTGAGACAGAGGTTTGCTCTGTCGCCCAGGCTGGAGTGCAGTGGCATGATCTCGGCTCACTGCAACCTCTGCCTCCTGGGTTCAAGAGAGTCTCCTGCCTCAGCCTCCTGAGTAGCTGGGATTACAGGCATGCGCCACCACGCCCGGCTAATTTTTGTATTTTTAGTAGAGACAGGGTTTCACCATGTTGATCAGGCTGATCTCGAATTCCTGACTTTGTGATCTGCCTGCCTCAGCCTCACAAAGTGCTGGGATTACAGGTGTGAGCCACCACACCCGGCCCACGTGATTTTATTTATTAATGGAAGCTATATTGTCATTAATAGCGACTGGGTTGTACTTTCAGTTGTACTTCTTTATGAAAAATCTTTTCAATCTGTAAAAAGAAAAAATAATCTTACCCTTTCCCTTTTAGCTCTTGCTCTATCGCTCACCTTCTTTTTACAGCTAGATTTCTAAAGCAACAACAAAAATCTGCATGTACGATCTCCACTTCCTGATTTTCTGGTTGCTTCTAGTCAACTGCGGATTGACTTCTTCATATTCACTGAATTTGTTCTTGCCAGATCATCAATACCCTTCTCACTGTTTCACCCAGTGGGCATATCATTGCCCTGTTTTTCCTTTTCTTTCTGTCTTTCCCCCTCCCCTCCCCTCCCCACCCCTCCCCTCCCCACCCCTCCCCTCCCCTCCTCACCCCTCCCCTCCCCTCCCCACCCCTCCCCTCCCTTCCCCTCCTCTCCCCTCCTCTCCCCTCCCCTCCCCTCCCCTCCCTTCCCTGTTGCCCAGGCTGGTCTGCCACCTCTTCTTTCTTGTAACATTTACACTTTTAACCTTAAAAATATTTTAATCACCAGCCAGTCGTGATGGCCCATGCCTGTAATCCCAGCACTTTGGTAGGCTGAGGCGGGCAGATCACTTAAGTCCAGGAGTTAGAGACCAGCCTGGGCAACATGGCAAAACCCTGTCTCCACAAAAAAAATACAAAAATTAGCTGGATGTGGTGGCATGCATCTGTAGTCCCAGCTACTCATGAGGCTGAGGTGGGAGGATGGCTTGAGCCTAGGAGGCAGAGGTTGCAGTGAACTCAGATCGTGCCACTGGACTCCAGCCCTGGGGAACAGAGTGAGACCCTGTCTCAAAAAAAATTTTTTTGTAAATCTCTAATACTGTTCTCTCCTGGGCTGTCTTGTGGTGCATCCCAATCTTCTTTGCAGACTTCTTTTCTCTACGAATCCCTTAAATGTTGGTGTTCGCTAGGTATTGTGTTCTGAGTTCTGATTTCAGACTGATAGTTTTTTTTTTTTTTTTTTGAGATGGAGTCTGGCACTGTCATCCAGGAGGGAGTGCAATGGCGCCATCTTGGTTTACTGCAACCTCCGCCTCCCGGGTTCACGAGATTCTCCTGCTTTAGCCTCCCAAGTAGCTGGGATTACAGGTGCACACTATCACACCCAGCTAATTTTTTGTATTTTTAGTAGAGACAGGGTTTCACTATATTGGCCAGACTGGTCTTGAACTCCTGACCTCGTGATCTGCCCACCTTGGCTTCCCAAAAGTGTTGGGATTACAGGCATGAGCCACCACGCCTGGCCCAGACTGATAATTATTTCTGTACAGTTTTTTTTTTTTTTTTGAGACAGAGTCTCGCTCTGTTGCCTGGGCTGGAGTGCAGTGGCATGACCTCAGCTCACTGCAAACTTCACCTCCTGGGTTCAAGTGATTCTCCTACCTCAGCCTCCCAAGTAGCTGGGATTACAGGCATGCACCACCACACCCAGCTAATTTTTGTATTTTTAGTGGAGATGGGGTTTCATCATGTTGGCCAGACTGGCTCGAACTCCTGACCTCAAGTGATCCACCCGCCTCAGCCTCCCAAAGTGCTGGGATTACAGACGTGAGCCACCGTGCCTGGCCCTTTCTGTACAGTCTTATCTGTACCCATGGCTTCTGTTAATACCCCATGTTAATGACTGAAATATATCTTTCTAGCCAATATCTCTGTGAGGTCCAGACCTATATAACCAGGCGTGTGTGTGTGTTGTGGGGGGAGGGGGATGTTTTAAGCACATTGCCCCATAGAAGATAGAAGTCTTAATGGCATCTGAAACTAAACATGTGCAAACTGAATTATTTTTGTCTCCCTCTTTTCTCCCCTAATCTCATACCTCTTCTTTCTTTTCATGGATGGCATTAGTTTTCACTTAGTTCTCAAAACCTTGTCATAAATTTCTCCTTTGTAACATGCCCCACATTAAATTTTACCAAATTCTGTCAGTTTGATATCCTAAAATATCTCTGATTACATTTCTTATCTTCTTTCTATTGCTCCCTTTCCAGTCTTACTGCCTCTCATGTTTTGCATATCCAAATTTGCTTTTCCCTCAACCCCTTCTCTCCTCATAAGATAACTTCCAAATTTCTTCCAGAGTGATCTTTCTTTTTTTTTTTTTTTTGAGATGAAGTCTCGCTCTTGTCCCCCAAGTTGGAGTGTGATGGCGCGATCTTGGCTCACTGCAACCTCCACCTCCTGGGTTCAAGTGATTCTCCTGCCTCAGCCTCCCCAGTAGCTGGGATTACAGGCGCCTGCCACCACACCTGGCTAATTTTTGTATTTTTAGTAGAGATGGGGTTTCACCGTGTTGGCCAGGTTGGTCTCGAACTCCTGACCTCAGGTGATCTGCCCACCTCGGCCTTCCCAAAGGGCTGGGATTACAGGCGTGAGCCACCGCGCCTGGCCGATTGATCTTTCTAATAAGTGCTTTTTCTTTCATGCGGCATTCCTCCACTTGGTTATCTGGTAGTTTCCCTTTGCCTGTAAGATAACATCTAAACTTCTTAGCATACTAACATGGCTCTAATGATCGGGCAACAATATTCTCATTTCTGACTATTCATCCTTTCTGCTTTTGCTCCAGGAATGCTAAACTCTGTGTAGTTCTACAGACAGGCCATAATGTCACTTCATTGCTTTGCACATAGTTTGTTCTGCATCACTCTTCCCTCTCTCATCCACTTGGCAAAAAACGCCCACTCATCTTTCACGTCTTCCTGTAAATATTACCTCCTTGGTGAGGCTGTCCTTTAATCCCCTGGTAGACATAGGTTCTCCTTTGTGATTATTATGCTTTTTTTTTTTTTTTTTTTTTGAGACAGAGTCTCACTCTGCTGCCCAGGCTGGAGTGCAGTGATGCAATCTCAGCTCACTGCAACCTCCGCCTCCTGGTTTCAAGCAATTCTCCTGCCTCAGCCTCCTGAGTAGCTGGGATTACAGGTGCCCACCAGTACGCCCAGCTAATTTTTTGTAATTTTAGTAGAGATGGGGTTTCACCATGTTGGCCAGGTTGGCCTCGAACTCCTAACCTCGTGATCTGCCCGCCTCAGCCTCCGAAAGTGCTGGGATTACAGGCGTGAATCACCGCGCTCGGCTAATTGTTGTGCATTTTAAACCACCTTCACTGTCTTCTAATTTTGGCATCATAACTGGGTGTGTATATCTTTCTTCCTGTGTGCTGCTGGAAGGACCGTGTCCTTTCGTCTTTTTATGTCTAGTGTAAAACGTGTTGCCTGGCATGTAGTTGATATGTAATGTGTTGAATAAAGGAAAAATCAATCTGTGTATTGTTCATTGAAAAAAAAAGTAAACTATTCTTCACTGATTTAGCATTCATCTTTTTCTCACCTTTTTTATTTTGTTTTGTTTTGTTTTTTATAGGCCCTCAGTTATATTAGGAGTAACCAACCCTTTTTTTGCTAAGACACTCCAGCACTGGCCACACATTATTCGAATAGGAGACCTTAAACCTACAGGTAAAGTATAAACTTGGTGTTCTGTTTCTAGTGTGCAGTGTTGCTGAACAGGTTTCTTTCTTTTCATCCTTGATTATTTTTTATGTTGATGGCAGCTTTCTTCAAGGCCTTTGGAGAAGGGTATAATTTCCTGCTAATTTCCCACTAAAATATGCAGGCTCTTATAATATGTATAATCTGTCATGTCCTCCTACCAAAAAATATACTTATAGTGTTATATTATTATAGAATAATAATATAACACTTATAGAATTATAGTAAAATGAAGTCTTAAAAATGTTAGCTTTATATATATTAAATATATACTTAAATATATATTTTAATATAATATATTGAATATAAATATATATTTAAATATATAATATTTAAATATATATTTTAATATAACATTGAATATAAATATATAATATATATTTAAATATTTAAATATATATTTTTATTACTTAAATATTTAAATATATATAAATATATATTTAAATATACTATATATATATTTAAAAGCCCAATAAAACAGAACTTTCTATATATATAGAAGCCCAATAAAACAGAACTTTCCAATACTGCTTGAGTAAAACCTTATAGAAAACTAGAATTATTCCCAACTTATCACAAAATACACAGCTAGGTCTCAAAACAAGTATATGTCCCTGTAGCACAGGTTATTGATTTAGGGAGCGGTTCAAAGTGTCTTTTCATATGGAAAAGACATACAGTACCTTGTTCATGGTAGGAGTTTAACAGATGTTTAAGTATATGAATTCTGAGGTTGGAAGTTTTGTTAACCTAGATGACAACTAAATGGTACATTAATTAAGGACATGAGTCTTGCGTATGAGAAGATATGAGAAAATTTTTTAAATCTTAATTTAATCTTGACATTTATTTCATGGTTTGGGCGTAGTAATTTAGACTGTTTTATTAATTGTAATGTAGCGGACTACTGACTATTTTCTCCTTCCAATGGAAGACATCTCTCCGACATGACAATGGACATTCATGAATTTTCCACTGAAATAGTTGGGATTATAAAGTTATTTTCTAATAACTTTATAATGTACTACATTTATCTATTTATGTGACAGAGTCTCACTCTGTTGCCCAGGCTGGAGTACAGTGGCACTATCTCGGCTCTCCCAGGTTCAAGTGTTTCTCCTGCCTCAGCCTCCCAAGTAGCTGGGATTACAGGCACCCACCTCCTTGCCCGGCTAATTTTTGTATTTTTAATAGAGACGGGGTTTTGCCATGTTGGCAAGGCTGGTCTCAAACTCCTGAGCTCAGGTGATCTGCCCACCTTGGCCTCCCAAAGTGCTGGGATTACAGGTGTGAGCCACCACTCCCTGCCACTACCTTTTTTGTTTTTTGTTTTTTTTTGTTTTTTTTTTTTGAGACAGAGTCTCACTCTGTCACCCAGGCTGGAGTGCAGTGGCATGATCTCGGCTCACTGCAATCTCTGCTTCACGGGTTCAGGAGATTCTCCTGCCTCAGCCTCCCAAGGAGCTGGGATTACAGGCGCCCACCACCACGCCTGGCTAATTTTTGTATTTTTAGTAGAGACGGGGTTTCACCATGTTGGCCAGTTTGGTCTCAAACTCCAGACCTCCAGACCGCCCACCTCGGCTTCCCAAAGTGCTGGGATTACAGGCTGAGCCACTGCGCCTGGCCAGCAACCACTACTTTTAAAACTTGTTCCTTTTGTTATACATAGATATATTTAAAACATGACTTAATCATCTGATTTTACAAGATATTCCTTCTGGTATATACATATATCTAAATGGAAGTATTAGAATCAAGGATAACATTTTAAATAGTACTGTTTACAAATTCTGGACTCGGTCTTACTGAAATTTTTAGAAGCCTTATGAAATAGAGGAAAAAGCAAAGGGCTTCATCTTGGCAATCAGAACTGTGTGCTAATAGGCTGAATAGCATCTTTAAGCCTCAAATTTTTTGTCTGCTAGGAGGATTAAACACAGTGCCTGATGCATGGTACTCTGTAAATGGCATGGTCCCCTGCCATTCTGTTACTGTTCTGTCTGAGTATTAATGATAATACAGAGAACAACAGTTGCTAGAGTCTTGGATATGAGATGATATGATAAATTTTTTTAAATCTTAATTTAATCTTGACATTTTCATGGTTTGGGCCTACTAATTTAGACTATTAATTATAATGTAGTAGACTACTGATTGTTTTCTCTTTCCAGTGGAAGAAGTCTCTCTGCTAGATGTAGGTAGATAACTTTTGCACAAAATCATTGGTAGAGCAGCATGAATTGATAAATCTGTTTAAGAAATCACCAAACTGTTTGCCAAAGTGGCCCATCAGTTTACATTCTTACCAGCAATGTATGAGGGTTCCTATTTCTTAACATCTCTGCCAACATTTGATGTTGTCATTTTCATTATGGCCATTCTAGAATGTTTGAAATGGTGATGTTAATTTGCTTTTCTCTAATGACTAATGATGGTGAGCACTTTTTCATCTACTTCCTTTCATTCATATATCTTTGGTGAAATGTCTATTTAAATATTTTGTCTTTTTGTGTGTGTGTGTGATAGGGTCTTGTGCTGTTGCTCAGGCTGGAGTGCATTGGCACAATCATAGCTCACTGTAACCTTGAACTCCTGGGCCCAAGTGATCCTTCTGCCTCAGCCTCCCGAGTAGCTGGGAGTACAGGTGCACGCCACCACGCCTGGCTAATTTTTTATTTTTTCTGTAGAGACAGGATCTTGCAATGTTGCTGGTCCTAAACTCCTGTGCTCAAGCAGTCCTCCTGCCTTGGCCTCCCAAAGTGTTGGGATTACAGGTGGGAGCCACCACACCTGGCCTGTTATTTTTCATTTTTTTTGATAGTAACCATCCTAATGGGCATGAGTTAGTATTTTATTGTGGGTTTCATTTTCATTTCCCTCATGATCGGTGATATTGAGTATCTTTCCATTGTTTATTGGCCATTTTATTTATTTATTTATTTAGTTATTTATTTATTTTTGAAACGGAGTCTCACCCTGTTGCCTGGCTGGAGTGCAGTGGCGCAATCTTGGCTCACTGCAACCTCCACCTCCCGGGTTCAAGCAATTCTCCTGCCTTAGCTCCCCGAGTCGCTGAGATTACAGGCATGCACCACCACACCCAGCTAATTTTTGTATTTTTAGTAGAGACAGGGATTCACCATGTTGGCCAGGCTGGTCTCGAACTCCTGACCTCAGGTGATCCACCCGCCTTGGCCTCCCAAAGTGCTGCAATTGTAGGCGTGAGCCACCACACCCAGCCTGTTTATTGGCCATTTATATATTTTCTTTGGAGAAATGTCTATTCAAGTCCTTTGCCCACTTTTAATAGAGTTGTTTGAATGGGTTTTTTTTTTTTAGTTATAGGAATTCTTTATATATTCTGAATAGTAATCCTTATTAGATATATGCTTTGTGAATATTTTCTTCTATTTTGTATTGTCTTTTTGCTCTCTTGATGGTGTCCTTTGATGCACAGAAGTTTATTTTATTTATTTATTTTTTGAGATGGAGTCTTGGTCTGTCTTCCAGGCTGGAGTACGGTGGCATGATCTTGGCTCACTGCAACCTTCGCCTCCTGGGTTCAAGTGATTCTCCTGTCTCAGCCTCCCCAGTAGCTGGGATTACAGGTGTGCGCCACCACACTCAGCTGATTTTTGTATTTTTAGTAGAGATGGGGTTTCACCATGTTGGCCAGGCTGGTCTCGAATTCCTGACCTCGTGATCCACTCACCTCAGCCTCCCAAAGTGCTGGGGTTACAAGCGTGAGCCACTGTGCCCGGCCTGTGCACAGGAGTTTATAATTTAATAGTCTTATTTATTTATTTTTTTTGTTTTCTTCTGTTCTTTTTCTTCTGCTTTTTTTTTTTTTGAAGTCTTATTTATTTTTTCTTTGTATTGCTTGTATATTTGGTGTCATAGTCATGAAATCTCATATATCTTTTAATTTATGAGTGGTTTATATCTTGGAGTATTTTTCTGCTTGTTGAGTTAAAAAACACCCAGGCCCACTGCAAATGCTGCACAAGTTGTGCAACACAGCCCTGCTCAGGATTCTGGCTTTGAAACCTGAGATAGACTGTGAGTTCTACAAGGAAAAAAAAAATCTGGCAGGGTCAGTAAAATTAGAGAAAAAAACATCTTCTTTAGAACCAAGAGGGAAGGCACAGCAGAATTAAGATTTTGCTCTCCTGTGTCCTGAAACTTTACCAGAAACATATATTTAGTGTTAACCTTGCAGAAGGATCATTCCTCCTGATATAAAGGGATTGCTTTTTCTGGATTGTACCTAGTTTTAGTGCACCCACATCCTTGACAAGATGTTCCTCTGTGTCTAGTTATGACAGAGCTAACAACCTGTCTTAATAGGGCACTCATTAATCAGAATGAATGATGGCAGTAACCAGCTGGTTCTGGTGCATACCAGGTAAATATCAAGTTCTGCCCATGCTTTAGTTTCTTCATCTGTGAAATGGGCATCATAAATAAACTCTTATTGTGAAGATTAAATGTGATAATTTGTGCAGTATTCTTGGACCAGAGACTGGCACGGAGGACATCTTCAGTAAATGGTGGCTATTATTGTCCTTACCATTATCTGCAACTCTTTGAGCAACATGTTCATGCTTCTGTATTTAACTTTTTACTCAAAAGGCCTTTTCTCCTTCCTATGGATAACTTTTTTTTTTTTTTTTTTTTTTTGAGACAGAGTCTCGCTCTGTCACCCAGGCTGGAGTGTAGTGACACAATCTCGGCTTACTGCAGCCTCTGCCTTCTGGGTTCAAGTGATTCTCCTGTGTCAGCCTCCCGAGTAGCTGGGACTACAGGCGTGTGCCACCATGCCCAGCTAATTTTTGTATTTTTAGTGGAGACAGGGCTTCCCCATGTTGGCCAGGATGGTCTGGAACTCCTGACCTCAGGTGATCCACCCGCCTCAGCTTTCCAAAGTGCTGAGATTACAGGCGTGAGCCACCACGCCCGGCCAACTTTTTATCTCTCTTACAAGTTGGCTTAACTGTTACCTCCTTTAGGAATCCTCAATAATTTTCTTACTCTTCTTTGGCCAGGACACTCTTCTGTGTCTCCGTAGTATCTTGTTCATAATTCTATCCCAGCACCTTTCCCTCCATATTGTCATTTCTCTGTATCATATTTTGCTGTTAGACTGTGGCTCATTGATACGGGTAATTAGCTGTTTTGTTCCTGTATTGCCAGTATCTTGCATTTACTTAATATTTACTGAATCAATGAAAAAATAAGTCTGTGTATCCATGATACTGCTTTTTTAACAAGTATCTGTTTAAAATTATTACTGGGACAGTTGACACATTTGGAGTATAGACTAATTTTCTTTTAATCTCTTTCACTCTTTCCTTTATAGACTGTATTACTTGGCAGCTTCTCTGCAAAACTGAAATTACAATTAACCCTTGAACAATACAGGGATTAGGAATGCCAACTTCCTGTGTAGTAGAAAATCTGTGTATACCTTTAACTCCTCCATAACTTAAGTTCTAACAGCCTACTGTTGATCAGAGCCTTAGCAATAACATAAACAGTCAATTAACACACATTTTGTATGTTTTATGTATTATATATTGTATCCTTATAATAAAGTAAGCTAGGGGAAATAAAATGTTACTAAGAAAATCATGAGGAAGATAAAATATATATTGACTGTTCATTAAGTGGAAGTGGATCATCATAAAAGTCTTCATCCTCATAGCCTTCACACTGAGTAGGTTGAAGAGGAAGAGGAGGGAATGGTCTTGCTAACTCAGGGGTGGCAGAGGCAGGAAAAAAAATCATGTATAAGTGAATATGCACAGTTTAAACCCATGCTGTTCAATGTTCAACTGTACTTCAAAGTAAAAAGTTTATAGAAATAGCTGTTTTATCATAATACATACTCTTAAAATTTTTTAGCAATATAAGATTGCAAAGGAAAATGTTCCTTGTTCTTAAAATCTCACCCCCAGATATACCACAATTAGCAGTTTGATCTATGTAACTATTTAAACAAAGGCATTTTGTGAATTTAGAGGCTTCAATTATATTATAATCTCTATAATAATATAATCTCTAGATTGTCTTTCAGTTCTTAGGTTCTTTTAACCCTTATGCAGAGAAGAGGGAGGGTGGAGAAAATCTTTGAAATTAGGTTTGTTCATGACACTTTTAAGTGTATCTTGAGGTATTTTTCTGTCTGTTATAAGGGTTGTTTAGGTGTTAGCTTTCTTTGACCCTAAGACCAGGGCCTGCATATACTACACAAGCTATTCAACATAGCAGCCTGCTCAGGAGTCCTGTCCATCTGTGGCTCAGACCTGTGGTTGCTGCACACACCATCACCACTTGCTGGCAGTGTAAGTTTCTATAATGGAAAAGCTGAATTTGAGGAGGCATCAAAAACAAAACAAAACAAAACAAAACAAAACCCCACAAACCCTTGAAGACTACATCTGCATAGTCATTTAAGAATTGCTCTCTATTCCATTTATACTTAAAGGGTATTTTATTCCTATTCAGCATCTAAATTTTCAGTTTTATGTATTTGGCATATAGATTTTAAATTACAGGTTGAGTGACAAAAAGGGAAAAATTTAAGTAATGATAGATATTAATGAAAGATCAAATATCCATTTTATATAATTTACATGAATTATTTCTGTACTGTTGTAGTAATCCAGTATTCTTGTTATCCAGTTTTAAAATACCAAGAATGAACCCTTAACATATTAATAGATGTTAAGAATCCTTTCATTATAACATACTTAAGTAATAAACAGATTATAAATCTTATAAAGTTCCAATTTTGTAATATGTATGATTAGAATAATTATAAAAATCTTTATGCTGCTTCCTTCAGGTGAAATTCCTAAGCAGGTTAAAGTGAAAAAACTGAAGAATCTAAAGACTCTGGATTCCAAACCTGGTATTGACTTTTATTGATTTTTAAATATATATTTATATGGTACTTGGGTTTTTTTGTTTACCTTCTTTTCTTTGCTCTTAGGAGTTTATACTTCATATAAGCCATATTTAAATAGAGATGAAGAGATCATAAAACAATTACAGAAGGTAATTAGTTGCTCATATTATTAATTTAAATTTCCTTGTTCAGGTATGTAATATCCAGTTACGCAATATGTCCTTTATGTATACTAATGTGAAATAGGATCTCTCCTTTTTTTTTTTTTTTTTGGGAGACAGAGTCTCACTCTATCACCCAGGCTGGAGTGCAGTGATGTGATCTCAGCTCACTGCAACCTCCACCTCCCGGGTTCAAGTGATTCTCATGCCTCAGCCTCCTGAGCAGCTGGAATTACAGGTGTGCACCATCATGCCTGGCTAATTTCTGTGTTTTTAGTAGAGACGGGGTTTCACCATGTTGGCCAGGCTGGTCTCGAACTCCTGGCCTTAAGTGATACGCCCACCTCGGTCTCCCAAAGTCCTGGGATTACAGGCGTCAGCCACCGTGCCCTGCCAGGGTCTCTTTTTTGATTCAAAGTTTTATGAAAATCAGGAGACTAAGTTAGCAACAGTATGGGCATGAATTTGGGGCTGTAGCTACACATGAGTGTCAGTCTTTCTAGAAACTTGGAAATTATAGTGAAAAAGCCATAGATTCTACCATGATAGCATCTAACAGTAGGGGACTGTTACCATTTTTTTTAATGTAAATAGTATAGTATAGCAAATATAAAATAAAGATTGTCTTTATAGTGAACTCACTTTTTTTTTTTTGAGATGGAGTTTCGCTCTTGTTGCCCAGGCTGGAGTGCAATAGCACAATCTCGGCTCACTGCAGCCTCCACCTCCCCAGGTTCAAGCAATTCTTCTGTCTCAGCCTTCCAAGTAGCTGGGATTACAGGTGCCCGCCACCACACCCAGCTAATTTTTGTATTTTTTAGTAGAGACGGGGTTTCACCATGATGGCCAGGCTGGTCCTGAGCCCCTGACCTCAGGTAATCCACCCACCTCACCTTCCCAAAGTGTTGGGATTACAGACGTGAGCCACGGTGCCCAGCCGTGAACTCACATTTTCACAGTATGGGATGAACAGTATTCCCTAAGCTAAGAACTCTTATGTTTTGCTCCGGTAAAGATTATTTTCACAGGATATTGCACAATGAACTTCACATTAAATTACTTCAAGGTGAAGTTCTAGTTTTTTAAATATCAAGTATAAATGTATATTTACATAGCAATTGAATCTGATAGTTATCCATTGTTTTATATTCCAACACTAGAATACAGATTCTCATTATTTCCTCTTTTAAGGGTGTACAACAGAAACGTCCTTCTGAGGCTCAAAGTGTTATTCTTCGACGCTATTTTTTGGAACTGACACAAAGTTTCATCATTCCATTAGTAAGTTAATAAATAAATTTTTGCATAATTTAATGATTTGGTGAAGGGTATATAAATGTTTTTCCCGCCCTCCAAAACCATATCTTAAGTTGTGTGTTTTGCCAGCCTGGTATATTTAGTGATTAAAAATAAACCCCTTTGCAAGAGACCTGGATTATCTGTTCTAGTGTTAACTGTTCAACTTTGGTAAGTCACTCCCTCTCTCTGACCCTCAATTTTCTCACCTGTGAAATATGGCTGATTCCACTTTCCTAAGTACCTTTTCAAGACTGTTGTGAATCTTAAATGATATACTTTATATGAAATGTTATGTAGTTACTACATTTTTCACCTTAAAAGAAGATTATAGTAGAGCTTCTTTCTGATACTTATCTTGAATACAATTTGATATAATGTCTATGAGGCTGTAGCTCTATGATAACAGGGACTATATCTGTCTTGCTTGTTATTAATTCGTCAGACTGGCATATGGTAGCACTCAAATATTTATGGAATAAATGACTAGACAATGTGGTTATTGTAAGAAATTCAGAAGGATGTCATATTAAAGTATAGGGAGTACCATGATGTGGCCCTGCTCTGGAAACTGCATCATAGAGAAACTTTTTGCAGTTATTAATATAAAGTAATATATCTATGAACATTATATAGGGCATCCTGGAGATCTTTGCTGTTATATTTTAGAAAGAAATATTATTTCTTGGTCTTTGGGTGTCAAGTTATTTATTCCATTAAATCTATTTGTTTGAATAAATAAACTTTACTGTAGTGCTTATGAGCATGGACTAGGCTGGGCACAGTGGCTCAGGCCTGCCACTTTGGGAGGCGAAGGTAAGAGGATTGCTTAAGGCCAGGACTTTGAGACTACAGTAGGCTGTGATTGCACGACTGCACTCCATCCTGGGCAACAGCAAGACTCTCTTAAAAAAAAAAAGAGCATGGACTGGGCGTGGTGGCTCACGTCTGTAATCCCAGCACTTTTGGAGACTGAGGCGGGCAGATCACGAGGTCAGGAGATCGAGACCATCCTGGCTAACACGGTGAAACCCCGTCTCGTCTCTACTAAAAATACAAAAAATTGGCCAGGCATGGTGGCACGCACCTGTAGTCCCAGCTGCTCTAGAGGCTGAGGCAGGAGAATCACTTGAACCCGGGAGGCGGAGGTTGCAGTGAGCTGAGATCGCGCCACTGCACTCAGCCTGGGCGAAAGAGTGAGACTCCGTCTCAAAAAAAAAAAAAAAAAGGCCGGGCGCGGTGGCTCACGCCTGTAATCCCAGCACTTTGGGAGGCCGAGGCGGGCGGATCACGAGGTCAGGAGATCAAGACCATCCTGGCTAACACGGTGAAACCCCGTCTCTACTAAAAATACAAAAAATTAGCCGGGCGTGGTGGTGGGCGCCTGTAATCCCAGCTACTCGGGAGGCTGAGGCAGGAGAATGGCATGAACCCAAGAGGCAGAGCTTGCAGTGAGCCGGGATAGCGCCACTGCAGTCCAGCTTGGGCGAAAGAGTGAGACTCCGTCTCAAAAAAAAAAAAAAAAAAAAAAAAGAGAGCAGAGACCAAAGTCAAGTAGACCTCATTTCAAGTCTAAATTGTATTACCTTGGTCAGGTTATTTAGCCTTTTGAAGAAGCCTCAGTTTCCTAATAATACCTACCACATAGGATCATTCCAAGGATTACAAGAGATCATGCATGTAAAATGTTGAGTGCATTATCTGGCCTATAGTTGCTCAGTAAGGTTAACTATTATCGTTAAAAAATGGACCGCGTTGTTGGGCGCGGTAGTTCACGCCTGTAATCCCAGCACTTTGGGAGGCTGAGGCAGGTGGATCATGAGGTCAGGAGTTCGAGACCAGCCTGACCAACATGGTAAAACCCCATCTCTACTAAAAATACAAAATTAGCCAGGCGTGGTGGCGCACGCCTGTAATCCCAGCTGCTTGGGAGACTGAGGCGGGAGAATCGCTTGAACCCGGGGGGCAGAGGTTGTAGTGAGCCGAGATCATGCCATTGCACTCCAGCCTGCGCAACAGAACAAGGCTCTGTCTCAAAAAAGAAAAAATGTAGTCCCCTTGGTTTATCTAAGATTTAGTTGAATTTTTATTTGAAATCTGACTTCCCAAGTCAGTCTAAATTTAGCTATATCTCTTGTGGGGAGTGATGGAGTTGTTGCTGTCCATTGAAAGGGCATATGATTAAAAACTTAAAAGACCCATTCCTTTTAAGTAGGTCTGTTTAAATATTTTTGAAGACACTCCTTTTATTAACTTTTTTCTTGGTTTTAGGAAAGATATGTGGCAAGCTTGATGCCTTTGCAGAAAAGTATTTCCCCATGGAAGGTATGAATATATTCAAATCTATTTGGGTCCTCTAACTGTAATTAACTTCTGTGAACATATCCACTCCTAATTTCTAAATATTATATGTCCTGTTTTCTAGAGTCCACCTCAATTAAGACAGTTTCTTCCAGAAGAATTTATGAAAACACTTGAGAAAACAGGACCTCAGCTAACCTCTAGAATAAAAGGCGATTGGATTGGACTTTACCGGTTAGTCTTTTTTCCCTGTTTTACACCCATGTGTCGTGCTTTATTTAAAAGCAAAACAAAAAGCTAAACTTAAGCTTATTCTTTTTAAAAAATTCTACTAAAGTTTGACATGGTTCTCTGACTAGGAAAGGTATTGAGGAAAGGAAATAAGTTATAATCAAACTTTACTTTTTTAAAATGTATTTTTATAGGCATTTCCTAAAGTCTCCAAATTTTGATGGCTGGTTTAAGACCCGGAGGAAGGAAATGACCCAAAAATTGGAGGCACTCCATCTAGAAGCTCTTTGTGAAGAGGTTCGAAAACTGTGTGTTTGTGTAATGATTAACAACTGTTGAAAATAAAGATAATTATGCTTAGAAGTTGAAGATTGTACCCTTTATCCACTCTTTATAAATAGTAATGATGACTAACTTTTCTAGATCATGTGCTATGTGCCAAGGACATTATAGGGGCTTTATATAGATAATCTCTTTTAATCTTTACAATGATTCTTTGAGGTAGGTGTGTTATGAACTGCATCATGGGAAACTTTTGGCTTAGAAGTTAAATGACTTGCCTCAGATCACATCCCTGCTAAGTAGTGGAGCCAACAGTGTGCTGGAGTCCACTTGCATTGGCTCACAAGAGCCAAATGTGCACATCTCTTCTCAGCTCTGTATTCAGTAACCTCAGGTTGGCAGCTTGAAATAGCCTACAGTGGGAGTACTACACCACAGAAATTGGCAAATGCTACAAACCAGAGACCTCTTTTGGAGAACCACTTGTTAAATATTTACCAGCACATTACTGGGTAGAGTAAGGATTCTAATCCAAGAAGCCTAACTCCACATCTTTTTCTGTATGATGTATTTACCTTTTTTAGTTAGTATTAACACTTTTAGAAATGTGGACTGGCCGGGTGCAGTGGCTCACGCCTGTAATCCCAGCACTTTGGGAGGCTGAGGTGGGTGGATCACGAGGTCAGGAGATGGAGACCATCCTGGCTAACACGGTGAAACCCCATCTCTACTGAAAATACAAAAAAAAAAAAAAAAATTAGCCGGGCGTGGTGGCAGGCGCCTGTAGTCCCAGCTACTCGGGAGGCTGAGGCAGGAGAATGGCGTGAACCCGGGAGGCGGAGCTTGCAGTGAGCTGAGATCGCGCCACTGTGCTCCAGCCTGGGCGACAGAGCGAGACTCCGTCTCAAAAAAAAAAAAAAAAAAAAAAGCGGACTGATTTTTTTTTTATGTTCTGTATTACCAGCCTATTTTAAATTAAACTACTTGTGAAAATAAAAGGAATAGTCTCACTTTCATTTATATTTAGCTTTAAATGTGAGGTGTGCTAACCTCAGTGTTAACTTTCTACTCATAAACTCCCAGTCACTGTGGCTTTGAGAAAAGGAATATGATGAATGCACCTGCAACATAAGCCCAGGAAGAGCATATCCGAAAACACGAAGTGTACATCCAGTAGTAAATTCATGTTCAGTTCTCTTGATTTGTTAACTAATGTTCCTTATAAATTAGTCACTACTTAGTGGAAGTGGGGGTTACTGTTACAGTTTGAGCTGCAATTTTGTTTTTCTTGCTTGATCTAAAAAAGCCACCTCAGTACATTTTGTTTTACTTCCAAATATGAGACAATTATTCTGGCTAATGCAGAAAATTATCTAACAGTTATTAGAATATTATGAGAATTATTCTTGCACTATAATGCTATATCTGGGTTAAATACTTTGTTCTCCTTTTCCTTCTTGTCTTTCCTTCACAGTAGCCTTACCTATTGAAATAGAGAGGTTTGAATATTATTTTGAGAACTTACTGATTTGGGACTTTATTTATTCTAGGACTTACTTCTCTGGATCCAGAAACACACAGAAGTAGAAACAGTAGACCTTGTCTTGAAGCTGAAAAATAAGCTGGTATGTAGCCAAAACAGCCAAAGATTAAATTGACTTTTCTTTGAAGACATTGTCCTCTCATGTGAGCTGACAACCCATGATAGTTCGCAGAAGTAACTTTTTAAATGAGAGGGCTTGAAATTGGTCAATTGATGGTAGATACTGCTGAAAATACTTGGTCACTGAAACAGACCATAATGATGCCATATTATTCTAACGTTATGTATATAGAATCTAATAAGCTCTATAAAAACATTGTCACTTATATTTCTAGGTATTATTATGAATTTACATAGAAGCCTTTTATTGAGCTCAATAACGAATTGTTTAAATAGAATGCTCCTTGCTTTTTTAGTTTCTGTAATTTCTGGTCTAAGACTGAAAGTATCTAATTGTTAGACCTTTAAAATGGTTTATTTAGAGAATGTAATGTATTAATACAGATTCTGAGGATAATTTAAATGTTATGAAATGTTCCTTATGTAGTTGCAGGCTGATCGAGAGCACTTACCTGTGAAACCTGACACTATGGAAAAGTTACGGACACACATAGATGCCATTATCTTAGCATTGCCAGAGGACTTGCAAGGCATACTGCTCAAAACGGGCATGACATGATATTTGCCAAGATTTTCCAGCCAAAAAGGATTATGCATCATGAAGCATACTGACATTTCAACCAGACGCACAAAGGAGATCTCTCAGTGGCAGCGGAGTGGAAAATTGCCATGAATGCTAGTTACAGGGTAGAAAGACTGTATTGTATAAACAGACCTTTTTAGTGCATTACTTTTTAAAGTGGATATCTGTGGTGGTTCCACTTTAATACTGAAACACCGAAAGGCATTTCTATATTTTTAATCATGTTCTAAAGTGCTCTTATGAGAGACTTGTGGGCCATCAGTATTAGTGATTTCATACTGCAGTGCTGGCATTGCAGATATTTTTTTAAATTGGTGCTGCTTTGCCCAATCATGTTAAAACTCAGGGGGATATAAAAATAACATTCACACTGGCTATCTTCTTAAGAACAGAAAGACTGAACTGTCCTATGGTTAGAAGGAATTGATGCTTATGTAGTGCCTTCTGTTGTCCTACATGTTTCACAGTTCAGCTGCTAGTCTTGAAGCTTTTCCTTAGCTTCATTATGATACGTAATTTTATAAGGTATTCTGTTGAGTGATCATTGTTTAAAAAAAAAGTTTCTTGCTACCCATTGTGTTTATTAATAGACATGATGGGTTTTTTTCAGTTGTCATATAGATTTTCATTATTTTCCCTTCCATTTTCAAAATTTAATGTTACCAGTTTCTCCAAAGACAAGAAGGCATCTAGTATTAATGATGGAAGAGTTTATTTTCTCTTACCCTTTACTAATTTAAACATTAGGCTGGGTGTGGTGGCTCACGCCTGTAATCCTAGCACTTTGGGAGGCCAAGGTGGACAGGTCACTTAAGGTCGAGAGTCCAAGACCAGCCTGGCCAACATGGTGAAACCCCGTCTCTAGTAAAAATACAAAAATTAGCCAGGCATGGTGGCACGCGCCTGTAATCCCAGCTACTTGGGAGGCTGAGATGTGAGAATCACTTGAACCTGGGAGGCGGAGGTTGCAGTGAGCTGAGATTACACCCCTGGACTCCAGCTTGGGTGACACAGTGAGACTGTGTCTCAACAAAAATAAAAAATTAAATAAATACTAATTTAAATATTATTAAATGTTTAAACTAATGAACTTGGCTGCTTTTCAAAGACATTTTAATTATAAATCTCATAATCAGCTATTTTTTTAAACTGAACTATTCTTATTTCAAAGGCATTCATGAGTTTTTTATGTGATACTTATTTGAGTGATGATAAGATTGATTTCTGGCATTATTTGTTTGGTAGCGTTTTATTTTTCCCAACATTAATGTTTCTTAAAACACTTTTCCTACTATTGTTTGACATGGGAACTTTCGCCTGAGTCACTGTCATGGTTAGCTTTTGTTGTTGTTGTTTTTGTTTCTGTTTTGTTTAAACAATACTACCTTGCCAAAAATAGAAGAATGTGATTTGGTAGAGTAGGGTTGTTTGGTTTGTGTTTGAATAAGAGTATCCTACAGAAGCCACTTTTTTTTTTTTTGAGATGGAGTTTTGCTCTTGTTGCCCAGGCTGGAGTGCAATGGCGCAATCTCGGCTGACTGCAACCTCCACCTCCCGGGTGCAAGTGATTGTCCTGCCTCAGCCTCCTGAGTAGCTGGGATTACAGGTATGTGCCACCACGCCTGGCTAATTTTGTATTTTTAGTAGAGATGGGGTTTCTCCATGTTGGTCAGGCTGGTCTCAAACTCCCGACCTCAGGTGATCCGCCCGCCTCGGCCTCCCAAAGTGCTGGGATTACAGGTGTGAGCCACCGCACCTGGCCAGAAGCCACTAACTAAAATAGGCACACATGACACAGCATGTGGTTAATAGCTGTGTCTTGAATTATCCTCTAAATAACCAAATTTAGTTGTATGTATTTGTAAAGGATATGGCTTCAGAAGCTATCTTTTGTTCTCTGTCGATATAACTCTTAAGGGCATTCCTGACCCAAGAAAGACTCCTTGCGTTTGTAACTGTGGTCTAATACCCAAATGTGCCCTGTTCTTATGGATACAGTCTCTTGAAGCATACCTCAAAGTCATAGAGAGAATATGGCATTTGAAAGAAATCGTTTGCCTTGGATCATATGAGTTATTTTGTGAAACAACAGCTGACTTTTCAGAAAAGGAGCAACTACTTTTATATGCTAAAAGTATTTCATAACTTTCTGGGAAACCTTATTTAGGTATAAATGGTCATCTTATTATTTTTCAAAAAGGTATATTTTAATAATTGTACAATTTATATACAGTTTGTGACCAGAATTTGTAAGTTGTTGGTGTCATATCAAGGATCTTTTAAATTATGCCACTACAGGATGTATCATTTCAAGTCTATTTTGCACAGCTAAACAGTAGCAAAAGATGCCAATTAGCATGATAATGGTGTCTTCATTTTTACTGTATTTAACTGAAACCTAACACATGTTGAAAACCATATCATACCTAGTTTATCTCTTAATTTCAAACTATGTACTTGTAAAAATGATGTAAATTTGCACTGGGAACCTGGGAAAGAGTGACTGATAATTTTTGGTGCGTGATTTTTAGATTTGTCTTTTTTTTTTTAAGAAGAATTTGTTACTATGTAAACCCTGACATTAAATGTTTTATCTCTACCAGCATCAGGAGGAATCACTGCTTTAAGGGTATTATGTAATGCCTAGTGCCTTCTATTTACAGTGAAAAAGAGGTTTTGTGAAGGCATTTATGGTCATTACCAAAAACTAAATTAAAGGCCTTGGATTTTAAAGCACTTGGATATTTTGTGTTATTTCTGAATGGGGTTGGACTGCTTGGAGAAAATGCATAGTTAATGAAACTCGTCATTATGAGATTCCTTTTGTTTCCTGCCAGGTTGTTTGTTTTTTTAAGGACTTCAAATGAAAACCCTGTGTACTTCACTATGAACAGGTGAACAGTTCTGTTTAGACAGATCAGTTAAGTGACTTCATATCTTTCCTAGCAGTGCATTGATTTTATGAAATATTCTGGTAAAAATATTGGTCGTATGTGGTGGCTCATACCTGTAATCTCAGCACTTCAGGAGGCTGAGGCAGGAGGATCGTTTAAGCTCAGGAGTTCAAGATCTGCCTAGGCAAACAAAGTGAGACCCCGTCTCTACAAAAAATCAAAAAATTAGCAGAGCATGGTGGCACATGCCTGCAGTCTCAGCTACTCAGGTGGCTCAGGTGGGTGAGGGGATGGCCTCAGCCTAGGAGATTGAGGCTGCAGTGAGCCATAATCACACCACTGCACTCCCGCCTGGGTGACAGAGCAAGACCTGTCTCAAAAAAATAATTATTTTAGTTGAATAAACTCAATTATTGCTAGATTCTCCTTCATTTGCTACCTTTTTAAAAACCCAAATCTCCCAATTATTTTTACTTCTTCCTCTTCTTTTTTAAAAGTAGCAACTACATTATATTATTCTTTTTTTTTTCTTGAGACGGAGTCTTGCACTGTCACCCAGGTTGGAGTGCAGTGGTGTGATCTCTGCTCACTGCAATCTCCACCTCCCAGGTTGAAGCCGTCCTCCTGCCTCGGCCTCTCAAGTAGCTGGGATTACAAGTATGTGCCACCACACCTGGCTAATTTTTGTATTTTTAGTAGAGACGGGGTTTCACCATGTTGGCCAGGCTGGTCTCGAACTCCTGACCTCAAGTGATCTGTCTTGGCTTCCCAAAGTCCTGGGATTACAGGCATGAGCCACTGCACCTGAGACCCCATCTCTAAAAAAAGTTTTTTAAAAGTAGTCAGATGGCCGGGCATGGGCTCACGCCTGTAATCCCAGCACTTTGGGAGGCTGAGATGGGTGGATCACAAGGTCAGGAGATCGAGACCATCCTGGCTAACACAGTGAAACCCTGTCTCTACTAAAAATACAAAAAATTAGCCAGGCGTGGTGGCGGGCGCCTGTATTCGTAGCTACTGGGGAGGCTGAGGCAGGAGAATGGTGTGAACCTGGGAGGCGGAGCTTGCAGTGAGCCGAGATCGCCCCACTGCACTCCAGCCTGGGCGACAGAGCGAGACTCCGCCTCAAAAAAAAAAAAAAGTAGTCAGACATGGTGGTACATGCCTGTGGTCCCAGCTACTTGGGAGGCTAAGGTGGGAGGATAGTGCATGCCCAGGAGTTCGAGGCTGCAGTGAGCTGTGATCATGCCACTTCACTCAGCCTGAGCAGCAGAGTGAGACCCTGTCTATAAAAGAAAAAATATTTTTAAAAAATTTTAAAAGATTTTGTTGTTTGATAATCATGCCTCATTCCATTTTACTAGCTTCACCACTAGACTTGTGTTGTTCTGTTTATTTTGCCTCCCCATTCTTGTCATCATTATACTATTTCTGTGTTAACTGTTAGAAAGCCGGACTTCATGGATCCTACATGTTTTTGCCTGTCCCTTTCCATGTCAGCCAGTCTGAATACATTATGGTATAAATTGCTTCTACATTTACTGAAATATTTTTGGAAAATAGTAACTTTATATTCCAGAGTTATACTTCTTATTAAGTGAGTGATTTTATTTTTTTGAGAGGGAGTCTTGCTCTGTCACCCAGGCTGAAGTGCAATGGCGCCATCTCAGCTCACTGCAACCTCCACCTCCCAGGTTCAAGCTATTCTCCTGCCTCAGCCTCCCCAGTAGCTGGGATTACAGGCGTGCGCCACCATACCCAGCTAATTTTTGTACTTTTAGTCGAGATGGGGTTTCACCATGTTGGTCAGGTTGGTCTCAAACTCCTGACCTTAGGTGATCCACCCGCCTCAGCCTCCCAAAGTGCTGGGATTACAGATGTGAGCCACCACGCCCAGCCGTAAGTGAATGAATTTTTATACTTCAGTAGGAAACTTGAAATGATTGCATTCATTTAGTGAAATGGGTAAATATTTTTATAATCAAAGGCTCTGGTGGTAGAACTCAACAAATCAGTTTTTTGTTTGTTTGTTTGTTTGTTGTTGTTTTGTAGAGATGAGTTCTCACGGTGTTGCCCAGGCTGGTCTGAAACTCCTTGGACTCAAGCAGTCCTCCCGCCTCCACCTCCCAAAGTGCTGGGATTACAGGTGTGAGCCACCTTTCCCAGCTACAAATCATACTTTTTAAAAACAGCTTTATTGAGGTACAATAGACATACAATAAGCTGAACATATTTAAAGTGTATAATTTGATAAGTTTTCACATTTGAATACACCCATAAAACCATCATCACAGCCAAGATAGTGAACATATTCATCACCCCCAAAATTTCCTTATGCCCATTTGCACTCCTGTCTCCCCCAAACAACCAGTATAGATGTTTTCCGTCACTATAGTTTGTATTTTCTAGAGTTTTATGTAAGTGGAATCATACAGTATATACTCTTTCTGTTTTTTGGGGGATGGGAGTCTGACTTCTTTGACTCAGCATTATGATTTTGAGATTCATTCAGGTTGTTGCCTGTATCAGCAGATCATTTCTTTTTATTGGTAAGTAGTATTTTGTTATATGGGTATAACACATTTTTTACCCACTTACCTGTTGATAGACATTTGGATTGTTTCTAGTTTTTGGCTATTACAGATAAAGCTGCTGTGAACACTCATGTACTAGTCCTTGGATGGATATATATTTCCTTTTTTCTTGGGTAAATACCTAGGAGTGGTATGAGGGGGATGTCTGGGTCATATGGTGGGTGAATGTTTAACTTTTTAAGAGATTGCCAAACTGTTCCAAAGTGGTTGTACTATTTTGTTTTCTATAAGTATTGTATGAAAGTTCCAGCTGTTCCATGTCCCAACTAACATTTTGTATGGTCAGCCTTTTTAATGTCAGCCATTCTAATAGGTACTGTATTGGTACTTTATTGAGATTTTAATTTACATTTTGCTAATGACCTTTGATGCTGAGCATCTTTTCATGTGCTTATTAGCCTTCTCTGTATCTTCTTGGTAAAGTGCTCAAACCTTTTGCTTATTATGTAACTTCCTATGGTTGTGCCTTGAGAGTTCTCTATAATGTTCTTTTTGTTTGTTTTGGTTTTGGTTTGATTTGGTTTTTGAGACAGAGTCTCACTCTGTTGCGCAGGCTGGAATACAGTGGCACTATCTTGGCTCACCGCAACCTCCACCTCCCGGGTTCAAGTGATTCTCCTGCCTCAGCCTCCCGAGTAGCTAGGATTACAGACACCCGCCAGCATGCCTGGCTAATTTTTGTATTTTTAGTAGAGATGGGGTTTCGCCATGTTGGCCAGGCTGCTCTTGGACTCTTGACCTTAAGCGATCCACCCACCTTGGGCTCCCAAAGTGCTGGGATTACAGGCGTGAGCCACTGAGCCCAGCCAGAGCTCTCCATATGTTCTTGATACTAGTTCTTTTTCAGATACATGCATTGCAAAGATCCCCCCACCCCTAGTTTATGACTTTTTTTTTTTCATTTTTTAAAGTGTCTTTTGAAAAGCAGTTTTTAATTTTGATTTAGTTCTACTTATGAATTTGTTCTTTTAAGTGTTGTGTTCTTACCCAAGGTCACAAAGACCTATGTTTTCTTCTATTATTTTTATTTTATTTTATTTTTGAGACAGACTCTTGCTCTGTCACCCAGGCTGGAGTGCAATGGTGCAATCTCAGCTCACTGCAACCGGGTTCAAGCAATTCTCCTGCCTCAACCTCCCCAGTAGCTGGGATTACAGGCGTGCACCACCACGCCTGGCTAATTTTTGTATTTTTAGAAGAGATGGGGTTTCACCATATTGGCCAGGCTGGTCTCCAACTCCTGACCTCAAGTGATCCATCTGCCTCAGCCTCTCAAAGTGCTGGGATTACAGGCGTTAGCCAACGCGCTCAGCCTCTTCTAGCAGTTTTACAGTTCTAGGTTTTGCATTTAGGTTTATAACTATTTGGAATTAGTTTTAATGTGTATGTGAAGTATGGATTTAAGGATTTTTTGTTTTTTGCATATGAATATCCAATTGTCCCAGCACCATTTGTTGAAAGGTTATTATTATTATTTCCAAAAATCAGTTGCATTGGCTTTGTTGTACCTTTGTCAGAATTCAGTTGTCCATATATATATGTGGGTTTATTTTTACACTTCCTATTCTGTGCCAATGGTGTATATGTCTATCTTTATGCCAGTACCACATTGCTTGATTACTGTAGCTTTATTGTTGAAACTGAGTGGTGTTAGCCCTCCAGTTTGTGTCCTTTTTAAAGGCTGTTTTGCTTACTTAATTACTTTACATTTCCATACAAATTCTAAAATCAGCTTACGAATTTCTACACAAATTCCTGCTGGGATTTTGAGTGGGATTGCATTGAATTTATAGATAAATTTGAGGGAGAACTGAATAATTTCAAGTCTTCTGAACCATGAACAAAGTATATGTATGTTTGTTTTCCATTTATGTATGTTTTCTTTCTCTCAGCAATGTTTTGTAATTATCAACATGTCTTTCATATCTTCTGTCAGATTTATCTCTAAGCGTATCATATTTTTGATGTTGCAAATGATATTTTTTTAAAATTTAAATTTACAATTTTTCAAAAATTTAGTTCAAAATAGTAGTACGGTCCATATAGTTTTTATATATTGATCTTGTATCCTACAATCTTGCTATACTCATTTATTCTAGTAGCCTTTTTTGAAGACTCCATCAGATTTTTTACATAGAAGACTATGCCATCTGTGAATAAAGACTGTTTTACTTCTTCTTTCCAATCTGGATGACCTTTATTTATTTTTCTTTGATTGCGCTGGCTAGAATCCCCAATGCAATGTTGAATAGCATTGGTAAGAGCAGACATACTCATTTTTTAAAAAATTTTCTTTTTTAAAACCTTTTTTTTTTTGGAGAGGGGATTCTGCCATGTTGCTGAGGGTGCTCTCAAACTCCTGGGCTCAAATGATCCTCCTGCCTCAGCCTCCTGAGTAGTTGGGATTACAGACATGTACCACTTTGTCCGGCTCTTTGTTTCTGATCTTAAAAGCATTAAATTTTTCTTTCTGTTTTCTTGAGATGGAGTCCTGCTCTGTCACCCAGGCTGGAGTGCAGTGGCACGATCTCAGCTCACTGCAACCTCCATCTCCCAGGTTCAAGTGATTCTCCTGCCTCAGCCTCCCGAGTAGCTGGGATTACAGGCGCCCGCCACTGCGCCCAGCTAATTTTTGTATTTTCAGTTGAAATGGGGTTTTACCATCTTGGCCAGGCTGGTCTCAAACTCCTGACCTCGTGATCCATCTGCCTCAGCCTCCCAAAGTGCTGGGATTACAGGCGTGAGCCACCATGCCCGGCCTCAATTTTTCATCACTAATTATGATACTAGCTGTAGGTTTTTTATAGATGTTCTTTTTTTTATTTTTTATTTGATTTATTTATTTATTTTTTGAGACAGAGTCTTGCTCTGTTGCCCGGGCTGGAGTGCAGTGGTGTGATCTTGGCTCACTGCAACCTCTGCCTCCCGGGTTTAAGCAACTGTCCTGCCTCAGCCTCCTGAGTAGCTAGGACTACAGGCCCACCACCACGCCCAGCTAATTTTTGTATTTTAGTAGAGACGGAGTTTCACCATGTTTGCTAGGATGGTCTCCATCTCCTGACCTCATGATCCACCTACCTTGGCTTCCAAAGTGCTGGGATTACAGGCGTGAGCCACCGCACCCAGCAAAAGTAACGATGGTTAGATGCCACGAAGTAGGTGGCAATGCCTTAACCATATGCATGTTGTCAGGCCTGAGGGCCTCTTCCAACCTTGCCAAGGGAAGTGCTAACCTTCTCTCCTTTCATACAACATGTAGATATTCTTTATCAAGTTGATGAAGTCCCTTTCTGTTTCTAGTTTGCCTGAGAGGTGTTTTTTTGTTGTTGTTTTGTTTTGTTTTGTTTTGTTTTTGAGATGGAGTCTTGCTCTGTCACCCAGGCTGGAGTGCAGTGGCACGATCTCGGCTCACTGCAACCTCCGCCTCCTGGGTTCACACCATTCTCCTGCCTCAGCCTCCCGAGTAGCTGGGACTACAGGCACCCGCCACCACACCCGGCTAATTTTTTGTATTTTTAGTAAAGACGGGGTTTCACCGTGTTAGCCAGATGGTCTCAATCTCTTGACCTCATGATCCGCCCACCTTGGCCTCTCAAAGTGCTGGGATTACAGGCGTGAGCCACTGCACCCGGCCTGCCTGAGAGTTTTTATCAATAATGGGCTACATATAAAGTATTTGACAAATGTATTTAATTTGTTAAATGTATTTATCAAATTATTTAATTCGTTAAATGTATTTAACAAGTGTGTATATTAATATACATTTAACAAATATATTGACAAACACATTTGTTGGCCAGGTGGAGTGGCTTACACCTGTAATCCCAGCACTTTGGGAGGCTGAGGCAAGCAGATCACTTGAGCCCAGGAGTTTGAGACTAGCCTGGGCAACATGGTGAAACCCTGTCTCTACTAAAAATACAAAATTAGCCAGATGTGGTGGTGCACGCCTGTAATCCCAGCTACTCAGGAGGCTGAGGCAGGAGAATCGCTTGAACCCAGGAGGAGGAGGTTGCAGTGAGCTGAGATCGCGCCATTGCACTCCAGCCTGGGCAACGAGCGAAACTCCATCTCAAAAAAAAAAAAAAAAAAAACACAAAAGCAAACTAAAATTAAGCAGATCATGGTGGTTCATGCCTGTAGTCCCAGCTACTTGGGAGACTGAGATGGGAGGATTGATTGAGCCTGGGAGGTTGAGGCTGCAGTGAGCCATCACCGTACCATGCACTCAAGCCTGGGCAACAGAGTGAGACCCTGTCTCAAAAAACAAACAAACAAACAAAAAAGATCTACCATAAAACAAATGCATTTGTATCTGCATCTATTGAGATGACTGTATAGCCTTTTAAATTTGTAAATATGATTGATTTATGTTAAACCTGTTATTAACCTCATTTATCAAATCAATAGAATTTCTTTAAGATTCAGAGAGGATATGTGCAAGTTTGTTACATGGATATATTGTGTGATGCTGAGATTTGGGCTTCTAAGGATCCCATCGCTGAAGTAGTGGACATAGTACCTTATAAGTATTTTTTCAACTGTTGCCTCCCTCCCTTCCTCCTCACTTTTGGAATCTCCAGTGTTTATTGTTCCCATCTTTGTGTCTGTGTGTACCCAGTGTTTAGTTCCCACTTATAGGTTAGAACTTGCAGTATTTGGTTTTCTGTTTCTGCATTAATTTGCTAAGGATAATGGCCTCCAGCTGCATCCACTTTGTTGCGAAGGACTCGATTTTGTTCTTTTTTATGGGTATATAGTATTCCTTGGTGTATATGTACCACATTTTCTTTATCCAATCCACTATGGTTTTTTTGTTTTTTTTTTTTAAGGCAGAGTCTCACTCACTCTGTTGCCCAGGCTAGAGTGTGGTGGCACAATATCTCAGCTCACTGCAGCCTTGACCTCCCAGGCTCAAGGGGTCCCCCGACCTCAGCCTTCCTGGTAGCTGGGACCACAGGTGTGTGCCACTACACTTGGCTAATTTAAAAAAAATTTCTTTGTAGAGATGAGCTTTCACAGTGTTGCCCAGGCTGGCCTCAAACTCTTGGGCCCAAGTGATCCTCCCACCTCGGCCTCCCAAAGTGCTGGAATTACAGGTGTGAGCCACCGAGCCTGGCCCTATCCACTCTTGATGGGCACCTGGGTGGATTCCATGTCTTTGCTATTGTGAATAGTGCTGCAATAAACACATGAGTGCAGGTATTTTTTTGGTAGAATGATTTATTTTCCTTTGGGTATATACCCTGTAATGGGATTGCTAGGTCAAATGATAGTTCTATTTTTACTACTTTTTATTAGACAGGATCTTGCTTTGTCACCCAGGCTGGAGTGCAGTGGCTTGATCATAGCTCACTGCATCCTTGACCTCCCGGGCTTAAGCAATCCTCTAGCCTCAGCCTGTAAGTAACTGGGACTACAGGCTTGTGTCACTACACCTGGCTAATTTTTAAATTTTTGGTAGAGATGAGGTCTCACTGTGTTGCCCAGGCTGGTCTCGAACTCCTGAGCTCAAATGATCCTCCCGCTTCAGCCTCCCAAAGAGCAAGGATCGCAGACATGAGTCACTGTGCCTGGCCTAGAATATTTTTTATGATCTTTGCTAAATTTTTTTTGAATTTTTACATCTATGTTCATGAGACATACTGGTTTGTCATTTTCTTGTTTTGTTTTGTTTTGAGATGGAGTCTCGCTCTGTCACCCAGGCTGGAGTGCAGTGATGTGATCTTGACTCACTGCAACCTCCGCTTCCCGGGTTCAAGCAATTCTCCTGCCTTAGCCTCTTGAGTAGCTGGGACTACAGGCATGCACCACCATGCCTAGCTAATTTTTTGTATTTTAGTAGAGATGGAGTTTCACCGTGTTGCCCAGGCTGGTCTTGAACTCCTGAGCTCAGGCAATCCACCTGCCTTGGCCTCCGAAAGTGCTAGGATTACAGGCATGAGCCACCACACCCAGCTGGTTTGTCATTTTTTTGGTAATGTCTTTGTCTGCTTTTGGTATCAGGCTTCACAGAATGAGTTGGAAGTTTGTGTCAAATTGGTATTATGTCTTCCTTAAAAGTCTGGTAGAATTTAGCAGTTAAGCTATTTGGACGTAGAATTTTCTATGGGATGGTGTTTAACTACATTTTTAACTTTTAAAATAGATACAAGGCTATTAAGGTAGTCTGTTTCTTCTCCTTCTCCTCTTCCTCTTCCTCCTCCTCTTCCTCCTTCTTTCTTCTTCCTTCTTTCTCCTCCTCCTACTCTTCATCTTCCTTCTCTTCCTCCTGCTCCTCCCTCCGCCTCTTCCGCCTCTTCTTCTTCTCCTTCTCCTCCTCCCCCCTGCCTCCTCCTCCTCCTCCTCCTTTTCTTCTTCTTCCTTCTTCTTTTTTCTTTGAGACAAGGTGTCACTTTGTAGCCCAGGCTACTACAGTGGTGCAATCATGTCTCACTGCAGCCTCTCTCTGCTGGGCTCAAGTGATTCTGCCACATCAGCCTCCTGAGTAGCTGGGAGTACAGCTGTACACCACCATACCTGGCTAATTTTTTGCATTTTTTGTAGAGATGAGGTTTTGCCATGTTGCCCAGGCTGCTCTCCAACTACTGGGCTCAAGTGATCCTCTTGCCTTGGCTTCTCAAAGTGCTAGGATTACAGGCATGAGCAGCACGCCTGGCCTGTTTATTTAAAGTGAGCTTTGGCAGTTTGTCTTTCAAGAAATTTGTCCATTTCATCTAAGTTGTCAAATTTATGGACATGAAATTATTCCCTCATTATCCTTTTAATATCTGGAGACCCTGTAGTGATGTAACCTCTCATTCCTGATATTAGAGGCTTATCCATTTTACTGATCTCAAATAACCACGTTTTGGTTATATTTATTGTATTTATTGATTTTCTGTATTTTTTTTTTCTTGAGATAGAGTCTCGCTCTGGCATCCAGACTGGGGTACAGTAGCATGATCTTGGGTCACTGCAACCTCCGTCTCCTGGGTTCAAGCAATTCTCCTGCCTCAGCCTCCTGGGTTGCCAGGATTACAGGAGCACACCACCATGCCCAGCTAACCTTTAAGTTTTTAGTAGAGACGAGGTTTCACCATGTTGGCCAGGCTGGTCTCAAACTCCTGACCTCAAATGATCCACCCGCCTCGGCCTCCCAAGGTGCTGGCTCACGCCTGGCCTATATTTTTCTTTCAATTTCACAGACTTCTGCTTTAGTCTTTCTTTTGTTTACTTTGGTTTTAATTTTCTCTCTCTTTTTTTAGTTACTCAAGGTAGAAGTTGAAGTTGTTGACATGAGACCATCTTCTTTTCTAATATAAGCTTTTAGTGCTATAAACTTCCCCCTAAGTACTGGTTTAGTGTCATCGCACAAATTATAGTATATTCTATATTTATTTTCATTCAATTCAAAATACCTTATAATTTCTTTTTCCATGTGTACATATTGTTCAGCTCCTACTTATAAGTGAGCTCATTAGTATTAACTTTCTGTTTGAGTTATTTCATTTAAGATAAGGGCTTCCAGTTCTTTTTCCTAGCACTTTGGGAGGCCGAGGGGGGCGAGCTGTCTGAGCTCAGGAGTTTGAGACCAGCCTGGACAACACGGTGAAACCCCGTCTCTACTAAAATACAAAAAATTAGCCAGGTGCAGTGGCGGGTGCCTGTGGTCCCAGGATTACAGGCGGAGCCACTGCCCAGCCATAAAAAAAACTTTTTTTTTTTTTGAGACACAGTCCCACTTTGTTACCCAGGCTAGAATGCAGTGGCACGATCTCGGCTCACTCCAACATCTGCCGCCCGGATTCAAGCGATTCTCCTGCCTCAGCCTCCCAAGTAGCTGGTATTACAAGCGCCTGCCACCACGCCCGACTAATTTTTGTATTTTTCGTAGAGACGGGTTTTCATCATCTTGGTCAGGCTGGTCTTGAACTCCTGACCTTTGTGTTTTTAGAAAAAAATGATTACACCCGCCTCGGCCTCCCTCTGCTAAAAAATACCAAAAAATTTAGCCGGGCGTGTTGGCAGGCGCCTGTAAGTCTCAGCTACTCGGGAGGCTGAGGCGGGAGAATGGCGTGAACCCAGGAGGTGGAGCTTGCAGTGAGCCGAGATCGCGCCACTGCACTCCAGTCTGGGCAACAGAGCAAGACTCCTCTCAAAAAAAAAAAAAAAAAACAAAAAACAAAAAAAAAAAAACGGATTACAGGCGTGAGCCACCGTGTCCGGCAGGTGTCTTTTTTATATAATGACTTCTTGATCCAGGAGTTATTTAGAAGAGTGTTACTTTCCAAATACTTGGAGATATCCCCTTCAAAATTTTTTTTCTAAAAACACAAACTAAAGCAGCAGATTTTCCAAATATCTTTTTGTTATTGACTTCTAATTTAATTTCAGTGTGGTCTGTGAACATACTTTGTATGACTTGAATCCTTTCCGATTTAAGATTTGTTTTATGGCCCAGAATATAGTTTATCTTGGTAAATGTTCTGGGTACACACTTGAGAACAAAAATGTGTATTTTGCTGTTGTTGGGTGGAGTGTTTTATAAATGTCAGTTAGGTCAAGTTGGCTGATAGTATTGTTCATGTCAGATTTTCTGCCTGTTTGTTGTATATATAAGAGAGGGCTATTGAAATCTCTTGACTATAATAATTGTGGATTCATGTATTCTTTATTCTAAAATCTACTTTATCTGATATTAGTAGAATTATCCTGGCTTTCTTTTGACTAGTGTTAGTTAGCAGGGTATATCTTTTCCATACTTACACTCTTAACCTATTTGTGTCTTCATATTTCTTTTTTTTTTTTTTTTTTTTTTTGAGATGGAGTCTCGCTCTGTCATCCAGGCTGGAGTGCAGTGGTGTGACCTCGGCTCACTGCAAGCTCCACCTCCCAGGTTCACGCCATTCTCCTGCCTCAGCCTCCCAAGTAGCTGGGACTACAGGTGCCTGCCACCATGCCCGGCTAATTTTTTTGTATTTTTAGTAGAGACGGGGTTTCACCGTGTTAGCCAGGATGGTCTCAATCTCCTGACCTCGTGATCCGCCCTCCTCGGCCTCCAAAAGTGCTGGGATTACAGGCGTGAGCCACAGGTGCCCAGCCTATGTCTTTATATTTTAAGTTTTTTAGTCCAGGCATGGTGGCTCACACCTGTAATCCCAGCACTTTGGGAGGCTGAGGTGGACAGATCACAAGGTCAGGAGTTCCAGACCAGCCTGACCAAGATGGTGAAACCCTGTCTCTACGAAAAATACAAAAATTACCCAGGTGCGGTGGCAGGCGCTTGTAATCGCAGCTACTTGGGAGGCTGAGGCAGGAGAATCACCTGAACCCGGGCAGCAGAGGTTGCAGTGAGCCGAGATCGTGCCACTGCACTCTAGCCTGGGTGACAGAGTAAGATTGTCTCAAAAAAAAAAAAAAAAGTTGTTTTTTTTTTTTTATGGCCAGGCAGTGGCTCACGCCTGTAATCCTAGCACTTTGGGAGGCCGAGGCAGGCAAATTGCCTGAGCTCAGGAGTTTGAGACCAGCCTGGGTAACATGGTGAAACCCCATCTCTACTAAAATACAAAAAATTAGCCAGACGCGGTCGCAGGCGCCTGTAGTCCCAGCTACTTGGGAGGCTGAGGCAGGAAAATCGCTTGAACCCGGGAGGTGGAGGCTGCAGTGAGCCGAGATCATGCCACTGGACTCCAGCCTGGGTAACAGAGCGAGACTCCGTCACCAAAAAAAGAAAAAGGTTTTTGTATGTAGCGTATAGTTCATTCTTGCTTTTTTACTCAATGTTTGCCTTTTTAATTGGTATGTTTATTTCATTTCATTAACGTAATTATAGAGTTAGGATACAGTCTATTATCTTGCTATTTGTTTTCTGTTTGTCTTATCTGGTCTTTGTTCTCTTTCCTTTTTTTCCTGGGTTCTTTCAAATTAATAGAATTTTTTTTTTTTTTTTTGAGGTGGACTCTCACTCTGTCACCAGGCTGAAGTGCAGTGGCATAATATCAGCTCACTGCAACCTCCACTTCCCCGGTTCAAGTGATTCTCTTGCCTCAGCCTCCTGAGTAACTGGGACTACAGGCGTGCACCACCACACCCAACTAATTTTTGTATTTTTAGTAGACACGGGGTTTCACCATGTTGGTCAGGATGGTCTCAATCTCCTGGCTTTGTGATCCGCCCGCCTCGGCCTCCAAAAGTGTTGGGATTACAGGCATGAGCCACCATAATGGAATATTTTTAATGGTTTCACTTTATCTCTTTTGAGTGATTATTAAGTATATGTTCTTTTATTATTTTAGTGGTTACTTTAAGGTATATACATCTTTTTTTATTATTATACTTTAAGTTCTAGGGTACATGTGTACAATGTGCAGGTTGGTTACATATGTATACATGTGCCATGTTGGTGTGCTGCACCAATTAACTTGTCATTTACATTAGGTATATCTCCTAATGCTATCCCTCCCCCCTCCCCCCACCCCACAACAGGCCCTGGTGTGTGATGTTCCCCTTCCTGTGTCCAAATGTTCTCATTGTTCAATTCCCACCTATGAGTGAGAACATACGATGTTTGGTTTTTTGTCCTTGTGATAGTTTGCTGAGAATGATGGTTTCCAGCTTCATCCATGCCCCTATAAAGGACGTGAACTCACCCTTTTTTATGGCTGCATAGTATTCCATGGTGTATATGTGCCACATTTTCTTAATCCAGTCTCTCATTGATGGACATTTGGGTTGGTTCCAAGTCTTTGCTATTGTGAATAGTGCCGCGATAAACATACGTGGGCATGCTATAACATCTTTATAGCAGCATGATTTATAATCCTTTGGGTATATACCCAGTAATGGGATGGCTGGGTCAAATGGTATTTCTAGTTTTAGATCCTTGACAAAGCGCCACACTATCTTCCACAATGGTTGAACTAGTTTACAGTCCCACCAACAGTGTAAAAGTGTTCCTATTTCTCCACATCCTCTCTAGCACCTGTTGTTTCCTGACGTTTTAATGATTGCCATTCTAACTGGTGTGAGATGGTATCTCATTGTGGTTTTGATTTGCATTTCTTTGATGGCCAGTGATGATGAGCATTTTTTCATGTGTCTGTTGTCTGCATAAATGTCTTCTTTTGAGAAGTGTCTGTTCATATCCTTCTCCCACTTTTTGATGGGGTTGTTTGTTTTTTTCCTGTTAAGTTTGTTTAAGTTCTTTGTAGATTCTAGATATTAGCCCTTTGTCAGATGAGTAGATTGCAAAAATTTTCTCCCATTCTGTAGGTTGCCTGTTCACTCAGATGGTAGTTTCTTTTGCTGTGCAGAAGCTCTTTAGTTTAATTAGATCCCATTTGTCAATTTTGGCTTTTGTTGCCATTGCTTTTGGTGTTTTAGACATGAAGTCCTTGCCCATGCCTATGTCCTGAATGGTATTGCCTAGGTTTTCTTCTAGGGTTTTTATGGTTTTAGGTCTAACATTTAAATCTTTAATCCATCTTGACTTAATTTTTGTATAAGGTGTAAGGAAGGGATCCAGTTTCAGCTTTCTACGTATGGCTAGCCAGTTTTCCCAGCACCATTTATTAAATAGGGAATCCTTTCTCCATTTCTTGTTTTTGTCAGGTTTGTCAAAGATCAGATGGTTGTAGATGTGTATTATTTCTGAGGGCTCTGTTCTGTTCCATTGGTCTATATCTCTGTTTTGGTACCAGTACCATGCTGTTTTGGTTACTGTAGCCTTGTAATATAGTTTGAAGTCATGTAGCGTGATGCCTCCAGCTTTGTTCTTTTGGCTTAGGATTGTCTTGGCAATGCGGGCTCTTTTTGGGTTCCATATGAACTTTAAGGTAGTTTTTTCCAGTTCTGTGAAGAAAGTCATTGGTAGCTTGATGGGGATGGCATTGAATCTATAAATTACCTTGGGCAGTATGGCCATTTTCACGATATTGATTCTTCCTATCCATAAGCATGGAATGTTCTTCCATTTGTTTGTGTCCTCCTTTATTTCCTCGAGCAGTGGTTTGTAGTTCTCTTTGAAGAGGTCCCTCACATCCCTTGTAAGTTGGATTCCTAGGTATTTTATTCTCTTTGAAGCAATTGTGAATGGGAGTTCACTCATGATTTGGCTCTCTGTTTGTCTGTTATTGGTGTATAAGAATGTTTGTGATTTTTGCATATTGATTTTGTATCCTGAGACTTTGCTGAAGTTGCCTATCAGGTTAAGGAGATTTTGGGCGGAGATGATGGGGTTTTCTAAATATACAGTCATGTCATCTGCAAACAGGGACAATTTGACTTCCTCTTTTCCTAATTGAATACCCTTTATTTATTTCTCCTGCCTGATTGCCCTGGCCAGAACTTCCAACACTATGTTGAATAGGAGCGGTGAGAGAGGGCATCCCCGTCTTGTGCCAGTTTTCAAAGGGAATGCTTCCAGTTTTTGCCCATTCAGGATGATATTGGCTGTGGGTTTGTCATAAATAGCTCTGATTATTTTGAGATACGTCCCATCAATACCTAATTTATTAAGAGTTTTTAGCATGAAGCGTTGTTGAATTTTGTTAAAGGCCTTTTCTGCATCTATTGAGATAATCATGTGGTTTTTCTCTTTGGTTCTGTTTATATGCTGGATTACGTTTACTGATTTGCGTATGTTGAACCAGCCTTGCATCCCAGGGATGAAGCCTACTTGATTATGATGGATAAGCTTTTTGGTGTGCTGCTGGATTTGGTTTGCCAGTATTTTATTGAGAATTTTTGCATTGATGTTTATCAGGGATATTGGTCTAAAATTCTCTTTTTTTGTTGTGTCTCTGCCAGCCTTTGGTATCAGGATGATGCTGGCCTCATAAAATGAGTTATGGAGGATTCCCTCTTTTTCTGTTGATTGGAATAGTTTCAGAAGGAATGGTACCAGCTCCTCCCTGTACCTCTGGTAGAATTCGGCTGTGAATCTCTCTGGTCCTGGACTTTTTTTGGTTGGTAGGCTATTAATTATTGCCTCAATTTCAGAGCCTGTTATTGGTCTATTCAGGGATTCGACTTCTTCCTGGTTTAGTCTTGGGAGGGTGTATGTGTCCAGGAATGTATCCATTTCTTCTAGATTTTCTAGTTTATTTTCATAAAGGTGTTTATAGTATTCTCTGATGGTAGTTTGTATTTCTGTGGGATTGGTGGTGATATCCCCCTTATCATTTTTTATTGCGTCTATTTGATTCTTCTCTCTCTTCTTATTAGTCTTGCTTGCAGTCTATCAATTTTGTTGATCTTTTCAAAAAAACAGCTCCTGGATTCATTGATTTTTTTGAAGGATTTTTTTGTGTCTGTATCTCCTTCAGTTCTGCTCTGATCTTAGTTATTTCTTGCCTTCTGTTAGCTTTTCAATGTGTTTGCTCTTGCTTCTCTAGTTCTGTCAATTGTGATGTTAGGGTGTCAATTTTAGACCTTTCCTGCTTTCTCTTGTGGGCATTTAGTGCTACAAATTTCCCTCTACACACTGCTTTAAATGTGTCCCAGAGATTCTGGTATGTTGTGTCTTTGTTCTCATTGGTTTCAAAGAACATCTTTATTTCTGCCTTCATTTTGCTATGTACCCAGTAGTCATTCAGGAGCAGGTTGTTCAGTTTCCATGTAGTTGAGCGGTTTTGAGTGAGTTTCTTAATCCTGCGTTCTAGTTTGATTGCACTGTTGTCTGACAGACAGTTTGTTATAATTTCTGTTCTTTTACATTTGCTGAGGAGTGCTTTACTTCCAACTATGTGATCAATTTTGGAATAAGTGTGATGTGCTGAGAAGAATGTATATTTTGTTAATTTGGGGTGGACAGTTCTGTAGATGTCTATTAGGTCCACTTGGTGCAGAGCTGAGTTCAATTCCTGGATATCCTTGTTAACTTCCTGTCTCATTGATCTGTCTAATGTTGACAGTGGGGTGTTAAAGGCTCCCGTTATTATTATGTGGGAGTCTAAGTCTCTTTCTAGGTCTCTAAGGACTTGCTTTATGAATCTGGGTGCTCCTGTATTGGGTGCATATATATTTAGGATAGTTAGCTCTTCTTGTTGAATTGATCCCTTTACCATTATGTAATGGCCTTCTTTGTCTCTTTTGATCTTTGTTGGTTTAAAGTCTGTTTTATCAGAGACTAGGATTGCAACCCCTGCCTTTTTTTGTTTTCCATTTGCTTGGCAGATCTTCCTCCATGCCTTTATTTTGAGCCTATGTGTGTCTCTGCACATGAGATGGGTCTCCTGAATACAGCACACTGATGGGTCTTGACTCTTTATCCAACTTGCCAGTCTGTGTCTTTTAATTGGAGCATTTAGCCCATTTACATTTAAGGTTAATATTGTTATGTGTGAATTTGATCCTGTCATTATGATGTTAGCTGGTTATTTTGCTCATTACTTGATGCAGTTTCTTCCTAGCATCAATGGTCTTTACAATTTGGCATGTTTTTGCAGTGGCTGGTACTGCTTGTTCCTTTCCATGTTTAGTGCTTCCTTCAGGAGCTCTTGTAGGGCAGGCCTGGTGGTGACAAAATCTCTCAGCATTTGCTTGTCTGTAAAGGATTTTATTTCTCCTTTGCTTATGAAGCTTAGTTTGGCTGCATATGAAATTCTGGGTTGAAAATTCTTTTCTTTGAGAATGTTGAATATTGGCCCCCACTCTCTTCTGGCTTGTAGAGTTTCTGCCGAGAGCTCAGCTGTTAGTCTGATGGGCTTCCCTTTGTGAGTAACCCGACCTTTCTCTCTGGCTGCCCTTAATATTTTTTCCTTCATTTCAACTTTGGTGAATCTGACAATTATGTGTCTTGGAGTTGCTCTTCTTGAGGAGTATCTTTGTGGCGTTCTGTGTATTTCCTGAATTTGAATGTTGGCCTGCCTTGCTAGGTTGGGGAAGTTCTCCTGGATAATATCCTTTAGAGTGTTTTCCAACGTGGCTCCATTCCATTCTCCCCATCACTTTCAGGTACACCAATCAGACGTAGATTTGGTCTTTTCACATAGTCCCATATTTCTTCGAGGCTTTGTCATTTATTTTTACTCTTTTCTCTAAACTTCTTGATTCATTTCATTCATGTGATCTTCCATTACTGATACCCTTTCTTCCAGTTGATCGAATCGGCTACTGAAGCTTGTGCATTCGTCACATAGTTCTTGTGCTGTGGTTTTCAGCTCCATCAGGTCACTTAAGGACTTCTCTACACTGGTTATTCTAGTTAGCCATTCATCTAATCTTTTTTCAAGGTTTTTTACTTCTTTGCGTGGGTTTGAACTTCCTCCTTTAGCTTGGAGAAGTTTGATCGTCTGAAGCCTTCTTCTCCCAACTCATCAAAGTCATTCTCCATCCAGCTTTGTTCTGTTGCTGGTGAGGAGCTGCGTTCCTTCGGAGGGGGAGACGCGCTCTGATTTTTAGAATTTTCAGCTTTTCTGCTGTGTTTTTCCCCATCTTTGTGGTTTTATCTACCTTTGGTCTTTGATGATGGTGATGTACAGGTGGGGTTTTGGTGCAAATGTCCTGTTTGTTAGTTTTCCTTCTAACAGTCAGGACCCTCAGCTGCAGGTCTGTTGGAGTTTGCTGGAGGTCCACTCCAGACCCTGTTTGCCTAGGTATCAGCAGCGGAGGCTGCAGAACCATGAATATTGCTAAACAGCAAATGTTGCTGCCTGATTGTTCCTCTGGAAGCTTCGTCTCAGAGGGGTACCCGGCTGTGTGGGGTGTCAGTCTGCCCCTACTGGGGGATGCCTCCGAGTTAGGCTACTCGGGGGTCAGGGACCCACTTGAGTAGGCAGTCTGTCCGTTCTCAGATCTCAGACTCCATGCTGGGAGAACCACTACTCTCTTCAAAGCTCAGTTGGAAATGCAGAACTCACCTGTCTTCTGTGTCACTCACACTGGGAGCTGTAGACTGGAGCTGTTCCTATTCGGCCATCTTGGAACTGCCCCGCTATTATATACATCTTTAATTTACTAGTCTACCTTCAGTGATATTATACCACTTTGTGTATAGAATAGGAACCTTACAATAATGTTTCCATTTTTTTCTTCCAGTCTTTATATTATAGTTCATAAATTTTGCTTTTATGTTATAAATCTCACAGTATGTTATTTTTGTTTAAACAGTTATCTGTTTTTAAAAAAAGTTTTAAATTAAAAAGTTTACATATACACTATTATACTTAATCTTTTCCCATGCTATTTCGTTGGATAGATCCATATGGTGTCATTTTTCTTTTGCCTGAAAAACTGCCTTTAACATTTCTGGTAGTATAGGTTTACTGTCAAGGAATTCTTTCAACTTTTGCATGTCTGAAAGCATCTTTATTTTTCCTTCTTTTTATAAGATATTTTTGCTGGACATAGATTTCTAGGCTGACCTTTTTTACTTTCCCTATTTTAAGATGTTACTCCACTTCTTGTCTGCAATGTTTCCAGTGAGAAATACGATGTCACCCTTATCTTTGTTCCTATATGGTTCCTAAGTCTCTTTTTCTCTGACTGCTTTTAAGATTTCCTCTTTATCACTGGTTTCAACTTATTTGATAGCAATACACTTTGATATAATTTTCTCCATGTTTCTTGTGCTTGGACTTAGTAAAGCATCTATACGTGTGGTTTAACCAAATTTGGGAAAATGTGGGTCATTGGTCATTATTTCTTAACATATTTTTTTCTGTCCCTCTTCCCTTCTTTTAGGGACTTCAGTTACCCATGTATTAGGCTACTTGAGGCTATTTCACAGCTCACTAATGCTCTTCATTTTTCCTTTTTGACTCTTTTCTGTTTCATTTTGAATAGTTCCTATTTCTATGAGTTTAAGTTTATTAATCTTTTCTTCTGTGTAGTTTAATCTACTGTTAATTCCATCTAGTGTACTTTTCATCTCAGACATTGTTTTTATTTCTAGATGCTCAAGTCTTTTAAAAATATCTTACATGTCTTTACTTATTTAAAATAACATCTCTGTCAGTTCTGTGTTGGTTTCAATTGATCAATTACTCTCATGATGGTCATGTATTCCTTCCTCTTTGCATGCCCAATAATTTTGTATTAGATGCCAGAATTTTACCTTGTTTGATATTGTGTATTTTCGTTTTACTTTAAATCCTTGTGCGGTTTGTTCTAGGATGTAGTTAAATGACTGGGAAATAATTTGATCTTTTCAGGTTTTTTATAATTTTTTAGGTAGGTCCAGAGTAGTACTCAATTTAGAATTAATTATTCTTCATCAGTGAGGCAAGACCTTTTTGAGTACTCTACCCACTGTCCCACAGGTTATGAGTTTTTTTCAATCTGGCTGATTGATAGAACCAGGCATTGTTCCCAACCAACCCTGGACAATGTTTCCTCTAACCTTATCTGTTGATTTTCCCCTTGGTTTTGGGTAGTTTGCTCAGATTCATGTGCTAATAATTACTCTGCTGAATATTCTAAGGAAACTTCTGCAGCTCTCTCTCTTTCTGTGCTGCTCTCTCCTCTCTGGAATTCTGTCCTAAGGTTTGGTTTTCCTAGACTCTCGGCTCAAAGACTCCACCAGGCTTACTCTGTTCCGTTTCTGTGCTGCAACTTGGACACATTCCCAAGGCAATAAACTGGGACAATCTCCCAGCTCCCTGCATTTGTGCCTTCTCTTTTAGGAATCATTGTCCTTTGATGCCTGGTATCCAGTGTCTTCAAAAACCATTATTTCATATTTGCTGCCTAGTTTGTTTCTTTTTATTTTAGGTGAGTGGGTAAATCTGGTTTTTGTTACTTGGTCTTGGCTAGAAGTGAGAGTCCCAGCAATTTAGTTAGTTATTTTGTTTTAAAAGATGGAGTCTTGGCTGGCATGGTGGCTCACACCTTTAATCACAATACTTCGGGAGGCTGAGGTGGGAGGATTGCTTGAAGCCAGGGGTTCAAGACCAGCCTAGGCAACAAAGCAAGACCCCATCTCTAAAAAAATTTTAAAAATTAGCCAGGCATGGGGGCACATGCTTATAGTCCAAGCTGCTCAGGAGACTAAGGGAAGAGGATCACTTGAGCCCAAGAGCTAGAGGTTGCAGTGAGCCACGATCATACCACTGCATTCCAGCCTGGGTAACAGAGTGAGACTCTGTCCCACCCACCCCCCCCAAAAAAAAAAAAAAAAGAAAGAAAAAGAAAGACATGAGAGGAGGTCTTGCTTTGTTGTCCAGGCTAGACTCTAACTCCTAGGCTCCAATGAGCCTCCTAAGTAGCTGGGACTACAAGTGTGGGCCACCATGCCCAGCTTTTAGCATTCCAGTTTTAACAAACCTCAGGCTTAAGTTTGAGAATTCTGTTAAAATTTGAGAACCATATAGATACATGAATTTAACATTAGGTGATTATTTTGTTAACACTATCAACCACCATTTACCATGAAGACAGTATTACATGAATCAGTAAATCTAATTTTTAGAGAAAAAAAATTTGTAGATTAATTCTCTCGTTTCTATGTTTTGTAGCTTAGAAGATATTTAAGTAACTGTGATACATTAAAAAAAATTTCTGCTGGGTGTGGTGGCTCATGCCTGTATCCCAGCACTTTGGGAGGCCAAGGTGGGTGGATCACAAGGTCAGGAGTTCAAGAACAGCCTGGCCAATAAGGTGAAACCCTGTCTCTACTAAAAATACAAAAATTAGCCAGGCGTGGTGGCAGGCGCCTGTAATCTCAGCTACTTGGGAGGCTGAGGCAGAGAACTGCTTGAACTTGGGAGGCAGAGGCTGCAGTAAGCTGAGGTCGTGCCACTGCATTCTAGCCTGGGCAACAGAGTGAGACTCCATCTCAAAAAAAAAAAAAAAATTCTGGGCTGGGTGCAGTGGCTCACGCCTGTAATCCCAGCACTTTGGGAGGCTGAGATGGGTGGATCACCTGAGGTCAGGAGTTTGAGACCAGCCTGACCAACATGGAGAAAACCCATCTCTACTAAAAATACAAAATTAGCTGGGTAGGGTGGTGCATGCCTGTAATCCCAGCTACCTGGGAGGCTGAGGCAGGAGAATCACTTGAAACTGGGAGGCGGGGGTGGTGGTGAGCTGAGATCGCGCCATTGCACTCCAGCCTGGGCAATAAGAGCGAAACTTCATCTCAAAAAAAAAAAAAAAAAATTTCTGGCCGGCCATGGTGGCTCATGCTTATAATCCCAGCACAGATCACTTGAGGCCAGGAGTTCAAGACCAGCCTAGCCAACATGTGAAACCCTGTCTCTACTAAAAATACAAAAATTAGCCAGGCGTGGTGGCTCATGCCTGTAGTCCCAGCTACTCTTGAGGCTGAGGCACAAGAATCACTTGAACCTGGGAGGGAGAGGTTGTAGTGAGCCAAAGTCATGCCACTGCACTCCAGCCTGGTGACAGAACAAGACTCTGTCTTAAAAAAAATAAATAAATAAAAAATAAACATGAAAATATTTGTACAGTCAGGAAGGATGGAGATTTGGGCAAGGGGAGGGAGATTTTGTGAAATAACCTTATTAATGTTGCAGTGGTACCTGGTAAATAGTCTTGGATATTTAGCTTTAAGCTACCTAATTTCTTTAACTTTGAAACCCCTTTTTTTTTTTGAGACGGAGTCTCGCTGTGTTGCCCAGGCTAGAGTGCAGTGGCACGATCTTGGCTCACTGCAACCTCCGCCTCCCGGGTTCAAGCAATTCTCCTGCCTCAGCCTGCTGAGTAGTTGGGATTACAGGCGCCCGCCACCATGCCTGGCTAATTTTTGTATTTTTAGTAGAGACGGGGTTTCACCATGTTGGCCAGGTTGGTCTCAAACTCCCACCTTGGCCTCCCAAAGTGCTGGGATTACAGGCATGAGCCACTGCACCTGGCCTAACTGGGAAACTTTTATAAATGCTAAATGGTAGGCCGGACGTGGTGGCTCACGCCTGTAATCTCAGCCCTCTGGGAGACCGAGGCGGGTGGATTACCTGAGGTCAGGAGTTGGAGACCAGCCTGGCCAACATGGTGAAACACCGTCTCTACTAAAACTACAAAAACTAGCCAGGCGTAGTGGCGCACGCCTGTAGTCCCAGCTACTCGGGAGGCTGAGGCAGGAGAATCGCTTGAACCCAGGAGACGGAGGGTGCAGTGAGCCAAGATCGTGCCACTGCATTCCAGCCTGGGCAGCAGAGCGAGACTCTGGCTCAAAAAACAAAAAAAGAGGAGACAATAAAGGGCACTGAGAGTAAGGGAAGGTTTTTAACTTCATGGCAGAGAGCTTGAGTTGTTGAGAGGTAATAGGGTGGGCCAAACGATCCAAACACTCAGAATTCACATACCAATCCCCTTCTGGAAGGGAAAGTGGGTGGACAAGACTCTCTGTAGAAGCACAGATATTCTTGTACTGTGCAGATAAATAAGTGTTTAGAGAATGTGAACTTTAAACAAGAGCAGTGGTGAATTACAGTCAGATGAGATCAAAGTAGAGTTTACAAAGGTTAGGAGGAAATGGCAAAAATTATACTGTCATGTAATGAATAAGGGGACTACAACAGAATTGAATCAGTCTCGCAGAGAACAAGGTGAGTGGCATGGATTAAACTGTTGAGAGGATTAAATGGGATAATGCACATTAAGTACAATGGCATATTGTAAGTGCTCAGTAACCACTTATTGCTATTAAATAGTACCGCTATTTATAGAATATATCTGCTCAAATGTTTTAAAAAATTCAAAGGCAGGCCATGCATGGTGGCTCACACCTGTAATCCCAGCACTCTGGGAGGCCGAGGTGGGCAGATCACTTGAGGTCAGGCATTCAAGACCAGCCTGGTCAACACAGTGAAACCCCATCTCTACTAAAAATACAAAAAAAAAAAAAAATTAGCCGGGTGTGGTGGTGTGCACCTGTAGTCCCAGCTACTTGGGCAGCTGAGGCAGGAGAATCACCTGAACCCAGGAGGCAGAGATTGCAGTGAGCTGAGATAGCGCCACTGCACTCCAGCCTGGGTGACACAGCGAGACTGTCTCAAAAAAAAAAAAAAAAAAAAAGAAGGAAAGAAAAAAGGAAGAGATATGGTTTCCTTAATAAGCTTGCATTCTAATGAGACATAACAATCAGCAAAAATAATTATAGTTGTACCTGGGTATTTGGGGAGATTGGTTCCAGGATCCCCGTGATACCAAAATCTGCAGATGCTCAAGGCCCTTACAGTTGCCATTCTGCATCTGCAGGTTCCACATCTGCTATTGGCTGAATCTGTGGGTTTGAAACCTGAAGATACAGGGGGTCTGCTGTCTGTACATTATTAAACCCAAGGGACTGGAATGTAAATTCCATATACATATTTGTGACTAAAAAGATCTCACTAAGAAAAATAGTCAGAGGCTGGGCGCGGTGGCTCACACCTGTAATCCCAGCATTTTGGGAGGCCGAGGTGGGTGGACCACCTAGGTCAGGAGTTCGAGACCAGCCTGGCCAACATGGTGAAACCCCCTCTCTGCTAAAAATACAAAAATTAGCCGGGCGCAGTGGCATGTGCCTGTAATTCCAGCTACCCCGGAGGCTGATACAGGAGAATCGCTGGAACCCAGGAGGCAGAGGCTACAGTGAGCCAAGATCGCCCCACTGCACTCCAGCCTAGGTGACAGAGCAAAAAAAAATAAAATAAAATAACCAGAGATGAGGAAAACATACTACCTAGTGTAGTATGTTATGAGTACATGCTTTTGAGCCTGGGCAACTTTATACAACACTGTGTTCAAAAGCGATGATTAAATGAAGTACATGGCTTAGCAAGTGATCAATAAACTATAGCAATTTTTCTTGTAGGGCTCAATTTCCTCATTTTTAAAAATAAGAAAGATTCTCTTCTGGGTTTGTATTGATGAAAGGTGAATAGAAAAATATTTTATTTTTAAAATATTTTTTAAAATAGAAATGGCATCTCACTATATTGCCAAGGCTGGTCTGGAACTTCTGGGCTCAAGTGAGTCTCCCATCTTGGCCTCCCAACATGCTGGGATTACAGGTGTGAGCCACCATGCCTGACCTAGAAAAATAAAATAAAATAAAAATAAATTTGGGGTCTGGGCACGGTGGCTCACACCTCTACTACCAACACTTTGGGAGGCCAAGGCGAGTAGATCGCCTGAGCTCAGCAGCTGGATACCAGCTTGGGCAACATGCTGGTCTCTACAAAACGCCAACTCTACCAAAAATACATAAAATAGCTGGGCATGGTGGAATATGTCTGTGGTCCCAGCTACTTGGGAGGCTGAGGCAGGAGGAAAAAGGGAGGGGAGGGGAAGGGAGAGGAGGGAAAAGGGAAGGGAAAAGGGAACAGAAGGGGGAAGGGAGGGGAAAAGGGAAAGGAAAGGAAGGGGAGGGAAGGATGAAGGAAAGAAAAGAAAGAGAAAGAAAGAAAAGAAAGGAAAGAAAGAAAAAGAAAAGAGAAAAGAAAAGAATTTGGCCGGGAACAGTGGCTCAGGCCCATAATCCCAGTACTTTGGGAGGCCAAGGCAGACAGATTGGTTGAGCTCAGGAGTTTGAGACCAGCCTTGGCAACATAGCAAAACCCTGTCTCTACAAAAAATAACACTACTTAGCCAATGTGGTGGTGTACCTGTAGTCCCAGCTACTTTGGGGGCTGAGGTGGGAGGATCACTTGATCCCAGGAGGTTGAGTAAGCCGAGATGATGCCACTGTACTTCAGCTTGGGTGACAAAGTGAGACCCTGTCTCAAATAAATAAATAAATAAATGTAAGAAGGTAGTATAGTGTAGTGGTTAAGAGTGTTAATGGCTGGGTGCACTGGCTCACACCTGTAATCCCAACACTTTGGAGGCTGAGGTGGAAGGATTGCTTGGGCCCAGGAGTTCCAGACAGGCCTGGGCAACATAGCCAGAATCCACTTATTTATTAAAAAAAAAAAAAAAAAAAGAGTGTAAATACCAGTTAATACCAGAAGAAATGGGTTCTTATAGCTGTTCCACTGCTTTTAGCTGTGTGACCTTGGGCAGAATATTTAATCTCTCTGACCCTGATTATTTTTATCTGTACAATAGAGATATTACAGTCTGCCATTAACATCCTGTTTTGTAATTTACATTAGCCACTTGATGTGTAGTGTATTCTTACTGAAAAATCTGTTTTGACAACTTTTGTTTTGGTTCAGGTTTTGGAGGCTAGAGATGGAGAACAGAATTCTTTCGATTTATTTTGCATAACTAAACAGAAAACATGGATTAAGATTTGGAATAAGTTACAGGGAGGAGGGCTCATACGGTTTGTCTTTTGAATTTAAGAAGACCCTAAGAATTAGTTGAAGATTGTTTTAAGGAATTCTACTATATAAAACTAAAAACAGACATAAGGCCTAAAGTGTGAAAGGAAAATAAATCTTGGGGCCTCCACCTCACTAAGCTAAAGAGAAAAGTCAAGCTGGGAACTGCTTAGGGCCAACCTGCCTCCCATTCTTTAAAAAGTCACCCCTCTGCTCACTGAGATAAACGCATATCTGACTGCCTCCTTTGGAGAGGCTAATCAGAAACTCAAAGGAATGCAACCATTTGTCTCTTATCTATCTATGCCCTGGAAGCTCCCTCCCCACTCAGAGTCTTCCTGCCTTTGCTTTGAGTTGTCCAGTCTTTCCAGAATGAACCAATGTTCATCTTACATATATTGATTGATGTCTCATTTCTCCCTAGAATGTATAAAACCAAACCGTGCTCTGATCACCTTGGGCACATGTCTACAAGACCTCCTGAGGCTATGTCATGGACGCGTGTCCTCAACTTTGGCAAAATTAACTTTCTAAATTAACTGAGGCCTGTCTCATATTTTGGGGGTTCACAAAAGGATACAAGAAGGTCTTGTCACTTAGCAAGCTTCCAAAATGCAATTTTGAGTTATTCAACTGCTAAGCAACTCTTTACATGTATCTCCAATGCAAAGGAGGGTACTTCTGAGTAAAGAAGTTTTTGGGGTTTTTTTGTTGTTGTTGTTTGTTTTTTTAAGACAGTCTCGCTCTGTCGCCCAGGCTGGAGTGCAGGGGCGCGATCTCCGCTCACTGCAACCTCCGCCTCCCGGGTTCACGCCATTCTTCTGCCTCAGCCTCCGGAGTAGCTGGGAGTATAGGCACCCGCCACCACGCCCGGTTAATTTATTCTATTTTTAGTAGAGACTGGGTTTCACCGTGTTAGCCAGGATGGTCTCGATCTCCTGACCTCGTAATCTGCCCGCCTCGGCCTCCCAAAGTGCTGGGATTACAGGCATGAGCCACTATGCCCGGCCAGAAGTTTTTGCTTTTAATTGCCCAGGGCCACTCCTAAGAAATAACAGTCTCTGAAGGGTAGATAAGGTAGTGCTACCAAGAGAAGCGTTACTCAGCAAGCCTTCAAAAATATAAAAATAACTTACTGTTTCTGAAAGTTTGCAAGTTTTTCTTATTCAACCCCATCCTATGGAAATATACCAGTTGGAATAAGCAACTACAGAACCACATAGGACGGCACTACTAGAAAAATAGATTAAATCTTTATCCTGGCAATGAGTCTAATACATTTATCATTGCTGTGAATTTTAAAAGGTGTAGCAGGCCGGGCGCGGTGAGTCACCGCGCCAGGCCCGATCATAAACACTTTTAAAGTGAAGAGGCTTTCCGCTTCCTCAACATAAGGAGTAAATCTTTAATGCTGCTTCTAGGAAAAAAAGTACAAGAAAAGCAAGACTTCCTCCTTGCCTTCTCTTTAAAAAGCAACAGCCGATGAACACGTGTTGGAGCGCTCTCGCCTTGACAGAATTAGAGATCTTCAGAATCACTTGGCGTGGTGGTCGAAGCGTCTAGCCCTAGCTCATTAGGGTGCCACAGTTTCTCGGCCCACAAGTCAGCTTTTAACCACTTTTCTCCGCAAAAGACCGGACCGGTCTTCATGCGTCAACTAAAGCAAGCGTCTGGTCCCGTGTGTGAAACGTGTAAGTTCATGGCATCAGGGAATACCCATCGCGCGTACCGTAATAGAAGAGGGCGAGGTTCCTCACCTAACCCATAATGCTCAGCTCGCCTTTCCGGAAGCAAGGACTATCACCCCGACAATACCTTCATCCGGGCGGAAGCGTCTCACCCTGAGTCTGATTTGGCAGTGACGAAGCGAGGTATTGTGGGACTTTGTCCGTCTCCCAGTACGCATGTGCCTCAGCCGGCCTCTCCCGGCTCCTGGGGCCACGTCCGGGCGGTGGCGCCGTCGAGAGATGCTCGTCAGCGAAACTGGCCAATCCCCTGCAGGCGCAAGCGCAGTGGCTCGGGCGCACCGGAAGCGCAGGGGGATGGGGCGGCGGTGACGCGATTCTGTCCGCGTTGGAGGGGCCGGGCCGCTGCTGGAGTCGCCGCGGCCGCCGCGTGACGTGGCACAGCCAGAGCCTAAAGGCTAGAGCCGGAGCTGCCGCGCCAGTCGCCTAGCAGGTCCTCTACCGGCTTATTCCTGTGCCGGATCTTCATCGGCACAGGGGCCACTGAGACGTTTCTGCCTCCCTCTTTCTTCCTCCGCTCTTTCTCTTCCCTCTCGTTTAGTTTGCCTGGGAGCTTGAAAGGAGAAAGCACGGGGTCGCCCCAAACCCCTTCTGCTTCTGCCCATCACAAGTGCCACTACCGCCATGGGCCTCACTATCTCCTCCCTCTTCTCCCGACTATTTGGCAAGAAGCAGATGCGCATTTTGATGGGTGAGTGAGGGGCTGCGAGTCAGGCGGGACCTGGGAAAGGCAGGGTCTCCACAATTGGGGTGGCCTCTGGGCCTGTTTTTTTCCTCCGCCCGCTGTGGTGGGGGAGGGGCGCCGGGTCGGGGGTCGGAAGGAATTCTTAAGGGGGAACAATGGAGCGGAGGGTGAGCGATCCCCCCCGCCCCCGATCTGTCGCCAGACGAGACAGGGACAGGGCTTCGGGCAAGATTTCTTTCTGGACTCGGCTTTTTCTCCTTGATCTTATTGAAAGCTGGACAACATTGGGCAGAGATGTGGGGAAAGCCAACTCTGGGAAGCAAACACTTGGCGAGGCCCTTTCTGGGGGTGCGATCTGCATACCTTCTTGCCCGGGTGTGGACAGCGGTCAGGAGGGAGGCAGAGCAACTCCAGCCTTTTCCCTCCCCTTCTGCGTTTCGTGTACAGTCCCTGCATACTCCATTGGTATGTAAGCCAGCGGCCACCCGGAGCCTGGAGCCGCCCGGGGCAGGAAGTTGCGGTGGCCAGGGAGCACCCAAGGTTTCCGAAGAGTCTGGAGTCCTTCAGCGCTCACTTTGCTAAACTTGGCCTTGCGCTGGATTCCGTTTCAAGTTTTTCGCTCCTTGTTAATCTCATTCTCCGAAAACTGAGCTTATCTTCTATTTCTTTGACTATTTTCAAAAACTTTAAATGTGTTTGGTTTATTCTCCTAGGTTTTTAAGCTTATTTTTAGGCGGTCTAAGGTCTAATGCAAAAAAATTTTAGAAACGAATTTTTAAAAAATACCTGATAAATTTTCAAGTAACTGAACATCATGACGCTGAATTTTATGGTAGTCTTGTTAAATAGTAACTACAATTTTTTTAAAATTTCTTTTTAGAAAGTTGACTTTTTAAAAACTACTTTTTAGGGGGCGTGTTTTTGCTCAGCTGAGGGAGAAGGGCTGTCAGTTGGCTGAAGTAAGCAACCGCTCCCGGTTACTGTAAGCAGTCTACATCACAGCTGAGCTCCATGGACTAGAATAACGCTGAAAGAAGCCCCTCTAACTTTGAACGTTGAAACTTGTTGGTTCATTAGCTTGTTTTCTACCGGAGGAGGTTTTATTTTTCTCTTCCTTTTTTTTTTTTGCAGACGGAGTTTTGCTCTTGTCACCCAGGCTGGAGTGCAGTGGCGCAATCTCGGCTCACTGCAACCTCCACCTCCCGGGTTCAAGAGATTCTCCTGCCTCAGCCTCCCGAGTAGCTGGGATTACAGGCATGCAACACCACGCCTGGCTAATTTTTTGTATTATTAGTAGAGACGGGGGTTTCACCACGTTGGCCAGTCTGGTCTCGAACTCCTCACCTCAGGTGATCCACCCACCCAGGCTTCCCAGAGTGCTGGGATTACAGGCGTGAGCCACCGCGCCCGGCCGGAGGTTTTATTTTAGAGCTGTACTACCATCAAAACTTGCAAACACAAGCTTCTGTAATATTTCAAGGTATATAAAGAGTAACAGTATATACATTGGCTCATGTTTATTTTCCTCTTAGCGTACTTACACTTTGTGAATCAATTGTTTATGAGTCATTCATAAAGTATTTTTTCTTTCAAAGTTTCTTAGATTTCCTTTGTCAAGAGGACAGAATTATTTTAGGAGGGCAAGCATATTTAAGTTTTCAGTGGCTGAAAGTTGGCAGTCTGAAAAAGGATCGGAAGTTAATGGGAGGACTTCGGACTGTGATAAATGAATTTCCAGTCTGTTCGTTAAAGAGATTTAACAATATATGGTTATGTTCCAGAACACATAGTATATTGGTCTTTTTACTTAAGATTTATTGTAAATGAATTGCTATTTTTCAATTCCTTAGTCTTTTGTGATTGATGAAAGTATCAGAGGGGCAAGGAATATAGAAGTATGCTACCAGCATTTTCATATATTTACTATATTGGGAGGCATTTCCCTCCACCCCAAAAAATGATTCGAAGAAAATGGGAGAGAAAAAATATTTAAGTTTCTGCATTTGTGTGGAGGATTTAGGAGTTACTTGTTTTTAATGTTTTATTACTCAGGCATGCTATCGTTTTGCACTTTAATTTTGGGATAATCAGTTTTCCTTGACTAAAAAACACTTCAGTCACAAGATCGACATTTATGGTAACTCATCAAAGGAAGTATCAACGTACGAGGGAGATATGTGCATGAACAGGGAAAAAGGTGGTTTGGAAGTTTGATAATTCTTACATTTTTCTGTCTGGCTTTATGAGTGACTGACAGCAAAAATAATAGATCACTTTTAAAGTGTCTGCCCCATTCAACTGTTGGAATTATTAATGTTTTACATTAGTGTGCTTCGTTTTTCTTTATAAAGCTTAGATAAGATTCATGCCCTCCTGAGTCAGTGTTTTATTCAGACTTTACCATTTTAAAGTATAAAGGAGATAGCAGTTAGCTGATGTGTCAGGTTTGCCAAACTACTATGGAGAAGTTTTAAATTTAATTCGTACACCTGCTGTTCTTCAAAAGTTCAAGTAACTTTAAAAGATATTGGAAGTTAGCTTGTAGTTAACTGTAATTAAAAAACCAACACAGTGTATCAAATTTAACATCATCTGAACTATTGATTGACAGAAATTATGTACTAGTTATAAGGGTAAGTTATGCAAGTGATGATATTGCCCATACTGCTCGAGTTAGGAAGCAATAGCTTCTGGCCAGGTGTGGTGGCTCACGCCTATTATCCCAGCACTTTGGGAGGCCAGGTTGGGAGGATCACATTGAGGCCAGCCTGGTCAACATAGCAAGACCCCGTATCTATTTGAAAAAAATAAAAATAAAGCAATAGCGTCTGTATTTTATTTTGTTTATTTTTTTTGAGATGGAGTTTCACTCTTGTCTCCCAGGCCAGAGTGCAATGGCATGATCTAGGCTCACTGCAACCTCTGCCTCCTCAGTAGCTGGGATTACAAGCGCCCGCCACCAAGCCCAGCTAATGTTTGTATTTTTAGTAGAGACGGGGTTTCACCATGTTGGCCAGGCTAGTCTCGAACTCCTGACCTCAGGTGATCCACCTGCCTTGGCCTCCCAAAGTGCTAGGATTACAAGCATGAGCCATCACACCCAGCCAGCTTCTGTATTTTGTATATATTTTTTAAATAATTATGTTTTTTTTCCTTTTGAGTAGCTGAGACAACAAGGACATGCCATTAGACCTGCCTGGCTAATTTTTGACATTTTTTGTAGCAAGAAGGTCTCACTATCTTGCCTGTTCTTGGGCTGAAGCGATCCCGCCCACCTCGGCCTCGAAAAGTGCTAGGGTTACAGGGCGAGCCACTGAGCCTGGCTGCATTGTCCTATTTTAAGTCTGGTTTCTGTATCTTGATCCATGATAAGATGTAATGTTGTTAAGTGAATCCTTAAATTATGTATATATCCAAAAATACTAATGTGTTCTGCAGAGGAATTACTAATTCTGATCTCTTTACTTTGAACTTTCCAGTTCTTGCCTGTTGAAAAGCTGAAAAAGTGTTACTTTTAAAAAGTTTGCTGATATCAGTGTAGTGTAGTATGCCAGTGTAGTTCTGTATTGTCTTGAATGTGACTGTGGTTTTGGGGGTCTAGAGATGTTCAGGAGAAAGGATCCTATATTTGTCACTTTAAAAAATATTACCAAGCTAAAGAGTGGTGTTTTATATTTGTTTCTTAGCATATTTTGTAAATCCATCTATTTATGTAATTTTTTTATGTTTTTCCTCTTGATTCTAAAAGTAGTATGTGTTCCTTCTGTTACATTTAGAAAACAGGTAAAAGAATAAAGTGATAATTACCTATCTGTAATTCCACTATTCTGTCATATTTACTCTCAGCCTTATTTTTATTTTTATTTTTTGAGACAGGGTTTTGCTCTGTCACCCATACTCTGGGGCACATACAGGTGGCATGATCATAGCTCACTGTAGCCTTGAACTCCTGGATTCAAGCAATCCCTCCTGCCTTAGGCTCTGGAGTAGCTAGGACTACAGGCGCCACTATGCCCGGCTAATTTTTAAATTATTTTGTAGAGAATGGGGGTCTTGCTCTGTTGCCCAGCTGATCTCAAACTCCTGGGCTCAAGAGGTCCTCCTGCCTCGACCTCCCAAAGTGCTAGGATGACAGGTGTAAGCCACCACACCTGGTACACGCTCAGCCTTTTAAGAGGAAGTTTTTGTTCCTCTAAAATTGTAGTTGTGATGTTTAGTTTTGTGTCCTCTCTTTTTGATTTAGCTTATTACAAGCATTTTCTCAGGTTATTGGTTGAACATATAACTGCCAGCCTTTAAAAAAACAGGCTCTTCTGATTATGTGAATATAGGAAACAGAAAAGGCAAAAATCCTGTTTCATGCCACTGGCTGATAGGTACAGCCATCCTTAGATGCACCCTTTTGCATTATTATAGTAGTGCAATAGGCTGTCGGAAACTTTGATAATTTGCTGCTAATTAACTGATAAAAATGTAGATGTTTCTCATCCGTGTGTAGAAGCAGAACCTAAGTTCACATTTTTCCGTATAACTGGTGGCCTGAGTTTCAGTTTGGTTGGTCAAGCATCTGATGAATTTGATAAAAAATATTTGAGATGGAGTCTCACTGTGTCACCCAGGCTCGAGTACAGTGGTGCAATCTCAGGTCACTGCAACCTCCGCCTCCTGGGTTCAAGCAATCCTTCTGCCTCAGTCTCTCCAGTAGCTGGGATTACAGGCCCCCTCCCACCATGCCCGGCTAATTTTCATATTTGTAGTAGAGAGGGTTTCACCATATTGGTCAAGCTGGTCTCAAACTCCTGACCTCAGGTGATCCACCTGCCTCATTCTCCCAAAGTGCTGCGATTACAGGCATGAGTCACCGTGCCTGGCCAAAATATTAAGATACAGTATGTCCACCAGAAAAACCTAAAGGCAGGATGGCAGCATGTAAATAGTATTTGAGGTCTCTGGCATCAGAACTAGGTTTTTTGGTTTTGGCTTTTTAGAAAATTTTTTAATAAAAAAATCAAGATATAATACATAGACCATAAAGTTTACCCTGTTAAAGTGTACAGTTCCGTGGGTTTTAGTATATGTATTCAAAGTTGTGTAACCATCACCATTGTCTAATTCCAGAATTTTTCATCATCCCTCAAAGAAACCTGATACCCATTAGTAATAATTCCCATTCCCCTTTCTTCCCAGCCCGTAATCTGTTTTCTGTTTCTATGGGTTAATCTATTCCGGACACTTCATTTAATGGAATCATGATTTATGGCCTCTTTGTCTGGCTTTTTTCACTTGGCATGATGTTGTCAAAGTTCATTCATAATGGCCGGGCGCGGTGGCTCACGCCTGTAATCCCAGCACTTTGGGAGGCTGAGGCGGGCAGATCACGAGGTCAGGAGTTCGAGACCAGCCTGGACAACATAGTGAAACCCCATCTATACTCAAAATACAAAAATTAGCCGGGTGTGGTGGCAGATACCTGTAGTCCCAGCAACTCAGGAGGCCGAGGCACGAGAATCCCTTGAACCCGGGAGGTGGAGGTTGCAGTGAGCTGAGATCGTGCCATTGCACTCCAGCCTAGGTGACAGAGTGAGACTCTGTCTCAAAAAAAAAAAAAGAAAAGAAAAGAGAAGAAAAAAGTTCATTCATATTATAGCGTATATTAGTACTTCATTCTTTTTTTTTTCCTTTTCATTAAATTCACATAAGCACCTCATTTCTTTTGATGGCCAAATAGTAATTACATTGTATGGATAAACCACATTTTATTTATCCATTCATCAGATGATAAAAATTAGGTTGTTTTCACTTTCTAGCTCTTCAACATTCATGAACAAGTTTTTGTGTGGGCATGTGTTTTAAATTCTCTGATAAATACTTAGGAGCGGAATTGTGTCATGGTAACCGTCTTGAACATTTTGAGGACCTGACAAACATTTCCATTTTACATCCTCGTTTACATCCCCACTAGCAATATATGAGGGTTCTAATTTTTCTGCAAGACTCAGGTTTTTAAATATCTGTTCTTCTGTTTCTGTGACTGTGGGGGACATTTCTGGACATTAAATGTCTCATCTGAAAAATGAAAGGTTATTGTGAGAATTAAAGTCCAAAAATGTATAGAATCACCTACTATGCTTAGAATGCAGTAAATATTCAATTTTAAATTATTATTTTAAACTATTACGCAGCCTGGGCACCATACCATGGCAAGACCTCATCTCTACAAAAAAATTTTAAAAATTAGCTGGGCATGGTGGCGTGCCCCTGTAGACCCAGCTACTAGGGAGGCTGAGGTGGGAGGATTGCTGGAGCCCAGGAGTTTGAGGCTACAGTGAGCCATGTTTGCACCACTGCACTCCAGGCTGGGTGACAGATCGAGACCCTGTCTCAAAAAACAAATGTATATATATGTACACACACACACTTATAATTATGAAGGTATATTTCAAACTTGTAGATAATTTGAAAGATAAAGGAAAACATGAAAAATCTTTTTATCCATCTGAAAATACTCTTTTGTCTTTCCAGTCTTACTCCTTTCTGCAATATTTTTTTCTCCCTCAAAGTTGAGATCATTGGATCTAACTTTTTTCTTTTTTTGAGACGGAGTCTTGCTTTGTTGCCTAGGCTAGAGTGCAGTGGCGCAATCTCGGCTCACTACAGACTCCGCCTCCCGGGTTCAAGCGATTCTCCTGCCTCAGCCTCCCAAGTAGCTGGGATTACAGGCACCCGCCACTGCGCCCGGCTAATTTTTGTATTTTTTAGTAGAGACAGGGTTTCACCATCTTGGCCAGGCTGGTCTCAAACTCCTGACCTCATGATCCATCCACCTCAGCCTCCCAAAGTGCTGGGATTACAGGTGTGAGCCACTGCACCCGGCCTCAATTTTTCATCACTAATTATGATACTAGCTGTAGGTTTTTTATAGATGTTCTTTTTTTGTTTTTTGTTTTATTTATTTATTTATTTATTTATTTATTTATTTATTTATTTATTGAGACAGAGTCTTGGTCTGTTGCCCAGGCTGGAGTGCAGTGGCATGATCTCGACTCACTGCGCCTCCACCTCCCGGGTTCAAGCAATTCTCCTGCCTCAGCCTCCCGAGTAGCTGGGATTACAGGCGCCCGCCACCATGCCTGGCTAATTTTTGTATTTTTAGTAGAGATGGGGTTTCACCATGTTGGCCAGGCTGGTTTCAAACTCCTGGCCTCATGATCCACCCTCCTCGGCCTCCTAAAGTGCTGGGATTTCAGGTGTGAGCCACCGTGCCCGGCTGGATCTAACTTTTTAAATTTAAAATGTAAGTATTTCTTGCTGCCATAATTATGGGCAAAGGTTTGTTTTTTTGGGTTTTTTGTTTGTTTTTTTGAGACGGAGTCTCGCTTTGTTGCCCAGGCTGGAGTGCCGTGGCGCGGTATGGGCTCACTGTAACCTCCACCTCCCGGGTTCAAGCGATTCTCCTGCCTCAGCCTCCCAAGTAGCTGGGTTTACAGGCGCCAGCCACCACGCCTAGCTAATTTTTGTATTTTTAGTAGAGACTGGGTTTCACCACGTTGGCCAGGCTGGTCGCGAACTGCTGACCTCGTGATCCACCCACTTCAGCCTCCCAAAGTGCTGGGATTACAGGTGTGAGCCACGGGGCCCGGCCTTGTTTGTTTGAGACAGGATCTTGCTCTGTTGCTTACGCTGAATTGCAGTGGTGTGATCATGGCTCGCTGCAGCCTTGATCCCCTGGGCTCAAGGGATCCTCCTGCCTCAGCCTCCCACGTAGCTGGGAATATAGATGGGCACCACCCTGCCTAATTTTTGTTTGTTTTGAGACAGGGTCTCAATTCTGTTGCCCAGGCTGAAGCACAGTGGTGCGATCACAGCTCACTGCAGCCTTGACCTCCTGGGGTCAAGTGATCCTCCCATCTCAGCCTCACCCAGTAGCTGGGACTACAGGCATGTGCCATCACAACCGGCTAATTTTTTTTTTTTTTTGAGACGGAGTTTTGCTCCTGTTGCCCAGGTTGGAGTGTAATGGCGCGATCTCAGCTCACTGCGACCTCCGCCTCTCAGGTTCAAGCAATTCTCCTGCCTCAGCCTCCCGAGTAGCTGGGATTACAGGCATGTGCCACTACACCCAGCTAATTTTGTATTTTTAGTAGAGACGGGCTTTCTCCATGTTGGTCAGGCTGGTCTCTAATTCCTGACTTCAGGTGATCCACCTGCCTTGGCTTCCCAAAGTGCTGGGATTACAGGTGTGAGCCACTGTGCCTCACTCACACCTGGCTAATTTTTGTATTTTTTGTAGTGACAGGGTTTTGCCATGTTGTCCAGGCTGGTCACAAACTCCTGAGCTCAGGTCATCCACCTGCCTCAGCCTCCCAACATGCTGGGATTACAGGTGTGAGTAGAGACGGGCTTTCTCCATGTTGGTCAGGCTGGTCTCTGACTCCTGACTTCAGGTGATCCACCCGCCTTGGCTTCCCAAAGTGCTGGGATTACAGGTGTGAGCCACTGTGCCCCACTCACACCTGGCTAATTTTTGTATTTTTTGTAGTGACAGGGTTTTGCCATGTTGTCCAGGCTGGTCACAAACTCCTGAGCTCAGGTCATCCACCTGCCTCAGCCTCCCAACATGCTGGGATTACAGGTGTGAGCCACCATGCACAGCTTCCCAGCTAATTTACTTTTTCTTCTTTAAAGATGGATCTCGCTATGTTGACCAGGCTGGTTTCAAACTCCTGGGCTCAAGCGATCCGCCTGCCTCAGCCTCCCAAAGTGCTAGGATTACAGGTGTGAGTGACTGCCTGGCCAGCAAAGATTTCTGAGGTAGTTTTCCTGCTATAGTAACACTTTGGTCAAAGTGCAGGTCTAGTTAAGGAGAACAAGTATTCCAGTACATCTTTAAATACAGTTGCTTGTTTCTGGACACGGAGGGGAGGGAGACCATTGCTGGGCTATACAGATTAGTCTTATCTTGGCTAGTTGAAAATTGGTAATAGTTTTCATTTTGTGGAGAAATTTCATTGCCAAATATTGCAACATTAAGGAAATACATAAGAAATGACTGAAGTGGCTCAAAATTGTTGGACCAATATGTTTTTGAGTAAAGAACTATAAGTTTTAAGTGATGACTGTATATGTTTAATTCGTGCATTAAAGCTTATAAATACCTTTTTCAAAAACTCTTAATTTGCATTTATACAGCATTGTTATTTTTGATACAACTGCATAAGATACATTCTGTGTTGCTGTGAGCCATTAAACTGTTGTCTTGTAATTTATATTTAGAAAATAATTTGTGGATACTTAAAAGTCATTATGGGCGCATTATTTTTTCCCCTTGAATTCTGGGGTGACCTAGAAATGGTTGCATGATTTTGTAAACACTTCCCTTTTTAAAAAAGTAAAATGAGTATGTAAAATATTATATATTTAAAGCCCTCAAGCAGTCGTCTTCAAAAAGATACATCAGGAAATGTAAACAGCCCAACATTTTAATTAAAAAAAATCTGCTTGGACAATTTTTTTTCTCTTTTCATAAAAGTAATACATGATTTTTGGGTAAAAAAAAATTCCTATCAGTAGAGGAGCAAGGAAAATAATTATTCATACAGTATTCATACAAGCACATATAAAACCTATTAAAAGAAAACTTGGATTACCTACATGCTTTTGTATAATTTAAAATGATATAGTCATGATTTGTCTTGGATTTCTTCAATTCTTTTCTTTGTCAGTATTTTTGGATTTACTTTTTTTTTTTTTTTTTTTTTTTGAGACTGAGTTCCGCTCTTGTTGTCCAGGCTGTAGTGCAATGGCACGATCTCGGCTCACTGCAACATCCGCCTCCTGGGTTCAAGCGAGTCTCCTGCCTCAGCCTCCAGAGTATCTGGGATTATAGGCATATGCCACCACATCCAGCTAGTTTCTGTATTTTTAGTAGAGACGGGATTTTACCATGTTGGCCAGGCTGGTCTCAAACTCCTGGCCTCAGGTGATTCGCCCACCTCAGCCTCCCAAAGTACTGTGATTACAGGCATGAGCCACAGCGCCAGGCCTTACCTTGTTTTTAAATGACAATCTGAGGTCCAGTTGGACCTCCGGTGATAACTGGCAGGTACCATAGTTTTGTGTGTGTGCGTGTGTGTGTGTGTTTCTTAATCAGCGTCTCAGTTTCAATTCTGACTTGGCTTAATCATATTTGAACTTAAAGGTTAATTTTGGTTAACTTAAAAATCTGATGCTTTCAAGAGACAGCTTTGTTGGACCATTTAAAGATCCAGTTGTTTTTTGCCACCCCCCTTTGTTTTATATCTTGTTACTAAAGATGCCAAACTTTAATGTAGCTCCTTTTTATGTATTTTTTAGAATTATGTTTTCTGATTTTTTTGATAATGTTCCATGCTCAAAAAATAAAACACTTGTATAACAGTTGGTTTTTATTATTATGCTCATGAATGAGGGCTTGATGTGGGCTGATCACACTGACTAGTAGTTGGGAAGGAATAAACCTGTATCCGAGTACGAAGTGGGGAACAGGGTTTTACAGGACAAAGGAATAAAAGGCTTGAGTCTCCAAAAAGAACTTAAAGTTATTCTTGGTAGGGTACAGAGTAGAAAGGGTTGTTAAGAGGGTAGAAGGAATCAGAATTGCCTGTAGCCTTCGCTTCTGTTTTGGACTAACTGATAAAAGATAGACTTACTTGCATAGGAATGTAAATTAGATAAGTGAGATAATTTCAGCTCTTTTTTAACTTACTAGCATTGCTTTTATGTGCTAAGTCATGCTTTGATTTAAATATTAAGAAAGTGTCCTTGCTTAAATCAATACTTGATTGAATCGATACAAAAATCTGTGATAAGATAAACCCAGGCGGCCAGATATGATATCCTAAGAACAATGATAGATTCAATGAGGTTATTAGATGTTGATCTTTCATTTATGAGGGCTTTAGCAAACACTGCAGAATATTCAGGTTTTGAGAGATTCATACTTACAAGCATTTAATTTGTTCTTCACTGTCACCCTACAAGGAGGTATAGCCTCTTGTTCTAGTGTGGATTTTTTTTCACAAGCAAACACATTCCTCCCTACTTGTACTTCTGCCTCAACTGAATCATTTTAAGAATTTAGGCCGGACACAGTGGTTCACATCTGTAATCACAGCACTTTGAGAGGCTGAGGCGGGCAGATCACCCGAGGTCAGGAGTTCAAGACCAGCCTGGCCAACATGGTGAAACCCCGTCTCTACTAAAAATACAAATTAGCTGGGGTGTGGTGGCACGCACCTGTAATCCCAGTTACTCCGGAAGCTGAGGTAGGAGAATCGCTTGAAC